>NC_000011.10:77419332-77722362 GCF_000001405.40 Homo sapiens | reverse complement strand
AAACAAATACACCAAAGGCCGTTATACACCTGTTTCTGAAAACATTTCTCAATGAATGCTGATGTTATACCTCTCAACACAACTAAGAGAAAATGGTCTGTGAGGGATGGCATCCTTGAAAAAGTAGAAGAGGAGGAGCAGGACATTTCATTCTCTTTGTTTTTCTGTCTTCTATTTTTATTTTAGAGACAGTCTCACTCTGTCACCCGGGCTGGAGTGCAGTAGTGCAATCATAGTATGCTGCAATCTGGAACTCCTGGGCTCAAGTGATCCTCCTGCCTCAGCCTCCTGAGTGGCTGGGACTACAGGTGTGCGCCACCATGCCTGGCTAATGTTTTTTAATTTTTAATTTTGTAAAGACATGGTCTCACTTTGTTGCCCAGGCTGGTCTCGAACTCCTGACTTCAAGCAATCCTCTTGCCTCAGCCCTCCGAAGTTCTGGGATTACAGATGTGAGCAACTGCGCACAGCCTACCTTCTCTTTTGCTTTTCTGCTTCTCTTTCTCTAACAACAAAATGTTTCTTATTCATTCATTCATTCATTCAGTGAATACTTACTGTGCACCTTCTCTGTGCTAAGCATGATTTTAGGCATATAGTTTAATAAAGAAGGACTAAAATCCTTGCTTTTGTAAAGCTTACACTATAGTAGATAAAACAGTAACACATAAACCATTTACCATGTGCCAATACTGTTCTAAATGCTTTTGCCTATATTGTCAGATCATTTTCACAACAAACCCTGTTTAGTAGTGTAATATTATTACTTCCCTTTTTTCAGATGAGGGAAATTAGATAAAGAGTGATTTCGGTAATTTTCCCAAGGTCACATAGCTTGTTAATGGCAGACCTAATATTCAAAACTAGGCAATCTGTCTCCAGAGTCCCTGTGCCCTTTTAATGCTGCACTTACATATAATTTCAGCCCCCAAAAACCCTGTCTCTCACCCTTGTCCTCTCAGATGTAGTTCTTGTAGTCTATTCCATGGCAAGACCAAATAAATATGATTCTGTTCTGTCATTTTTATTCCTTTCGGATGTAAACAAACATTACCCTTGGGCTGTGTTGGGGGATCAGGGCCAGGTGGGAAGGAGTATGTCAAAAGCTGGAAACAGTCCTGGGGAATGTCTAACATAGAGTGTTGAAGCAAAATGTGACAAAAGTTAAAAATTAAGCATGGTTAGATATTTGCAAATTGGGCAGCAAGAAATAAAAATAAATAGGCACTGGAGAGGGAATAACAACCACTCTTATTCTTGTAGCTAAAATAGATTTTTCTTTAGTCATTAGTTAAATTGCCATGCCTTGTATCTTAACTCAGTAAGATAAGTTTTTATTTTTGTATAGGTGTTAAGGAGAAACGTATTAACTGTAAAAGTGGGCAAAAAAATGGAAAATGGCAATAAGTGGCCTAGAAAATGGTGACACCAACTAAATAATTAAGTTGACTTTGTTTCAAAGACAATTCGAATTGCCTTCTGAAAGTCTAAATTTGCTAGACTAACATTCAGAATCTCAGTCTGGTCTCTCTTTCTAGCAATAGCTCCTGCTTTTTCTTACATGAGTACTGGTTCCAGATCATCTAGATGCTTTTGTTTTCTCCATATGTCTTGGGCATTCCCTTCTGTGTCTGCATGCTGTTTCTCTCCCTCAGATGTTGTCTCCCCAACTCCCATGAAAGTCTGATTATACTTCAAGGAACATCTGAAACTTTATTTATACTATTTGTATCCCACTTATATTAGGGCTAGTCGTGGCATCAGGCTTGAAACGCTCAAATACTTTTTGAGTTGTTATTCTCAGACTGTGGTAGATTTCCAAGTAAGTGTTTGGTGTCATTTATACCCTTTTATGGGAGTTTAAGATCCATTGTCTTAATTTAGGTGATAATACTACCTGGAAGGTATCGTGCATATAAAACACCATGGAATTTAATATATATTTTCTCTCTACATTGGATACTGTATTCTAATTTAGAAGGGACCAAAAAGTTAAAAAGAAACTTTTCTGGGGAAAAAGCTGAGGGAAGCCCAACTAACATTTAGTTTTTAATTCTACTAATTGAAAGAAGACTGTCCTTTTTTAAATTTTTACAGTCATGCACTTCTGCCTACAGGTGATCAGATAAGATATCACTTGAGAATTTCATATAAAGAACAGAATTTACAGACTGGCAGCTCACAGACCTAATTTGGCCCAAAAACGTGTTTATTTTGGTTTCTACAGTGCTGCTTTGTTTTTAAAAAGCTAAGATAAAATTCACCATTTTAGTGATTTTAGTATATTCACAGCATTGTGCAACCATAACCACTAATTCTAGAACATTTCTAGCACCCCACAAAGAAACTCTGTACCCACTTAGAAGTTACTTGCCATTTCTCCCTACCCTCATCCCCTGTAAACCATTAATCTACTTTGTCTTTATGGATTTGTCTCTTTGTAGCATTTCATAAAAATAGAATCATACAGCATGTGGCCATCTGTGTCTGACATTTTCATCTAGCGTAATTTTTTTAACATTACACTAACATAATGTTAAAAACATATGCTAAATATTACAACATCCATGTTGTAGCATGTATCAGTACTTCATTCCTTTTTACACATGAATAATATTTATTTGTATTGATATACCACATTTTATTTATCTGTTCACTTGATGGACATTTGGATTTTTCCACCTTTTGGTATAGATAATGCAGCGGTGAATGTTAATATACAAATTTTTGAGGGAACATATGTTTTCATATGACTGATTTTTTAAATGAAGTTGCTGTCGACATCTAAAATTGAAAATTAGAAAAGTTGTCAACTTTGGATCATCATTTTTATATGTCAAAAATACTCTGTAGCTGAGTAATGGTTGTTTCTATTTACGTGAGATTTACACTCCATTTTGCCATACTCCTTTCTTTTGTCCTCTAAAATCGGGCTTAGTCTCAGGTGCTTGGACTTATATTTTTTTCTTACAGTGTAGTTAACATGAAAATAAGATATTTATTGTATTCATGTCTTTATCAATTTTGGAATAACAAAGACCAAGAATTATTTCAGAAAAAGGAGAGAGTTGCTAATTGTTGAAGTGAAGTATGTCAGTATAGTTGGTTTTTGTATTTATTTATTTTTAGAGTCAAGGTCTTGCTCTTACTCCCCAGGCTGGAATCTAGTGCCACAATCACAACTCACTGTAACCTCCATTTCCTGGGCTCAAGGGATCCTCCTGCCTCGCTGGGACTACAGGCACATGCTACCATGCCTGGCTACTTTTTTAATTTTTTGTAGAGACAGGGTCTCACTATGTTGCCCCATCTGGTCTCAAACTCCTGGCCTCAGGCAATCCTCCCCCCCATCTCCCAACATGTTAAGATTATAGGCGTGAGCCACTGCACCCAGCCCAGTATAGTTATAGTAGGTAGATTAACTTACTGATGATTTTCCTTTGATCATTATTAATGTGATGTCAGATATAAAGCTTAAGTTCTATGTGGCAAAATAATATAACTTAACGTAGTCTATTAGTCTGTTCAGGCTATTCATAACAAAATACCACAGACTGGATGGCTTAAAACAACAGAAACTTATTTTCTCAGTTCTGGAGTTAAAAGTAGCAAATTTGATTTCTGATGAGGGCTCTTTTCCTGGCTTGCAAATGACTCTCTTCTCTGTGTGTGTGGAGAAAAAGCTATCTGTTTTCTGTTCCTCTGATCTTATAAGAGCACCATTCCTGTAATGTTAAAGTCCCCCACTCTTGTGAGAATTCTTTAACCATAATTACCTCACCAAAGGCTCTGTCTCTAAATACAGTCGCATTGGGGATTAGGGCTTCAATATATGAATTTGTGGGGGACACAATTCAGTCTGTAACATGTAATACTATGAAACTATCCATTGTAAAAACTATGATGGTTAACGTAAAAGGTACCTGAGGAAGAAATTGGGAGGGGGAGGACTGATATTTTAAGGAGATTCATTTTTGAATGCTGAGATGTGCAGCTATATATTCTTAAGAGAAAACTATTACGTGTATCAAAACTGTTTTTTTTTCTTTTTTTTCTGAGACGGAGTTTTACTCTTATTGCCCAGGCTGGAGCACAATGGCGCGATCTAGGCTCACCGCAACCTCCACCTCTTGGGTTCAACCGATTCTCCTGCCTCAGCCTCCCGAGTAGTTGAGATTACAGGCGTGTGCCACCAGGCCCAGCTAATTTTGTATTTTTAGTAGAGACGGGGTTTCTCCATGTTGGTCAGACTGGTCTTGCACTCCCGACCTCAGGTGATCTGCCCACGTTGGCCTCCCAAAGTGCTGGGATTACAGGTGTGAGCCACCATGCCCGGCCAAAACTTTCTTTTCATTTTGAGTTTGAGTGCAGCAAAAAAGTGTATCAAACTAGAATGAGCATTTGCATATGTAAGGACAATTGGAAATACTCTTGCTCGTAGTGAATAGATTACTGGTAATAAGTGAGACAAGATGTTAAATTATTTTTTATATTTTCTATTGTACCTGATGAAAGCACAGATATTTATGATGTTACTCATAATGATTTCTTTGTAACTTTGATGAGAATTTTAATATGACTGGAGATAAAAGAACTTACTTCCCTGTATCGTTATCTAGGGACTTTTTTGTATTAAAAAAATTAAAAGTGGAACATGGCATTGTCATGGTAAACTTGTGAATTGGATAAGCTCCCATACATGAGTCAATGTGTTCATTAATAAATGAGCTACACAACACAGTATTTTTCCATACATTGCAGTTTTATATCTTTAGTCCCTGTCGGGATCCTTCTTAGGTTTCAGTATTCAGATTCGCAAAACTACTACAGACAACACTTGGCATCAGTATACGGAGATCGATCTAGGACAGGGATCATAGCTTGCCAACAGGAGCAACATCTAGCCTTAGGAATAGTCTTTGCAACAGTTCTTATGGCCATCCAGAAGCTGTTTTCTCCCAGGTGACAACTGGAGAAACAAGCAGATGGGATTTATGTTGAGAGGGTCCAGGAACCACTCAAAAGCCTCATGTTCCATGGAAGCCAATATCTCTTCTATCAACTCTGTGGACCAAAGTTCCAGGATTCTCACTGTATTCAGGAGGCCCCAAGGGTGACACCCTTATCCTGTATTTATATTATTTTTTTATTCTAGATTGCAAGGTGTTTTTTTTTTTTTTTGGTTTTTGGTTTTTGTTTTTTTTTTGCCCATGCTGGGGTACAGTGGTGCGATCTTGGCTCACTGCAACCCCCACCTCCTGGGCTCAAGTGATCCTTCCGCCTCAGACCCCCAAGTAGCTGGGCCTACAGGCACAAGCCACCATGCCTAGCTCATTTTTGCCTTTTCTGTAGAGATAGGGTTTCACTGTGTTGCCCAGGCTGGTCTTGAACTCCTGAGCTCAAGTGATCCACCCGTCTCGGCCTCCCAAAGTGCAAGGATTATAGGCATGAGCCAGCATGCCTGGCTGGGTTTAAATTTTTTAATTGACAAAGAAAAGTTGTATATATTTATGGTGAAATGTCTAAAACTAATTCCATATTGTGGAATGTCTAAAACTAATTACCATATGCATTGACTCACAGACTTATCTTTTTTGTGATGAGAGCACTTAAAGTCTCCTGTCCTAGCAATTTTCAGGTATACAGTACGTTGTTGTAACTGTAGTCACCATGTTGTACAGTAGTAGATCTCTTGAACTTACTCTTCGTAACTGAAAGTTTTTATCTTTTGACCAGCATCTCCCCACACCTTCAGTCCCTCATAACCACTATTCTACTCTGCTTCTGTGAGTTCAACTCTAAGATTCCACATGTAAGTGAGATCATGGGGTATTTGTTTCTGTTCCTGACTTATTTCACTTAGCATAGTATCTTCCAGGTTTATCCATGTTGTCACAAATGACAGGATTTCTTTCGTTGTTAATGTTGAATAATATTCCATCATGTATATAGATCATATTTTCTTTATCCTTCTATCTGTTAATGGACACTTAGGTTGATTCCATATCTTGCCTATTGTGATTAATGCTGGAGGGAACATGGGAGTGCAGATATCTTGTTAACAAACTGGTTTCATTTTCTTTGGATATACCCCGTAGTGGGATTACTGAATCCTATAGTACTTAATATTTTTAATTTTTTGAGGAACGTCCATACTGTTTCCTATATGGCTGTACTACTTCACATTCTCAACAACAGTGTACAGGGATTCTCTTTCTTTTTTTTTTTCCTCATTTTTGCCTACACCTGTTGTCTTGTCTTTGATAATAACCACCCTAACAGGCGTTAGGTGATAACTCATTGTGGTTTTAGTTTACATTTTCCTGATGAGTAGTAAGATTGAACATTTTTTGATACTTGTGGGCAATTTCTAGAAACTTATGGATGGGGATCAAAAAGTTTATGTACTGAATGTATAATAATGCACTAGCCAAGCATGGTGTTGCACGCCTTTGGTCCCAGCTACTGGGGAGGCTGATGCAGGCTTGAGCCCAGCATGTTGAGGCTGCAGTGAGCCGTGCTCACACCACCATACTCCAGCCTGTGCGACAGAGTGAAACCCTGTCTCAAAAAAGGAAAAAAAACTACTATTTTTATTATATAAGACATTGTTTTGGCAGGGTGTGGTGGCTCACGCCTGTAATCCCAACACTTTGGGAGGCTGAGGCGGGAGGATCACTTGAAGTCAGGAGTTTAAGACCAGCTTGGCCAACATTGTGAAACCCCGTCTCTACTAAAATTACAAAAATTAGCTGGGTGTGATGGCATGAGCCTGTAATCCCAGCTACTTGGGAAGCCAAGGCAGGAGAATCGCTTGAACCTGGGAGATGGAGGTTGCAGTGAGCCAAGATTGCGCTACTGCACTCCAGCCTGGGCGACAGAGTGCAACTCCCTCTCAAAAAAATAAATAAATAAAATAAAACATTGTTTTACTTTAAACAAGTATAGGGAGACTAATAAATACAGATGTTATTGTTACAACATTATGATATCTAAAATAGTTTCCTTTTATAGGAATAAAAGAAAAGATACTCTTTATTATCACCATCTGTCTTTTACATCATGTTTGAGTTAAGTAGAAAAAATTGACAGGAAATACATTGACGTTTGCATTTCTTTCTTGTATTTTTTTGCCATAAACAATAGGATACAGACTATAGTGCTGCTGCTTTTTTTTAAAGAACTTAAATAATTTTTTAACTCCTCTATCATTCCCAATAATTTAAGAACTTTTTTTAAGAGATAAGGTCTTGCTCAATTGCCCAGGATAGAATACAGTGTCATGATCATAAATCACTGTAACCTTGAACACCTGGGCTCCAGCAATCCTCCTACCTGAGTTTCCTGAGTAACTCAGACTACAGGCATGTGCCACCATGTCCAGCTAATTAAAAAAAAATTGTTTTTGTAGAGATGAGGTCTTGCTATGTTGCCCAGTCTTAGACTCCTGGCCTCAAGGAATCCTCCCACCTCAACCTTCTAAAGCAGTGGGATTACAGGAGTAAGCCTTTTTTTTTTTTAAAGACAAGGTTTATGCTCTGTCTCCAGGCTAGAGTTGAGTGGCTCAAACATGGCTCACTGCAGCTTTCACCTCTAGGGCTCAATCAGTCCTCCTACCCCAGCCTCTTGAGTAGCTGGAACTACAGGCATGCGCCACTGCGCTTAGCTAATTTTTGTATTTTCTGTAGAGACAAGGTTTCACCATGTTGCCCAGGCTGGTCTCAAACTCCTGCGCTCAAGTGATCTGCCTGTCTCGGCCTCCCAAAGTGGGATTACAGGTGTGAGTCACCACGCCTGGCCTCTAGTGCTTCTTATGTGAAAGATTTTTCCTTATTGGAGAAGGAGGGAAGGAAGGAAGCAAGGAAGAAAAGGAGAAAGAAACAGAAGAAATCTTTCATGATTGGAGGAACTGTTGAAATTGGTTTGCTCTGAGTTTGTTGTGGTTTGAATTAGAAGGGGAAAATTTATCATTCATGAATTTTGGAAAGTAATAGTGGTGTGGATTTTGAGTCTCTACCAATTCCCCCATAAAAGGAACATATTGATGGTAACAACAAAAACGTATAGACAAAATCTACAACAAAGGTCTTAAAGATTCTCAGGTACTATGGGCCTCATGAATTCTCAATCCTCACCACCCAAAGCCTTTCCAGGATTAAGCTCCACGCTGATGTGAAACTGCTGGGCATAGGCTCCAAATTAAGTAGGACAGGGACAACAGGACAAACAAAAAGAAGGTTCAAATAAATTTATGGGAGAAGAATAGAGTTAGGTGATCTCATAAAGTACATTGCTTTAATTTGAGTATTTCACAAAAATAACGGGAGCTCTAAAGTTATGAAATTGGCAAAACTATCATAAAAATGACTTTTTTCTAAAAGTTTAGGAAATCTACTTGTACATAAAACCAGACAACTAAAAGGGAGCAAGTTCAAATCTCCTGGGATTATAAGAACAAGAGAGAACAAGAAGCAGAATAACATCCCTACGGACAGTGAAAGCTTCTCAGAAAGACATGCCCATCAAACATGAGCACTATAATAAGTGGTAGGACTCAGAAGAGTTAAAATTTTAAAAAGATTAAGATAAACATCTGAGTCAACAAACATAAGAATTAATGCCTTTACAAAATAGAAAATTAGAAAACAGGGTATTTGTAAAAAACAAAAGAAACATAGGATATAAGGATTTGAGAGAAAATGCTATACTGAAAATAGGCAAAGAAGATCCAAGAGATAGGTGTCCACAAAAAAGAAAAAGCAAGGGGACAGATAAATAACTAAAGACTGTGTTGGAAAACACTTTCCTGAAGTAGTTGGAAACTCAGTGCAGACCATTCAACATCAAGACATTTTCTAGTAAAATTACAGGGCTTTGAAGAAAGAAATACCTTGCGTATCCAGACAAAAAGACCAAATGACTTACAAGGGAAGGAAAATCAGACTGCCTTCACTCTTTTTGACATCAGTGCTTTATTCCAGAAGAAAATGCCATAATGTATTTGAGAGACTCTCGGGGGGAGAAAATGTCAGCCAGGGACTTTATGTCCAGCCAATGTGACTTTCAGATAGACTGCAGATAAGCTGTTACCAATATCTATAATCTCTTTTCCCGTGAGTGTTTTGTATAGGAATCTTCTCGTGAATGAGCTTTAGATAGCCAAAATGACTGACAAAACATCAGTAGTAGGTGATAAATAAATAAAAGTTTAATCATATGTATGAGTTAGTATACCTGCATATATGTGTTTATGAGAGGAATCTAAGAGCAGTGACACCCCAGTAACAATGAACACAGCCTCCAGATTTTGATTTCAAAATGTCATTCTCCTGTAAGAGGAACCAGAGCTCCTTAGAGAAGAGATTGATCTCAAGAACAGGCAGGGAAAACACAAGATGAGCCTGAAACATCTGGTAATGCAGGAAAATAAGGATGTGCTCAAAAAGGGATTTGGGCGTATCATTAGGACATAGGTGCCAGTGGAAGGAGTTTCCCAATATTGAAAGCAGTAAGAGTTTTAGTAACAAAATATATAAAGATAGATTTTAATCCATAGAATAATATCTATGAGTTCAGACTTATGTAAGTACAATTTGAATAAATAAATAAAGGTGAAGGGGCAGCTTTTCCCTGCAAGTGAACATAAGTTAAAACATGTAGATGTAATGAGGGAAGTAGAAAATCACCATTAAGAAAATGCTACAGTAATAATTGTTGCAAGCAAGATCCCTGATAGATACTAAAATTAGTGGGTGAAAGTTTGTTTAGAAGCAGGATATTAGCATAATTTCAAAGTATCTCCCCCAGGATATTTATCTGTTACAAAGGTGAAAATGGTAATTTTACGGTGAAATAACCAGTTGACATCACCTTAATCAAATAGTTAACCTCACCAGTAAGGTGTTGTATTAGTCTGTTCTCATGCTGCTAATAAAGATATACCTGAGACACCTGAGACTGGGTAATTTATAAAGGAAAGAAGTTTAATGGACTCACAGTTCTGCATGGCTGGGGAGACCTCATAATCATGGTGGAAGGCAAAGGAGAAGCAAAGGCATGTCTTGGCGGGAGGCAAGAGAGCTTGTGCAGGGGAACTCCCATTTATAAAACCATCACATCTCCTGAGACTTATTCACTACACGAGAACAGTATGGGGGAACCACCCCCGTGATTCAGTTATCTCCACCTGGCCCTGCCCTAGACACATAGGGATTATTACAATTCAAGGTGAGATTTGGGTGGGGACACAGCCAAACCATATCAGGTATATTGACATCATGTAACTCTTTATACAAAGCACAACGTAACTTTTGTGGAAGTATTGTCAAAAAATTCCACATTAGATTGTATAACCTCAATCTAATCTAGAGAAAACACCAAACAAGCCCAAATTAAGAGGTATTCTACAGAATAACTGTGTCAGGGTCAGAAGAGACAAAGAAAGAATGAGGAATGGAGGAGACTAAGGGTTGGAGGAGACCAAGGAAAAAAAGAATACACTGAGACATGGATCCTGGAATAAAAAAGGACATTGAAGGAAAACTGGTGAAATTTGAATAAAATCTGTTTAATAGTATTTTACCAATGTTAATTTTCTGTTTTGGTAATTGTACTCTAGTTACGTAAGTTCTTAACATTAGGGAAAGTAGGGTGAGAGTGCACTTTAAGTTTGTTTGTTTGTTTGTTTGTTTTTGAGACGGACTTTCGCTCTTCTTGCCGGGCTGGAGTGCAATGGCTCGATCTGGGCTCACTGCAACCTCTACCTCCCAGATGCAAGCAATTCTCCTGCCCTCAGTCTCCTGAGTAGCTGGGATTACAGGCACCTGCAACCACGCCCGGCTAATTTTTTTGTATTTTTAGTACAGATGGTGTTTCACCATGTTGGCCAGGCTGGTCTCAAACTCCTGACCTTGTGATCCGCTCGCCTCGGCCTCCACAGTGCTGGGATTACAGGCGTGAGCCACTGCACCTGGCCACATACACAAACTTTTTAAACTTTTCTTTAATGACATTGGTAATGGTATCAGTATTGTTATTCTGAAAATGTTTTGTATATAATTTGAGACAAAATAGTATGATATCTTAATTGTATTATCTGTGTCCTTGAAAACCAAGATTTTCAGTGTGGGAAATGCAAATAATAGGTAAGCTAGAAAAGGTTAAGAAAACATGAACTATCAGAATGAACTCATGAGTTTTATCTTTTTTTTTTTTTTTTTAAGTTAAAAATGTGTGGGGGTCAGGGGGGGTGTCTATGTGTGTGTTTCCTAACCCTGTTTACTGAAAAGGCTTAGAGACATTGGTAAACCCAGTACCTGTGAGCATCCTCAATGCCCAGATCGTGGTCTTGAAATACAACTTCCCACAAAACTAAACCAATTAAAAAAATCAGAAAAATGGTTGATTTCAGTTCTGCAGCATGATAAGCTAGGAATCATCTTGTCACTCCAGGTAGTAAGGAAGTTATCAAAGCCATGTTAAAATGACTCAAAGAGTCAAATACGTATCCTTCCTTTTGTATATGAACTTTACCACTATATAATAAGATAGTAAATGAGTAAAGTACTTTTGTTTTTATAAAAGTATTCCAACTAGTCACAGATGAATGAATGATAGAATGGGAATGTCAGCATTCTGAAATTGCTAATAAATTAAAAGTTTTTATATTGAGTATCAACATCTGCTAATAAAAAGAGAAATAACCAGGTATCATATGTCTCTTAATAAAGAACTCCTCAACACCAGAGAAGTAGTTTTGCCACAGAAATTGAACCTGAATATGTTGAAGTGATGATTCACAGGATAAACAAAGAACAGAGGAACATGGGAATGTAGTCTACAGTATCTGGAAACTGTAGGACAGTGGATTTGGTGTCCTGAACAAATAAATTGCAAGAAAAATAAGGGATAGAGGGGATAACATTAACGTGTCCTTAAAAAGAAAATAAACTTGTAAAACTAAACTATCAACAAAATAAGGAATAAGTTCAAGAGATATGTACTATGTGGTGACTAGTTAATAACACCGTATGCCTAAAATTGCCAAATAGATTTTAAGTGTTTTCACTACAAAAAAAAAATTATATTGTGAGGTAATACATATGTTAACTAGCTTGATCTAGCCATTCTACACTGTATTTATATTTCAAAACATCATTTTGTGTGCCATATATACAATTTTTACTTGTCAACAATTTTTTTTTAATTTAAAAAAGTGAGATTAATAGTTATTTTTGGTAAAGAAGAGAATTATTATTAGAAAAGGCATGTATAGCTCTCTTGGGGTAGCTGCTAAATTTCTTTTTCATTTTTGCCTTCTACTGTATTAAGCTATGCATTTGTTTTGTGTGGTTTTCTTTGCTATACTTAATCATTAAAAAATTCTTGATACCTTTGTCAAGTAAGTACCATGAAATTTTAAAGTAAGTTATAAAAGAATTGTCACTGGTCAGGTGCAGTGGCTCATGCCTGTAATCCCAGCACTTTGGGATTAGCCTGGCGTGATGACTCTTGCTTATAGTCCCAGTTACTCAGGAGGCTTAGGCAGGAGGGTTGCTTGAGCTCAGAAGTTTGAGGTTATAGTGAGGTATGATCATACCAGTGCACTCTAGCCTGGGTGACAGAGCAAGACATTGTCTCTAAAAATAAAAAAACATTTAAAAAAAAAAGAATTGGCACAAATTCAGATCCCTTTATCATACAGCAAAATGGTGCAGGCAGCTTGCATAAAATTTTCCATTATGTGCATCTTGATAGTATCAAATGATAATTTCAGTATTTGAACCCATTTTGGAAACTGTTAAGTCTGTTGACATTTTCAAAATCGTGAAAGTTTCTTTGGCAAACAAAACTTCAGTTGTTGACATATACTCTTAGACACAGGTGATATTTCACCTGTCATATTTCACTCATTTCAGTCAACAAATATTTATTGAGTATATGCAGTTTGTCATGCACTATCTTCAGTATTGTGAATGTAGCCGTGAACAAAAGCAGTCAAATTTTTCCCATGATGGAGGTTACATGTCATAATTATCAAACAATAAACAAGATTAGTAAATAAAATATATAGTATAGATGGTGGTAAGGAGGTGTGGAAGGAAAATAATTTGGGGAAGAGAGTGGGGCATGATTTTAGATTGAGTTGCTAGAAAATGACTCATGGAAGAGTTGGTACTTGAGTAGAGTCCTAAAGGATCTGAGAGAGCAAGCCATGCAAATACCAGAGAAAAAGGATTTTTATGCTGACAACAACAGTCAGGACCCTGAGGTGGCACAACCCTGCTTACTTACTATGTTAGAGCAAAGATTGACTGACCAGGGTTTATCTTCCAAATCTGGCCTGTGCCACCTGTTTTATTAATCAAATTTTATTTATTCATTTAATATTTGATTGTCAATGACTCCTTTTTCACTACAATGGTAGACTTGAGTAGTGACAGACTTCATGGCTTGGGAAGCTAATAATATTACTGTGACCCTTTATAGAAAGTTTGCTGGTCTGTTTCATAGAAAAAACAAGGTTAGCAATATAGCTGAAGCAGAATGAGTGGGGACTATTTGTAACAGGGGAGGAAAAAGGTCAGGCAGGTAAGGCTCTGAAAGGGGGGAGAGAGACATGCCAATTGTGCAGGGCCTTGTGCTTTATTGACAATTTTGGTTTTGAATCTGAATAAAATGGGATGGCCTTGAAGAGCTTTTATAATTAGTTCTCTTGCAATAATCCTTTATTCTTGTTTCTGTCTTGATTCACTTGAATCTGTTGTCAATACTACAGCTAGTGAGAGCTCATTAAAACAAGTGAGATGATGAAACTTTGATTAAAACTCTTTCTGAGTGGGCTAGAGGATATGAAATGCAAAGCATTAATGGAAGGATTGGCCTTAGCTTAAAATAGACATCACTGGCTTTTTTTGATTTGGGGGATTTTTTGAGGACAGAGTTTCACTTTGTTGTCCAGACTGGAGTGCACTGGCGTGGTCATGGCTCACTGCAGGCTCAGCTTCCCTGGGCTCAGGCGAGCCTCCCACCTCAGCCTCTAGTATAGCTGGAACTACAGGGAACTACAGGTGTGCACCACCATGCCTGACGAATTTTTCTATATTTGGTCGAGACGGGTTTTATTATGTTGCCCAGGCTGGTCTCAAACTCCTGGGCTCAAATGATCTGCCCACTTTGGCCCACCAAAGTGCTGGGATTACAGGCGTGAGCCAACATGCCTGGCCAAGAGTACCTTTTCTGAAGTGCAGATCTGATTCTGTCACTCCACTCCCTGCATTAAACACACTGGGTTTCTTACTTATCTAGTTAAAAAGATATTACATGTTCACTATAGAAAACTTGGGAAAGTGTAAAGCAAAAAATAAAAATTAGTTGTTATCCTATTATCAAGATGCAACAATACTGTTAACATTGTGTTCTGTTTCTTTCTAGTCATTATTCTAGGCGTGGTTACAGATTTATTGGCTTATTTATGTGAATTAGGATTACATGAAAAATGAGTTTTATTTTCTACTTTTTGCACTTAGCATGCTACATGATAGTTTCACTGTCTTTGAAAAATTCTTTAATGAGGTTTCCAAGTGTAAAGCAGGCACTCAGTAAATATTTATTGAATAGTTATTGAATGGTTTTACCTAATTTATGCTAATACTACCAGTGTATGAGCATAATTCCTTCTGCCATATCTAGAAGCTTTGAACATTGTGACTAAATAAAAACTTTGCTGGTTGGTTAAATTAAAAATCTCACTGCTTTTTGAATTTTAATTTCTTTGATTACTAGTGGAGTTTGAACATTTCAGCCTCTGCATTGTTGGTTGACATCCATGGCTAATTTTGTTTTCGGATCTTTAGTTTTAGCTTATATTTTAAATGGTCTTTTAAGTAAATGCATTTATTAATCCTTCTTCAATGCAGTATACCTTAGCATCTGTTAAATGTATCATGTCCTTGCCCAAATCTCACTTTGTAGGTTGGTGAAATATGCTTCATAGAATTTTTAATTAAATATTGCTTTACAGTCTACATAAGACTTCCTGTTAGTAAAAGCTACCTCATGAAAAGTATTGATGTTATTTGCCAACATTTAGACTAGCTTTTGTTACCGTTTCAGTTATTCAATTTAGTCAGCACATGTTTGAGTGTCTTACTGCAGGTGAATAATCCATGATTTCTGCCCCAGAGTAGTTCATAAGACTGGTAGGATACATAGATTTGTAAATAAATAATTATAATTCTGGGCAGTAAGTGCTGCTATAGAAGTCTCTATAAAGCAATGTGCAAACACAAGAAAAGGAGCCGTTAATTCCTTATAGGGAAAGGATCAGATAAAATTATAAAATGGAGTGATATTGTAACTGGGCTTGAGGAAGGTAAGATCTTGCCTATAATATAATAATATTGGCAAACATTGAGTGCTTGCCTGGTATTACTCTTCTGAAGGCCTTATATGTAGTATTGTATGCAATCATTGGCAACCCAGGAGATTGTGCCTGTTATTTTAGTTGTTTTACAAATTAGGAAAGTGGGTGGAGGGTGGGAGGAGGGTCAGGATCAAAAAACTACATATCAGATACTATGTTTATTATTGCCTGGATGACAAAATAATCTGTATGTCAAACCCTCATGATACGCAATTTACCTGTATAACAAACCTGCGTACGTACCCTTGAACCTAAAGTAAAAGTTAAAAAAAAAAAATTAGGAAAGTGAGGAATCTTAAAAGGTACAAAATAGCAATTGCTTACTAGGCAGAGTTAACAGAGTAAAACAAAAAAGTGATGGCAGCTTTGGGAAACTGAATTTTCCGATGTGGCTGAAGTTTCTGGTAAAAAGATGGGGCCAAATAATTAATAATAGCTCCCAAGTACTGTGTAAAAGTACTTTGCATGCTCCATTTTCAAAAAGTCCCCTAAGATAAAAAGAAAAAAAAATCCTCACAGCTCCTCCTTGAGGTATAGATATTTATGTTTCAGTTTTAAAGAGCTTAGAGTCTAAAGAGACTTAGAAAGTTTCAAGTAATTTTCTAAAGGTCCCACAGCTGGCCAAGGTGGAGGTGACACAAGAGCGTTAAGGTTTGTCTGACTCTTTGAGAGTCTTAATTTTTTTTTTTTTTTTTTTTGGAGACAGAGTCTCACTCTGTCGCCAGGCTGGAGTGCAGTGGGGCAATCTCAGCTCACTGCAGCCTCTGCCTCCCGGGTTCAAGCCATTTTCCTGCCTCAGCCTCTCGAGTAGCTGGGACTACAGGCTCACACCACCCCACCCTGCTAATTTTGTATCTTTAGTAGAGACAGGGTTTCACCGTGTTGACCTTTGTGATCTGCCCACCTTAGCCTCCCAAAGTGCTGGGATTACAGGCGTAAGCCACTGCACCTGGCTGAGAGTCTTAATTTTTAATGAAATAGTTCAAATAAAAAATAGTATAAAACACTTGTATATCCAACATTTTATTTGTGTGGTGGGTTTTTTTGTTGGTTTGTTGGGTTTTTTTGTTTTTTTGGTTTTTTTTTGAGACAGGGTCTTGCTTTGTCGCACCAACAAGAATGTAGTGAGTCATAGCTCACTACAGCCTTGACTTCCTGGGCTCAAGCAATCCTCCCACGTAGCTGGGACCACAGCTCCTTCTCCAGGTATTGTGTATAGAATCTGGACCCAAAGAAGGGAAAAGGGCAAAAGGCACCAGTCAGCTGACTCCCTTCTCACCCACGACTTCCTCATACATGTCATTGGTCATAACTGGATCACATGACTCACAGCTTTAAGGTGTTTGAGGAGGCAAGTGCCTTCCTGAACAAAATAAGTTCTGTTTGTAAAAAGGAAGAGGAGAATAGATAATCGGCAGGCAACTCAGTGTCTTCTACTGTTAACTTTTATAGAATATTCAATGTATCATTACAGAGTGATTCTGCTAGGGGTGGTGGAGAAAGCACATAATAAGTGATCAATAAATATTTGTTGAGTAAATGAATGAATCACCTTTAAAAACCCACAGTAGCTACCACTTCTCTTGAGTCACCTCATTTGTGAAGAAATGTGATGCTGTGTTTCAATTTTTGGAGTGAATTTTTCCTTTGGTCACTTCAAATTTTATGCCTTTTAAACTCATTTATGTGCTCTTTTACAACTTTCTTTTGACAAACTTTGGGAAAATGCTTGTGTAACTGACCTTTTTACTAATTATTATAGTGCTTAAAGGTTCATATTCTGTCCTAGTTCTTCCTTCCTCTACACTATTTTGGAAACATATTTATTTAATTTAGAGGAGCTAGAATATTAATTGTTGTCATTTTTTTCTCTTAAAAGAACCAAGCCGGCCAGGCATGGTGGCTCACACCTGTAATCCCAGCATTTTGGGAGGCCAAGGTGGGCGGATCACCTGCAGTCAGGAGTTCGAGACCCGCCTGACCAACATGGAGAAACCCCGCCTCTACTAAATATACAAAATTAGCCGGGCGTAGTGGTGCATGCCTGTAATCCCAGCTACTGGGAGGCTGAGGCAAGAGAATCGCTTGAACCCAGGAGACGGAGGTTGTGGTGAGCTGAGATCATGCCATTGCACTCCAGCCTGGGCAACAAGAGCGAAACTTCGTCTCAAAAAAAAAAAAAAAACCAAGGCAAACACACAAAAAACCAAAGAATTTAACATTTTTAGAATAAAAGAAATATGACACCAGCGAAGAATAATAGTTGAGGTTATTTAGTCCAGCTGCTTTATTTATAGATGAAGAAAGATCAGTGAGTTTGTGACACACCCAAAGATGCATCACTAGCTAAATTAGTGTTAGTGAACCTGGGAATCTTGAACCTAATGTCATTTCTTGTTTTATTTTGCTATGTTGTTACTCAAACCAAGATCAGTTACCTTCGAATGAAAACATGGAGAAATCTGAAGAAACTGAGAAACTTAATTTTACGTTGGATCAGGGTCATGATGAAATCTTTAGATACTTTCTGAACCATAGAATAGGGATAAAAAATATTAACTTGTGTTTAGCCACACTTAGTATTGGGTTGAAGGTTTTTTTGTTTTGTTTGTTTGTTTCTATTTTTTGAGACAGGATCTCACTCTGTCACCCAGGCTGGAATGTATCCAGGCTGGAATGTGGTGGCATGATCAGGGATCAGGGTTAACCTTGAACTCCTGGGCTCCAGTGATCCTTCCACCTCAGCCTACCCAGTAGCTGGAACTACAAGCACACACCACCATGCCCCGGCTACTTTTTGTATTTTTTGTAGAGACAGAGTTTCACCATGCTGTCCAGGCTGGTCTCAAACTCCTGAGCTCAAGCGATCCACCCAACTTGGCCTCCCAAAGTGCTGGGATTAAAGGCGTGAGCCATTGCACGTGGCAGTTGAAGTTATTTTTAAAGATAGTAATCAGTATTTTAACCGTTAAACAAGGTGTTCATTTAGTTAAATTTCCTGATATACTAGCTAATCTCAATAAATGAGAATTTATTAAACCTGTTTTATCAGTGGGAAAGAGAAAACATGCAACTTAGGTAATTACTGTCATCTCTGTTTTTTTCTTACCTTATTTATGCTGTAGGACTTTTATATTTTGAATTTTTGAAATTTTTTTTTACTCTCATCTCTTGAAATATTTTAGCAGCATTCCCTATGGCACTGACTTTGTAAAGAAGGAAGAAATACTGATTACAGTTGCTTAACTCTCAGACACTGAATGGTTCTAAATGGTTCTTGGCTTTTTTATTTGCAACATCATTGTACATAAAAGAAATGGTGGTTAAATTTTCATTTCAAAAAACATATCCTGCTTTATCTTCTCACTTTTTTCCATCCCATTATTCCCATGAAGTATATCCTAACTGGTTTATCAACTTGACGAGAATCATTTCAAAATTTTAGGAAAAAAATTTATGTCTCAGTAAAACTTTGTTTAGAATTAGGTTTTTCAGTAGCAAGGATAAGGTGAAGGGATTAAAAATGTACGTAAAATTAGTAGTCAATGAATTCTGGAATGCAGTCTGTATAATCCTATTCAGAGATTATGCTATTTACTGAATATAGCTTTGGTTGTGTTTAAATCTGCACTAGTATTAGGTGCTCCTTAAAAGTTGAAAATATATAGCCAATAAGGTATAAAGAAGAATTGACAGATAAATCTAAACAGTTTCTTTGTATAGTACTAACTTCTGAAATGTTCAGTGGTGGCATTTGATAAAGTAAGTTGTAATATGATCACATTGAGGAATGTTATATAATTATTAAACTCAATTTTTATAAAAGGCATCATTTTATAAAAGTATCATAAGAAAGTGCCAATGTTTCAATGAATAAATTGAGGCAACATGATACCAACTTAGTGAAAAATATACAAGACCAGAAGGAAGTAACCTAAAATATTACTAGTGATTGCCTCTGGGTAATAGGATATGGGCTTTTTGTCTTTCTATATTTTTCATTTTCCCACTGCCGTGTTCCTGGTACCTCAGTGAAATGAAGTGCTCAGTTCTTTTAACAGTTGTCAGTTTTTAAAACAAATATAGTCTTCTGGAAATGTTTTAGGTAGCATTTTCAATTTTATGTTTTTAAGCCATCTCTTGAATTTGAATAAATTATTTGAACTGCATAAATATTTGCAATCCATTGAGAACACCAAAACAAAAAGTAAAAAGCAGAAACCTAAATTTTTCTAAATTTTTTTTAATATCTAGAAGTTGTATCTCAAAGTTTTTGTAATTTTCTTCATTGTCAGATTTTATTTTTTACTGTCAAATATCCAATGACAGAGGCCACCTCTTTTAAAATAGAAACTTTAAATGGAAATATACATTATACTAAGTCTTATATTTTATAGCCTTGAAAGTTTCTATTCATGTAATTAAGCTTTTTCTGATTTTTAGAGGAACAGAAAGAAAGTGAAAAGATGAAAAGTGAGGAGCAGCCTATGGATTTAGAAAACCGTTCTACAGCCAATGTTCTAGAAGAGACTACTGTGAAAAAAGAAAAAGAAGATGAAAAGGAACTTGTGAAACTGCCAGTCATAGTGAAGCTAGAAAAACCTTTGCCAGAAAATGAAGAAAAAAAGATTATCAAAGAAGAAAGTGATTCCTTCAAGGAAAATGTCAAACCCATTAAAGTTGAGGTGAAGGAATGTAGAGCAGATCCTAAAGATACCAAAAGTAGCATGGAGAAGCCAGTGGCACAGGAGCCTGAAAGGATCGAATTTGGTGGCAATATTAAATCTTCTCACGAAATTACTGAGAAATCTACTGAAGAAACTGAGAAACTTAAAAATGACCAGCAGGCCAAGATACCACTAAAAAAACGAGAAATTAAACTGAGTGATGATTTTGACAGTCCAGTCAAGGGACCTTTGTGTAAATCAGTTACTCCAACAAAAGAGTTTTTGAAAGATGAAATAAAACAAGAGGAAGAGACTTGTAAAAGGATCTCTACAATCACTGCTTTGGGTCATGAAGGGAAACAGCTGGTAAATGGAGAAGTTAGTGATGAAAGGGTAGCTCCAAATTTTAAGACAGAACCAATAGAGACAAAGTTTTATGAGACAAAGGAAGAGAGCTATAGCCCCTCTAAGGACAGAAATATCATCACGGAGGGAAATGGAACAGAGTCCTTAAATTCTGTCATAACAAGTATGAAAACAGGTGAGCTTGAGAAAGAAACAGCCCCTTTGAGGAAAGATGCAGATAGTTCAATATCAGTCTTAGAGATCCATAGTCAAAAAGCACAAATAGAGGAACCCGATCCTCCAGAAATGGAAACTTCTCTTGATTCTTCTGAGATGGCAAAAGATCTCTCTTCAAAAACTGCTTTATCTTCCACCGAGTCGTGTACCATGAAAGGTGAAGAGAAGTCTCCCAAAACTAAGAAGGATAAGCGCCCACCAATCCTAGAATGTCTTGAAAAGTTAGAGAAGTCCAAAAAGACTTTTCTTGATAAGGACGCACAAAGATTGAGTCCAATACCAGAAGAAGTTCCAAAGAGTACTCTAGAGTCAGAAAAGCCTGGCTCTCCTGAGGCAGCTGAAACTTCTCCACCATCTAATATCATTGACCACTGTGAGAAACTAGCCTCAGAAAAAGAAGTGGTAGAATGCCAGAGTACAAGTACTGTTGGTGGCCAGTCTGTGAAAAAAGTAGACCTAGAAACCCTAAAAGAGGATTCTGAGTTCACAAAGGTAGAAATGGATAATCTGGACAATGCCCAGACCTCTGGCATAGAGGAGCCTTCTGAGACAAAGGGTTCTATGCAAAAAAGCAAATTCAAATATAAGTTGGTTCCTGAAGAAGAAACCACTGCCTCAGAAAATACAGAGATAACCTCTGAAAGGCAGAAAGAGGGCATCAAATTAACAATCAGGATATCAAGTCGGAAAAAGAAGCCCGATTCTCCCCCCAAAGTTCTAGAACCAGAAAACAAGCAAGAGAAGACAGAAAAGGAAGAGGAGAAAACAAATGTGGGTCGTACTTTAAGAAGATCTCCAAGAATATCTAGACCCACTGCAAAAGTGGCTGAGATCAGAGATCAGAAAGCTGATAAAAAAAGAGGGGAAGGAGAAGATGAGGTGGAAGAAGAGTCAACAGCTTTGCAAAAAACTGACAAAAAGGAAATTTTGAAAAAATCAGAGAAAGATACAAATTCTAAAGTAAGCAAGGTAAAACTTGTCTTAACTTTAATTAAAAATATTTGTCTCTATATATTAATAGGTTTTTTGGTTTTGTCTAAAACTTAGTCATCAAAGACAACTGACAAAGTATCTTTCTTCCTCTGTCTGAGATACCTTTTCAGACTTTATACTCTTACTTATACTCTATACTCTTGTCATCTTTTAACTTTTTTAAGAAATTAAAAGTAGTATAGGAATATATTCTCCTTGTAAACTATTCAAATAATATCCAACCTGTAGAATTATAGAATGAGAATTCCCCATTGCCACTATTAACAGTTTGGGGATAATTGCCACTATTAACAGTGTGGGGTATAGTATCTTTGCAGTCTTTTTTTTTTTTTTTTTTTTTTTTTTTTGTGAGACAGTCTTGCTCTGTCGCCAGGCTGGAGTGCAATGGCACTATCTCGGCTCACTGCAACCTCTGCCTCCCTGGTTCAAGCGATTCTCTTGCCTCAGTCTCCCAAGTAGCTGGGACTACAGGAGCGTGCCACCACACCCAGCTAATTTTTGTATTTTTAATAGAGGTGGGTTTTCGCCATGTTGGCCAGGATGATCTCGATCTCTTGACCTGGTGATCCGTCCACCTCGGCCTCCCAAAGTGCTGGGATTACAGGCGTGAGCCACCGTGCCTGGCCCTCCAGTCCTTTTTCATGCATTTATGTGGATGTTCATAAATATTTACTTATTTAAAAAAGAAATTGGATCAAATATGTTCATTTTTCTGTGAGTTTTTCACTTAAAGTGTCTCTGAACTCTTCATGTCCGTAGATATAGTATCCCTTTTGCTTGTTAATGGCCACACAGTACTCCATAGTGTGGATATACCTCAGTTTATTTAACCACTCACTTACTGATTGACATTTAGGTTGTTTCCAATTTTTCACTATTACAGGCAATGCTGCATTGAAGATCCTTTTGGACATGAGTGAGTATTTCTTTAGAATAGACTCCTAGAATTGGAATTGCTGGGTCAAGGGACATGTATATTTTAAGTTTTGATAGCTACTTCCACATTGCCCTCCAAAAAGGCTCCATTAATATAGCATCTTATTACCAGTGTATGACAGTGCCTGTTTTCCCCATTTTACTCATTAATGTTGGTATTACTCATCATAACTATGACCCTGTTATTTTAAGCAAAATATTTTACAAGTCTTTTGCTAGTCTATGGGAATTTATCATAATCAAAAGTGCTACTTTTCTTTTTAATGTATTTAAACGATCAGATCATTCTTCATTGTAAGTGATCCTGTGTTCCCTGAGATACTGAATTTTTAATGTTTTCTTCTTTTGTTGTTAGACTTATTTTGTTCTTTGCTGACGACCTATAGTGTAGGAATAAACTAAAACACAAGTTAAAAGAGTATAAAACTACGCAATAAAAAGCTGTTAGTCACATTATAAATTTGCTCTCTGAATGTATATATTTTTACATTTGTCAGGATTTTTATATGCAGTTCTGGCTTATTTAAAATTTAAAATTTATCTCTAATACAGGATTTTAAATTTTTACATGAAAATATGTGAGAATATAGTCATCATTCTCTTACAAAGCATTTAAAATGTGCATGACCTTTGACCCAGAATCCTCTTCAAGGAATTTATCCTAACCACAGAGATGTGTGTAAAAATATTTGTAAAGATACAGTACATTGTTGACGAAAGTGAAAAACATGGGAAACAACTACCTAAATGTCTAGTAGAGGATTAGATAAAAACAGTTATGTAATGGCATTTATAGTAATGTTAGGAGAATGTGACTAGGAAAAATATAAGACCAAATGTTCATTATAATTCGGTTTTAAGAAAAAAGTAAACAAAAATGTAGAAAAAATAGTGGAAATATATACCAAAATTTAACCATAGCTATATCTGATGATGAGACTATAATAATTTTCTCCTCTTTTTTTGGTATATTGGCTGAATATTATTATACAATGGACATGTAATCAGGAGATTTTTAAAAGACATTCTTATATCAAATTATCCCAATTTTTTTTATTTTATACAAGGTAAAACCCAAAGGCAAAGTTCGATGGACTGGTTCTCGGACACGTGGCAGATGGAAATATTCCAGCAATGATGAAAGTGAAGGGTCTGGCAGTGAAAAATCATCTGCAGCTTCAGAAGAGGAGGAAGAAAAGGAAAGTGAAGAAGCCATCCTAGCAGATGATGATGAACCATGCAAAAAATGTGGCCTTCCAAACCATCCTGAGCTAGTATGTACCTGATGTAAATGAAGAATACTCATATTACAGACATGGTGAGGTTGCCTGGAGCAGCCTAACTCTTCTGGGTTTTATCATTATTTGAATTTCTTAATGATAACTTGTATGCTACAGAGTAACCTTTATTTCTGTTTCTCATATAACCTAATTGTAGGAAGGCCAGTGATCAAGATCCTACTTTCATTCTACTTGGCTTGTATATTGATATTTCCTCTACATAATAATACACCTCAATCTCTTCTCACAGATTGAGGAATGTATTCAAGTATTTTTAGTCTGTTCTTTTTAAGTTTTTCTTCTTTCCCTTTAAATTACTTAATAATGGCATTTCTGCCTGGCATGGTGGCCACATGCCAGTAGTTCCAGCTACTCAGGTGGCTGAGGTAGGAGGATTTGAGCCCAGTAATTCAAATGCAGCCTGGGCAGCATAGCAAGACCCTGTCTCATGGATGGCTGGATAGATAAATAGGTAAGATAAATAGGTAACTTTATAATGATATTTTTGAAGTGCCAGCTTTAAGTAAATTAGGCCTGAAGGCCTTACTGCCTTCCTATAAAAACATGTAAGTCAAGTAATAATGTAGTAGGGCTTTAAATTTTTTTTAATGGCAAAAGAGTGGCATTGGAATGTTTCTAAAACAAATGGTAAATGCTTGAGGTGATGGATACCCTAGTTACCCCATGTGATTATTACACATTAGATGCCTTTATTAAAACATCACATGTACCCTATAAATATATACACCTGCTATATACCGACTACAATTTTTTTAACATAAAAAATTTTTTTTAATTTATAGGAGAATAAATTGTAGACCAGATATATTCCAAAAAGAATAGTACCACTTTTATAGAGAGCTTTCTTCCCCAGGAAGTAAGTTCTTCAAAGGTTGCCTGAATCAGGAGAATCAATATCTAATCTATTATATATATAATATATATATTATATATTATATATAAATATATTTTATATAATATATTTATATATATTATATATTATATATAAATATATTTTATATAATATATTTATATATATATATAATTTGCAGTTCATAAGTGAGTCTGTTGAGGAAGTAGCCTTGTTATACCTAATTCTATGCACCTGTGCTGTTCTTTTGAATAGATTTCACTTTAAAGGCAAACTCCAGCTATTAAGTAGAAGAAAATGTAAAGAAAGATGTTTCTACCTGAGTAGAATTGTGTGGACCAGAAACATTTGAGATCCTCTAAAGTTTGGAAAATTCCTAAGAAGTGGTTCTCCAGCCTCTTTTTTCCTGCAAAGCATTATGATGTGATGGGAAAAGCATAGGGCCAGACAGCATGAATTCAGATCCTACTTATCAGGATACTACTTATCAGGAGCTATCTTCTCTGTATTTTGATTTCTTTATTGTAAGGTGGGACTCACGCCACATACTTCTGAGGGGTGTTTTTAACAGCTCATGTAAAGTTGCCTAGCACAGTTTCTGATCTATATTATGTGCTGGGTTAAAGTTAATTCTGGTTTACTTACTCTTTTCTTTCTTACTGTTAATATCATATCTGGAAGCTAAATGTATTATCAGTGAAATTTATCATAACCCAGTAGTTTTTAAAGGCTCAAGTAAAAGATAGAACCAGAGAATGACTTGAGCTCTGAGAAGAATAGATGTTGAAATTATGCTGAGAAGATCCCTCTAAGTATTTTATGATCATCAAGGCTATGCAAGTTAAGTCAATATTTTTATACAGATAAAGGCCAAGAGGACATTTGAGATAGTAGTCTTTTCTGCCTTCTAAATCAAGAAAAAAAAGCATCACTTGTGTTCTCTCCTTACCATTTTCTAATGTCCCTTTAAACTAAAAGAGGGCATTTTACCTAAGGCAGCAATGGCTGCTGTAATGAACTGATGTGAAGAAATGAGAAATAAAATGGTAAAATGGGGTGAGCAGAAATTATATTGTGAATGACATTGGAAACTGAAGATCCCAAATATGGTAGATTCTTATGCCAAGTGCTTAAGGATAATCCTCAAGTCAGAATACCAAGCAGCTATTATATGTTAAATCATAAGAATATGCTGCTGAGCTAGAAAGGCATGGTCCTTGTCTTAATTGAGCTTTAACAGCAGAAAAGCAATAAATGTATAAATGAATATAGAACTCTAAGGGATTTTCCAGATGTTTTAGTCAAAATAAATGGATTATCACCTGAGGCTTGGAAATCTTACATGGTAATATTTATTTAGTGAGACTTTGCCTTTACTGCAGAGTAGAAGCAATCTTCCCTTTAGAAATAAATTCTGAAAGTTTACCTGTAATTTTGATATTTGAAATTTAGGTTATGTTTTATAGAAACTATGTGATAAATTGATTAGGTGGCCAGGTTAGTCCACATGTGCCAATGTAATCAACTGTATACCGGAAGTATAATACTAATGTAAGTAAGTACCAAACCCTGGGTATTGCGAGCAAGTGGTGATGCATTGTAATGGTGTGCCTCCTCCCACCCCCATGGTACAGGTTAGGATTGCAGAAACTTCATCTATACTAGGGTTGAGCAAATAAATAAAGTGTAAATAATAGGAGCCATGATGAACCCTATGATGGTAGATTAGAACTGGAGATACTAGCATGAACTCCATGTTTATTTTAATATAGGCACAGAAAGATATATGTGTATACATATCCATACATATATATCTTAGCGCTGTCCTCTGAGAGAGATTAAAAGTAGTTGCCAGTAGCAGTGAGCTTTCAGAGCATCCAGATCTTGGTTTCTAAGTACCATTATCCAGTAAAGGAGCTAGGGCTTCTTGAAGAAATGGTTGGTTCTAAGGCTTGGGCAGGGAAAATACAAGATGTTCCTGAAACATCCTGTTGTGCCAGAAAGTAAGGAAGTACTTAAAAAAAAAATGCAGGCAAGTCCTAAGGACACAGGAGACAACCTGAAAGAGCTTCCATTGTGTCCATGGCTGGAACAGTTCCAACAACAAATTAAATAATGATAGCTTTGGATTGTAGCCCAAAGAATAAAATAATCATTAATTCATATTGATATAAATAATTGAATAAACAAATGTGGGGAAGAAGAGACTTATTTTCCTTACAGAATAATTCCTAATAACATATGTAGAAGGCATAAGGGAGATAGAAAATCACCATCAGAACACCACAGTAACAATCGTTGCAAGCAGAATCCCCGGCAAATGCTAAAACTAGTGAGCAGAACTTTAAGGAGAGAGAAGATATTGGCATAGCTTCAGTGCATCTCCCCCAAGGTATTTATTGATTTATTACTATTGAGATTTTAATATATATCCACAAATTATTTGATACTCATACTTCTAGAAAACTTAATTCCCTTACCCTTGAGTGTGGGTTGCATTTATCTTGAGAATAGAGTACGGAAGGTGACCTTAGAGTGGATAAAACCAACAGATGTACTTTAACCAAGTGACCAAAGTTAATAACAGCAGTAGTAAGTCATTGATAACATGTATCCCCTGATACAATGCAGTGAGCAGGGCATTTCCCCTCTGTAGGCTCTTCTCCAAAACCCAGAACCCCAGTCTAATCATGAGTAAACATCAAACAAACTCAAATTTCAGGACAGTCTACCAAAAATATCTGACTAATATAGTACTCTTCAAACTGTCGGTCAGGGAAGACAAAGAAGGACCAAGAAACGGTTACGTACTGGGGATACTAACAAAACATAACTGAATGTAAAGGGACCTGCAAGATTCAAAATCAACAAAAGGACATCAGTGGAAAAACTTGTGAAATCTGAATAGCCTGTTGTTTAGTTCATAGTATTGATGTTAATTTCTTAGTTTTGATAAATGTACCATAGTTATATGAGGTAATGGTGTTAAAAATTGGGTGAAGGATATAAGAGAACTTTGTACCATCTTGAAACTCTTCTGTAAATCTAAAATTATTTAAAAGTAAAAAGTTTTCTTTTAAATTAAACATTTTTGAGTATACTGTGTTTAGTTTTAGACCTTGGTCCTCTTAAACTCAAATACCGATAAAACAACTATAAGACTAAGTGATGTTACGAACCTTTGTATTACATGATGACGGTTCTGAATGTAGTTGTATTCCTTTTCTATACCTCAGTCTCTTCCTTATTTGAATTTACATGATAAAAAGAACCATGAGTGTTTCTTACAGGTAAGTAATTGAAATGCTATTTAAAATGGAAATTTTTTGTGTTTTAAAAATTCTGTGTGGTAGGGTAGTCTTTGATACTTGAGCTTTAAAACTTTGTTATAAGGAATATGTTGTTATAGCCTTTATGACTATATACTGAATGAAAAAGGATTCTAACTCTAGGTCAGAAAGGCCTTGTTATTTTTAACTAAATTTTATAGCTTAACTTTTTTTTAGGTTTTTTTAAAAATTAGCATGGGCTGGGCGCGGTGGCTCACGCTTGTAATCCCAGCACTTTGGGAGGCCGAGGTGGGTGGGTCACAAGGTCAGGAGATCAAGACCATCCTGACCAACATGGTGAAACCCCGTCTCTACTAAAAATACAAAAATTAGCTGGGTGTGGTGGCAGGCACCTGTAGTCCCAGCTACTCAGGAGGCTGAGGCAGGAGAATGACTTGAACCCGGGAGACGGAGGTTGCAGTGAACCAAAATTGTGCCACTGCACTCCTGCCTGGGCAACAGAGCGAGACTCTGTCAAATAAATAAATAAATAAATAAATAAATAAATAAATAAATGTCAGATCCCTAATCATCAGAGCTTTTTTATTTACTAGCTTTATGCAAATAGAGTGCTTTGCAGTATAGTACTCAGAGATATTGAAACGTCTTTAACCTAAGAGTCATTGAATTTTAGTCATAGTTAGGTTGACATCAGTGTGGTTATTTCAGATTCTTCTGTGTGACTCTTGCGATAGTGGATACCATACTGCCTGCCTTCGCCCTCCTCTGATGATCATCCCAGATGGAGAATGGTTCTGCCCACCTTGCCAACATGTAAGACCCCGCCCACTTGTTTTTCTAGTCTTTGAGTTTGTATTCAAATTAATAACTGTTTAATAGCTACTGAATGAATATTTTTAACCTTCAAAGCAATGTGTAAATAGTATTTACCTCTGTTTAGATTTCTACCTTTTATTAATAGCTTTTAGGTTTTCCTTTTTGTTTTTTTTCCCAAAGCAGTTATCAAAAGCCCTCTAAGTTTTGTAAAATTATGAATGATTTTTTTCTTGTATTTGTTAAAAGCACAAAAAGCACCAAGTGTAGATATGTAGAAGGAAGGATATATGTTTCTTCCTATGTATCACTTTGTTTCATCCTCTTTTTTGGTTTCTACCTACTTTGTATTTGTCAGTAGTTTTGTAGATGGTGTTATCAGGGTTAGGAGAAACATAGATTCTCTTTCTCTTCTATCTTAGGCAAATTTCTTTTAGAAACTGAAGAATCAGGTTATTTCTGTGCTGCTGTGCTCATTGGTTACATTTCTCTCACAAACCTACTTTCATTTGCCTTAAAAATGATAGATTAGGCCAGACACAGTGGCTCACACCTGTAATCCCAGCACTTTGGGAGGCCGAGATGGGCATATTACAAGGTCAAGAGATCGAGACCATCCTGGCCAACATGGTGAAACTCTGTCTCTACTAAAAATACAAAAATTATCTGGGCGTGGTGGCACACGCCTTTAGTCCAAGCTACTCGGGAGGCTGAGGCAGGAGAATCGATTGAACCCGGGAGACAGAGGTTGCAGTGAGCCAAGATCACGCCATTGTACTCCAGCCTGGCAACAGAGCAAGACTCTGTCTCAAAAAAAAAAAAAAACACCGCCAGGCATGGTGGCACATAGGTATAGTCCCAGCTCCTTGGGAGGCTGAGGCAGGAGGATCACTAAAGGCCATGAGTTTGAGACCACCCTGGGCAGCATAGCAAGACCCCATCTCTAAAAAATTTAAAAGTAGTGGCCGGGCGCGGTGGCTCACGCCTGTAATCCCAGCACTTTGGGAGGCCGAGGCGGGCGGATCACGAGGTCAGGAGATCGAGACCATCCTGGCTAAAACGGTGAAACCCCGTCTCTACTAAAAATACAAAAAATTAGCCGGGCGTAGTGGCGGGCGCCTGTAGTCCCAGCTACTTGGGAGGCTGAGGCAGGAGAATGGCGTGAACCCAGGAGGCGGAGCTTGCAGTGAGCCGAGATCCCGCCACTGCACTCCAGCCTGGGCAACAGAGCGAGACTCCGTCTCAAAAAAAAAAAAAAAAAAAAAAAAAAAAATTTAAAAGTAGTAATAATTATTTTTTTTAAATGATGAAAGTTTGGCCAAGCGTGGTGGCTTATGCCTATAATCCCAGCACTTTGGGAGGCCAAGGCAGGCAGATCACTTGAGGCCAGGAATTCAAGACCAGTCTGACCAACATGACGATATCCCATCTCTACTAAAAGTACAAAAATTAGACAGGCATGGTGGCACACGCCTGTAATCCCTGCTACTTAGAAAACTGAGGCACCAGAATCGCTTGAACCTGGGAGACAGAGGTTGCGGTAAGCCAAGATTGTGCCACTGCACGCCAGCCTGGGTGACAGAGTGAGATCTGTCTCAAAAAATAAAATAAAATAAAATGATGAGCTTTATGCATTCTTCAGTGAAATGGACTTCTGTGGCTTAGCACAGCTTTATTATCAAGTACATTTTTCAGCTCTGTTTTGACTCAGTAACTGTGTAGCATTGTTTGTATACTTTTTTACAGTCTTTTTTTTTAAGGATAGTCAAGTGAAGCCCTGGGAGTGGAGAAAGAACAAAAAAATCTGTAACTGGTTGGGATCAATTAGTTGTAAATACCACAGCACTCACACCAGCCCAGTCACCTTTTTTAAAAAATAGTTTTTGGCATCATTATGTTATATCGTACGTATAACCTTCTCCCTTTAAAACATCTTGGGATCTTTTTTAAAAAGTATAATCACTGTTACATACACATGTTGAACCAAATGCTGTTTTAAACATTGACTATTGCCAGTAGGATAGGCACAGAATCCGTTTCTTTTGGCAAAGCTGTATGTTTCTTTAACGTGTGCTTTATTTCAAAGGTACTGTGCTCATCTTCTGTTCAAAAGGTGTGTTTAATTAAACACAAGAAAAGCTTCATTGTTCACTTACTATGTGGTCCCTTACCAGCTCTCAGAGCCCACTACCCATGAAGTTAACATGTATGTAATAAATGATTGCTAAAAGTTGTTTAAAATGACTTTTATCTATTTTGCTTCTTCAGAAACTGCTCTGTGAAAAATTAGAGGAACAGTTGCAGGATTTGGATGTTGCCTTAAAGAAGAAAGAGCGTGCCGAACGAAGGTATTTTTATATGTGTGTTAATGTTTTGTTTGGGAATATGAGAGCAGAATTGTCTCACTGTATGGATAAATGGATCCATCTAAAACAAGGATTGGCATACTGTGGCCTGTGGGCCAAATCCAGCCTCCTTTTTGTTTTTGTACTGCCTGCTAACTAAGAATGTTTTTTATGTTTTTAAATGATTGGGGGGAAAAACTAGAATCATATTTCATGACACATGAAAATTATATGATACTCAAATTTTATTGTCTGTGAATAAAGTTTTATTGAACGCAACCTTGCTCATTTGTTTGTATATTGTCTGTGGCTACTTTTGCCCTGTGACAGCAGCATTGAGTAGTTGGAACAGAGACCTTATGACCTGCCAAGATTGCATGCTTATTATCTTTCCTTTTATAGGAAATGTTTGCCAACTTTCTATCTGAAGTATTTATCAGAAGTAGCTGGGCATGGTGGCTCCCGCCTGTAATCCCAGCACTTTGAGAGGCCGAGGCAGGCAGATCACCTGAGGTCAGCCTGGCCAACATGGTGAAACCCTGTCCCTACTAAAAATACAAAAATCAGCTGGGCATGGTGTCGCACACCTGTAGTCCCAACTACTCGGAGGCTGAGGCAGGAGAATCGTTGCAGTGAGCCAAGATCACGCCACTGCACTGCAGCCTGGGCAAGAGTGAGACTCTGTCTCAAAATAAATAAATAAATGAATAAATAAAGTATTTGTCAGAACCTTCTCTGAATAAATATTGGCCCAAATATTGTGGAGGGTATGTCCATAACTAAGTATTGTAGAGAATACAAAAAAACTATAAGAACTGGTCTGTAATTCAGTTATCCTTGTCATCTCCTTGGGTGGGCAGCTAACATTGGTGAAATAAAGAGTATTAAATGCTGAATTGTGTCCTACTGACTGTAAGAGATGCCCCTCTTTTCAATATAGCATTGCAGTGGTGGTCTTAAGCAGTTGGAGAAGGTTTTTTGTTTTTTTTTTTTTTTTTTTGAGATGGAGTCTCGCTCTGTTGCCCAGACTGGAGTGCAGTGGCACAGTCTCGGCTCATGGCAACCTCCATCTCCCAGGTTCAAGTGATTTTTTTGCCTCAGCCTCCTGAGTAGCTGGGACTACAGGCACCCGCCACCACGCCTGGCTAATTTTTGTATTTTTAGTAGAGAAGGGATTTCACCATACTGGCCAGGCTAGTCTCGAACTGCTGACCTTGTGATTCACCCGCCTCGGCCTTCCAAAGAGCTGGGATTACAGGCGTGAGCCACTGTGCCCAGCCTGGAGAAGGGTTCTTAGATGAAGTTCTTAAGACTGAACTTGAGCCTCCTCTTTAAAAGGGGATTCATAATCAGGACAACAGTTCATATTTATTTGTACCTTCTTTAATTAATCTATTTCTGATCATTCATTTTCACCTACTGTATACCAAACTGAAGAGGAAAGATCAAAAACAAAGCTCTTGTTTACATGGAACTCACCTTCTATTAGAGAATACAGACATATGAACCAATAATATAGTACAGACCAATAATATAGTACAGAACCAATGATATGATAAAATGGAAAAGTGGAGATATATTAAAAGCAATACAGGAACATGGTGGAGGAGCATTTTAGTTCTCATAGGATTTGGGGTTCTCAAGAGAGGCCTTGTAAGATAAATTGAGATTATACCGATGAACATATTTCAGACAAAGAGCACAAACATGAGCAAAGGCAAAGTGTAAAAGTGACAGTAGAGGTATGGTAGGAGATAGATTTTTGTAAAAGCTGAGTAAGGCCAAATTGTGAATAGCTTTCCAGGTTGGGGAATTTGACTTATTCTCTATAGAAAGTGGGGCGGCCATCAAAGGAGACATATGTAAGTATATCTTTATTTCAGAAAAAAATGCTCTGGTAACAGAAGAATGAAATAGAGTTGGGACTGTTGGAATAGCAAACCTGAGAGTCTGTAAGGCCTGAATTAGGGCAGGCATTGTGATAATAAGGTGGAGGTGTTGGGGAGAATTTTCAGAGGATTAATCTGTCATAGGACTTGATGCCCGTTTATACACTAGTATGATTGAGGAAATCTAAGCATTATCTCCTGATTTTACCTTCATTTGCTACTTCTTTACCTTATATCCCCTGACTCATAGTCTCGCCCTCCAAATTTAGCTTGCCTTAAGGCAATCAGCTTGTCCCATAATCCTCTCACTTTACCTTGTGCAAAGGTGAACCTTAAAAATGGATTCAGCCTCCAGAACCTAAAGGTTTTGTTTTTTTTACTACCCAGTTTGAGCACTCTGGCTCGTAATGGATGCTGCTTAGTTTAAAGGCAAGTTAATCTCTCAAATTGACTAGGACATAAAAGTACTTTGAATTGAGAAATGCTAGGTTATTTCTTTCTTTCTTTTGTTTGAACACAGGGTCTCACTATGTTGCCCAGGCTGGTCTTGGAACTCCTGGGCTCAAGGGATCCTCCTGCCCCAGCCTCCCAAGTAGGAGGGACTACAGGTGCCCATCACCACACCCAGCTAAACCTTGGGTTATTTCCATAAACTACTTGTGTTTCAGATATTTGGAATATTTTCCAAGAACATTTTAAAAAATAAAGAATGATCCTGTATGAAATTACTAGGACTATTTTGATGTGCTGTTTCTCTTGTTTTTATTTTTGACACTGCAAAAGATGTAACTAAAGGTATTTAAATTAAATCACGAATAAAAACTAGATTTTTCCTTTGCCTCCATCTTGCTCAAATCTGTTTATCCTTTTCAGAAATTAGCAGTTTTCCCATGTCCTGAAGCTGATTTGTCTCAGAAATGTAGATAGCTAATAGGCTCATCCACTAAGGAAGAGAATTTTGTTTTGTTTTGTTTTGAGACAGAGTCTTGCTCCGTCACCCAGGCTGGAGTTCAGGTACAGTGGCAGGGTCTCAGCTCACTGCAACCTCTGCCTCCTGGGTTCAAGCGATTCTTCTGCCTCAGCCTCTCGAGTAGCTGGGATTACAGGCACGCGCCACAATGCCCAGCTAATTTTTGTATTTTTAGTAGAGACGAGGATTTCACCATGTTGGCCAGGCTGGTCTTGAACTCCTGACCTCAAGTGATCCACCTGCCTTGGCCTACCAAAGTGCTGGGATTACAGTCATGAGCCACTACTCCCAGCTGAGAATGTATTCTTTCTAAAAGCCAAGAATGTAAACCACTAAGAATTTCTTACCTGCTTATTCTTTGGAGCCCTTTGATGCTTATACCATTTATATGTGTAAAAGCCTGATGAAAAAATTTTGACAACAGCCTCATATGCTATAGGATATGCCACTGCAATTATGAAATATTTTGATTTTTAGAAATTTTTATTTTAAAGTATGCCACAATATTTGTTTATATTACTGTCTCCAATTTACTAGTTCCTTTACTTTCTCTCCTACTCTAGGTAATCCTCTTTGTTTAAATGTCATCCTTTTTATTTTTTGGAGACAGAGTCTCGCTTTGTCACCCAGGCTAGAGTGCAGTGGCACGATAACTGCAACCTCTGCCTCCCATCTTTAAGTGATCCTCCCACCTCAGCCTCCTGAGTAGCTTGGACCACAGGCACACGCCACCACACCCGGCTAATTTTTGTATTTTTTACTACAGATGGGGTTTTGCCATGTTGGCCAGCTTGGTCTCAAATGCCTAGCCTCAAGTGATCTACCCAAGGTTACCCAAGGTGGGTAACCTTGGCCTCCCAAAATTATGGGTTTACAGGCATGAGCTACCACACCTGGCTTTAAATGTCATCCTTTAAGAGGACATCTGTAATTATGACTTTATATCATACACTAAGTTCTCAGATTGTGTATAGAAAAGAAAGGAAAGTTACTGTTACAGGAAGACCAGTCTGGCACAGAGCCAGTTAATGGATTGTTGTTGGTGTTTGCTGATTCTCCCTAATAATCTGGTTAACAAAGCTTTTGTTGTATATAGTTCCTAGAATACAAGTATGTGTGTGTGTGCATGTATACACACACATGTATATGAATCTTAGGAGCTCTAAACAGCAAAATATGTGTTTCTAAAATAAATATTAGCTGTAAATTCTAGCCATCGTCATTCAGTTTTCTAAAGTAAGCACTTATATTCACTTTTTAAAAATCTGTGAAATAACTTATTAGCATTCATCCTAGCAGCTTAGAGGTGTACTTACTCCCTATGTCATAATACAAGAGCATTTTACTCCCTGTTTACTCCCTAAGCAACCCTTGTTTATGCAGTCATTCAACATTTAAGCAACATGTATTGGGTACCTACTTTATGCCAATGAGTGTAATCAAATGAGGAAGTATATAATGTGGTCTTTACCATAGAGGTCTCTACAGTCTTGTGGAAAAGAGGGATGGATATACATTTCAGTGAGTATTTAGTGGCTAGCCAGCAACTGTCTACAGACCTGATGGTGTGATGCTCTGTGAAATCTGATGTTTTAGAAGTCCACTGAATGATTTTTAAACATACCAGTTTTAATAGCATCACAACCTATCTCTAAAAAGACCATGAATATTCTTGTTAGCAGGGCACTAAAGGCTGCACTCTAAAAGACCTAGCCAGCTGGATACATTAATATCCTTATATAAGGAACATTACAAGCAGAGAGAGACAGAATGATTACTATTTCAGTTCAGTTCAATTTAACATACAGAGGCATGTCAGAGCTCAGCTGTTCTTGAATTGGATTAACTTTGAGAGAACCAGGGAAAACACCTGCTTTTTTTTTTTTTTTTTTTTGAGACAGGGTCTCACTCTTGATGCCCAGGCTGGAGTGCAGTGGCATGATCAAAGCTCACTGCAACCTCCAACTCCTGAGTTCAAGTAATCTTCCCATCTCAGCCTTCTGAGTAGCTGGGACAATAGGTGTGTGCCACCATACCTGGCCAATTTTTATTTTTTCAATTTTTATAGAAACAGGCGTCTCACTGTGTTGCCCAGCTGGTCTTGAATTCCCAGCGTCGGGGGACCTCCTGCTTTGGATTACAGGCATGAGCCACCACACCCAGCCATCCTGCTGTTTTTTTAATATGTAATTTAATTAAAATCAACAAAGGTTTGTTTCTTGGAAATGAAACTATGGAGATGTCATTGGCTCAAGTCTGTATTTCCTGGCTCTAGTTATCTTCAGCTGTGGCCTTCTAGAGCACAGAGCTATACGTCTGCATTGCTTTTTTCTCTTTCAACAGCAAGGAATGAATGGTCTCAGTGTCATTCACTGGGACCTTGATAAGGTTTTGTTTACATAATTTTTATAGCAATATTTATTACCATGAGTTTATAATTGTTTATACATACACCCAAAATATTACTAAAAACTTTCTCCAGCATAACAAAGATCTAATTTGTCTAATCAAAGGTGGCTTTCCATCTAATCTTATCAACTTGTCACAGCATGACTCTTGATGAAGTTGCTTGTCTTATTTCAGTTATAGGTTTTATTTCACCAATGTAAGTCATTTCTGAAAGATATTGTTATCTTAACCCTAGGAAATGTTGAGCTCCCCACACATACTAATACTATATTAAAGTTTTATACTTAATAGCTAACATGGGCCAGGAGCAGTGGTCACACCTATAATCCCAGCACTTTGAGAGGTCAAGGTGGGTGGATCGCTTGAGGCCAGGAATTTGAGACCAGCCTGGCCAACATGGCAAAACCCCATCTCTACTAAAAATACAAAAATTAGCTGGTTGTGGTGGCTCTCACCTGTAATCCCAGCTACTTGCAAGGCTGAGGCAGTAGAATCACTTGAACCCGGGAAGTAGAGGTTGCAGTGAGCTAAGATTACGCCACTGCACTCCACCCTGGGCAAGAGAGTGAGACCTTGTCTATAAATAAATAAATAAATAATAGCTAACATTTCTGTGACTTACCCTCTGCTGTTAACGTGAAATTGTAATTTTAACATTATGTGTATTCGTGATGTTTACATAACAGTTTTATTTTCTGCAAATCTCATGTATTTTGTTTGTTTTTCACCTAAAGAAAAGAACGCTTGGTGTATGTTGGTATCAGTATTGAAAACATCATTCCTCCACAAGTAAGTTTCTGATTTGTAATGTTTTTAAATGGGAGATTGTCATAATTGCTCTAAAATTTTACCCACCTTATGTAATGTTAGTGGTTTTATTTATTTATTTATTTATTTATTTATTTCGAGATGGAGTTTCGTTCTTGTTGCCCAGACTGGAGTGCAATGGCGCAATCTCTGCTCACTGCAGTGTCTGCCTCCTGGGTTCAAGCAATTCTCCTGCCTCAGCCTCCTGAGTAGCTGGGATTACAGGTGCCCGCCACCATACCGGCTAATTTTTGTATTTTTAGTACAGACGGGGTTTCACCATGTTGGCCAGGATGGTCTCGAACTCCTGACCTCAGGTGATCTGCCTGTCTTGGTCTCCCAAAGTGCTGGGATTATAGGTGTGAGCCACTGCTCCTGGACAGTGGTTTTAAATCTATGATACACCAGTATTAAAAATGGAAATTTAAGACCTTCGAGAAATCACCCATAATCCCTCATGATTGAAATTTTATGTATGCAGGTAACTCCAAAATGTGATATCACATCTAAACTAAACTTACAGCTTTTACCTTTGGAGTATGTTTTCTGTTTTTACACTGAACTTTATAATGTGTTGTTAGCTTGTTTTGCATGCTGTTTATGTAAAATGACTAAAGAAGAGTTTGGGGAGATTTGATTTTTAATTTTTATTTTGGGGATTGTTGAAAACTTCAGTTTGTATTTTTCAACACAGTTTGGGTTTTTTGAAGGATTACCTTTGTTTTGCATTTATTAGTCTAATTTATAACTAAGGTGGGTATATCATGAGTGAAAGTGCATAAAATGTGGTTTTGTAATTTACATAATTTGTAATTTTTGCAATTTGTAAAAATGTGTATAAGTAATTTCATTCCGGCTTAATTAAATCACAAGCTTAAAAGGCCTGTCAAGTTATTTCCTTGAGTAGCAACCCCTTTCTTCTAAATCTTTCATTCATGCAGCATACCTGTTGAACATCTTCTGTTGCAAATTAAATTATTTATCAATGGAAAAACTTCATCATGACTGTTTTAAAACAAGTACTGGTTATAATCTCACAAAAGCGTCAGAATTTTAATACAGAAGGATTTCATCCTTTAATCACCAGCATTCTTTTTAATCTGTATACTCAGTGTTGCCATGTTTATTCACTTTTGGAGGGGATCATCTCAAACTTTTTCAGACCTTTCACATGTGCTACCTAAATGGAGATTACAAAACTGTTTATCCCAAGGAACTTTGTTCTGCATAAGGAATAACCTCTATGCTTATTATCATATTTTTTAAGGAGCCAGACTTTTCTGAAGATCAAGAAGAAAAGAAAAAAGATTCAAAAAAATCCAAAGCAAACTTGCTTGAAAGGAGGTCAACAAGAACAAGGAAATGTATAAGCTACAGGTATGAAGTGTATGGAAATGTCTACAGCAAAAGAGGATTTATTTTGCAAGTACACAGCATGATCCAGAAGTATATGCTTTTTCTATCATGCTGATTATTGCAGTTGTATATATATTTCTTGCCTTCCATCTTTAGTCATAGAATTTTTTTTTTCCTTTTTCTTTTTTTTTTGAGACTGAGTCTCGCTCTTGTTGGCCAGGCTGGTCTCGAATGCCTGACCTCTGGTGATTTGCCCTCCTCAGCCTCCCAAAGTGCTGGGATTACAGCCATGAGCCACCGCGCCCGGCCTAGTCATATAATTTTAGAGCAGAGTGATCCTTTCCAAATGTAAATCTGTTCATGTCATCCTCTTTTGCTTTAACATACTTTATCAGATTTCCATAGCTCTTGGGTTAAGGATTGTTTTGTTTTGTTTTTTCCAAGATGGAGTCTTGCTCTGTCTCCAGGCTGGAGTGCAGTGGCACCATCTCGGCTCACTGCAACCTCCACCTCTCGGGTTCAAGCGATTCTCGTGCCTCAGCCTCCCACGTAGCTGGGACTACAGGCGCCCGCCACCACGCCCAGCTAATTTTTGTATTTTTAGTAGAGACGGGGTTTCACCATGTTGGCCAGGATAGTCTCAACCTCTTGACCTGGTAATCCACCCGCTTCAGCCTCCCGAAGTGCTGGGATTACAGGCATGAGCCACCACACCCAGCCAAGCATTGATACTTTTAACAAGGCCAGTAAGGCACTGCATAGTCTCATCTCTACTTCCCTCTCCAACTCTATCTTATCACATTCTCCCTTACACTCTCTGCATTTGCTGCATCGCCTTTTAGTCCCTTTGCACATGCTGTTTACCTGCAATTTCCTTTTCAGTTTTAGCTTGTTAACCTCCTCTAGATCAAATCCCCCCCATTATATGCCTTCATAGCAACCAGTTCTTTTCCCTGAAAGCACTTACAATTGTAATGAGTGTGGTTGTGATGATTTATTAACATTTTTCTTCATCACTAGATTGTTAGCATGAAGGTAAGGACCATGTCTGTTTTACGTGGACTTGTGTCCCCTATACCTAGCATAGTGCTGACAGATAGTTAATGCTCCATAAGTACCTAGTGAAAGAATCAGTAAATATTACCTGGTTTACCTTTTAACACCAAAGATACCAGAGAGATTTTTTCCATGGTCACTGTTAGTAGCTATTCCTAGAAATCTTATCTTCTAAAACCCTATCTTCCAGTCTAGTGTTCTTTCCACTAAATCATGCTGTCTCATTCAAATAATAAATAAATTATATTTTAGTTATTTTAGATCATTTTTTGGCCTACAGCTTCTAAAATCTGCTGGGATAACACCAAATCAGTTTTTTAACTTGAATAACTGGAAAAGGAAAACAGTGGATTTTATGAAACTCTTAACTTTGAACTTGCTTCTTATTTATAAACTTGCATCAGTAATCATGGAGGAATTTGCTTCTATTGTTAGTGTTAAAACTTTATAAAAATATGGTAGAATCAGTAAGGGTAAAATCCCATATATACAGGAATAGTGCCCATCCTAGTCTTTAAAAAAATACTTCAAAAAATAAAAAGTTTTCTTCTGTATGTATGAAGTCAAAGCTGACAGATGGAAAGTGCAAATATGAAGTCAGTTCTGCTGCAACATAACATGTATTTTTAAAAAATCACCATGCTGTGCAAAATTATACAGGAAAAACCATAGAGATTATGGAAAATATGGGGTTAGAGACATACATTAAAAACTTCATTAGCGATGCATTAAAAAAGATAGGAATTTATTAAAAATGGGAGCGCCATTTGACATATGTTAAATAAGTAAGAAATACATAAATACTGCATTAACTATGGCGTTTTATACTGAAAAAGACCTGAAGCTTGTCTGTGGAAGCAGAGAATTGTAGTTTGTAAATTATGGTGTGGTGGCAGAAGGAGGTTTATCTGAAATCAGAAAAGTATAACATCAGATGCAAAAGGCTATAGTTTTATTATAACACATAGTGAAGTGATGTTACTGGTAGATGTCTTAGGTATGTGTGTTTTGTAGATTCCTGGGCAACTCATTTCAGCTAGGTGCAGTTTTCTGCATTCACCTAGTGTTTCTCACAAATGAAATTGCACATAAATTGGCTGGGCATGGTGGCTTACACTTGAAATCCCAGTACTTTGGGAGACTGAGGCAGGAGGATCGTTTCAGCCCAAAAGTTCAAGACCATCCTGGGCATCATAGAGAGACTCTGTAAGAGAGAGGGTGGCAGGGAAGAGGGAAGGAAAGGGGAAAGTAAGGAAGGAGGGAAGGAAGGAAATTGCACATAAGCATGTATGAATGAAATACATATCATGTTTGAGTTGTTTTGTAATATGTCAGTCATTTTGGAACTAGGTAGAGTATAAATAAATGCATTACACAATACATTTTATATGAAAATACATAGTTTACCCTAAATTCCGATTTTAGTCATATATGATTTTAGAGCTTAAAGGGATAATCTGTGTTAATCCACCATGACAGATGAGACAACCAAGACCAAGGGACTATAGATACATGGAGTGTTGTATTCAGAAATCTTTTATCTGAAGCTCTGCATCTGGGATATAAATCAAGGCTGTTTAGTTGCATTAAAAATGACTTAGATTATCATTAAGGCAAGAGTGGGATGTTTCATTCTTTGTGAAATAGTTTCATATGCCTGAAGTTTCTGATGGTCTTTGATTTTAGCGAACAAATTTCTCAGTAAGAAAGTAGTCACTCAAAGAAATAGGTTATTATGCCACCTTACAGCTGCACCCTGTCCTCAGAACAAATGCTGTTTTCAGTTAATTTTGCATCTGGCATCTGGCTTTATATGTATCTGCTATTCTACCCTAGTGAATGGATGTGCTGAGTTTTACTTTCTCAGAACTTAAGACAAATCCACACTGCAGCTACAAGAATGTTTCTCATAATATTGCAATTGTGAAAAATTGGAAATAAACTGTTTTAACTAAATATGATACATCTGTAAGGTGAGATACTATGCAGCCAGTAAAAATTACATTGTAAAAGAAGAGCTCTCCATCTGAAATTTGTGAGTCCTTTGAAATTATATATTCTAACTCAGAAGGCAGGATGTTTAGTTTTTAGAGACGGGGTCTTGTTATGTTGCCTAGACTGGACTCCCAACTCCTGGGCTCAAGCCATCCTACTGCCTCAGCCTCCCAAATAGTTGGGACTATGGGTGTATACAGCCACTTCCAGCCTCCAGCTTTTAGTCTTTTTTCTTTTTTTGAGACAGGATTTCACTCTGTCACACAGGCTGGAGTGCAGTGGCATGATCACAGCTCACTGCGGCCTCGAACTCCTATCCACAAGCAGTCCTATTGCCTCAGCTTCCCAGAGTGCTAGGACTACAGGCACACATCACCACACCTGGCTAATTTTTTTAATTTTTTATTTTTGTAGATACAGGGTCTCACCATATAGCCCAGATTGGTCTCAACCTCCTGGGCTCAAGTTATACTCCTGCCTCAGCCTCCCAAGAGTGCTGAGCCACTGCACCCAGCCCTAGCTTTTAGTTTTGATGCTGTTGTTAATCCATTGTGTGCCCGTAATCCCACCCTCTTCAATATAATATACTCTGGTGATGGAAATAGAATCTATTTCTTTGATGTCTGATATGGTGGCCATAGCCATATGTGACTATTGAATACTTGAATTATGTCTAGTGAGGAACAGAATTTTAAATTTTAATGAATTTAAATATAAATAGCCACACAGGCTAGTAATTACCATTTTTAGCGTAGATTTAAACAAGTTACTTCATCCTTTTGGCTGAGCCCTGAAGTAAAAGGCATTTTATATGTGAAGAAATCTTAGGAATCCTTTAGTCTTGATCCTTTTCTTTAAGTCAAGGTAAACAGCTTCAAGAAATACTTTTACCTAGTTCTAAAATTTTAACCATTTGTGTATGAATTTCAGTTATAATATAATTTTCAATAGCAGTAATAATATAGCCCTATTATTGGGACTCTTTTTCTTTTCTTTTTTTTTTTTTTGAGACAGGGTCTCGCTCTGTCCCCCAGGCTGGAGTGCAGTGGTGCATTCTCGGCTTACTTCATCCTCTGCCTCTTGGGCTCAAGCAATCCTCTTGTCTCGGCCCCCCAAGTAGCTGGAACTACAGGCACGCACCACACACCCAGCTAATTTTTTGTATTCTTTATAGAGACAGGGGTTCACCATGTTGCCCAAGCTGGTCTTGAACTCCTGGGCTCAAGTGATCTGCCTGCCTTGGCCTCCCAAAGTGCTGAGATTACAGATGTAAGCCACTGTGCCCAGACATATTATTAGGACTTAATAGTATTTATGGAACTGTAATTTTGTTTTACTTACTTTGCCATGTGATTTGTATAATTAGGAGTTGGCAAATTATGGCCTGTGGGCCAAATTCAGCTCACTTCTAGTTTTTGTACAACGTGACCTCAAAGTGGTTTTTATAAATGTTTGAAGAAAAGGATCAAAAGAAAAATGATATCCTGTGAAAATTATATGGAAATTACCTATAATTCAAATTTTAATGCTCATAAAGTTTTATTGAAACACGTCTGTATCATTTACTTACATGTTGTCCGTAGCTGCTTTGCACTACAATAGCAGAGTTGAGTAGTTACAACAGAGACTGCATTGTCTGAAAAGCCTAAAATATTTACCATCTGGCCCTTTATAAAAATTTTTGCTGACATTGCCTCAGTCTAATTTGGCTGCTATCAGAAAGTAACCGTAAACTGGATAGCCTATAATCAACAGAAATTTATTTCTTGCGGTTCTAGAAACTAGGAGGTCCAAGGTCAAGATACTGGCAGGTATGCTGTCTGGTGAGGGCCTGCTTTCTGGTTCATAGATGGCACCTTCTAGGGTGTTCTTAATCACGGAAGGGATGAGGGGAGTTTTTAGGGTAGACCCGATGCCTAGTGAAGGCCTGCTCCTTCATAGATGGCCATCTTCTCACTGTAACCCCATATGGTGGAAGAAACAAAGGGTCTCTCTCTGGCTTCTTTTATATGGGCACTAATCTTATACATGAGGGCTCTGCCAAAGACCCCACCTCCTAATACCATCACCTTGAGATTTAATATTTCAACATGGGGATTTTGAGGGGACATAAACAATCAGACAGTAACAGACATCTGCTAAAGGTAATCTTTAAAAATAAAAGGACAGCTGGGTGCGGTGGCTCACGCCTGTAATCCCAGCACTTTGGGAGACTGAGGCGGGCAGATCACGAGGTCGAGATCGAGACCATTCTGGCCAACATGATGAAACCCTGTCTCTACTAAAAGTACAAAAATTAGCTGGGTTTGGTGGCACGCGTCTGTAGTCCCAGCTACTCGGGAGGCTGAGGCTGGAGAATCCCTTGAACCCGGGAGGCAGAGGTTGCAGTGAGCCGAGATGGCGCCACTGCACTCCAGCCTGGCAACAAAGAGAGACTCCGTCTCAAAAATAAATAAATAAAAATAATTAAAAAAAAAAAAAAAAAAGCCAGGACAGGCTATAATGTGATCATTGTGTATATTTTAGATTTGATGAGTTTGATGAAGCAATTGATGAAGCTATTGAAGATGACATCAAAGAAGCCGATGGAGGAGGTATGTGTTTGTCGTTCTCTCTTCTTCATAGAACTCTGCCAAGAAGTTCATTCAGGTGCCCAAATTAGGGCAGTGAGCATATGTTTTTATTCTCTTTCCCGTTATGTATCATGATTAGTACTGATGTTAGTTGTCTCAGATTTAGAGTAATTTGTGGATACAATGTCAGTGTATAGACTCAGATCTTACTAACTACTTTTAAAGCAGTTTTGTTTTACAAGCTGATATAAAACATTGATGTTCCTTCATAGGTTAAAAAATTTACTTCTGATTCCATATAGAAAACTGAGGAAACTTTTCAGTTGTCTTTGAGACTACAAAGTCTCAAAAATTATGGATAATCAGAACCAAAATAATTTAAACCAAAAATTTTTAAGTTAACCTATTAAAAATTGGTTTCTTAATTTCATAGTCTTTAGTAAGTGGCATTAAAATAGAAGAACTTGAAGGTAATTTAATTAAAGCACTATTAGCCAATGCTCCAATATGGAACATTCTGGTTTCTACTTAGTTATTATGAAAACTCTGGAAAAGATTAATAAGTAGATTGTTTAAGGCTTTTCCAGAGATGTATGTTTTATTTACATTTTTGCTGCTGAATTCTCACTTTTTCTGTCCTGCAAACACTGTTTTTAAAAACTCTATTGGCCTCTTTCTAAAGCCTTGTCCAAAAGACAGCTTTCAAGAAGAGATTCTTGAGTGACTGCTCATAGGTATGAGGTTTCTTTTTTGGGTGATGAAAATGTTCTGGAGTTAGGTAGTGGTGATGGTTGCACAACTTTGTGACTATACTAAAAATGTCTGAATTGTACACTTTAAGAGGGTGAATATTGCGGTGTGTGAATTATATAAAAATTTAAAAAACGAGGTTCCCTACATAGTAAACTTCTCTTCAGTAGGGTAAACGAATGCTAAAACTCTGAGACCTCTGTCAGCTGAAGTCATAAGAAAACTGCATATTTGTTGGAAGAAAATAAAGAAATGAAGAGCTGCTAAGCATGAATAAGGACTGTCTCTAGAAATTAAAGGGAAGCTTTTAATAAACACATATTTTTCTCTCCCCGAACTTCCCTCCCCCAAATTCAGGAGTTGGCCGAGGAAAAGATATCTCCACCATCACAGGTCATCGTGGGAAAGACATCTCTACTATTTTGGATGAAGAAAGAAAAGAAAATAAACGACCCCAGAGGGCAGCTGCTGCTCGAAGGAAGAAACGCCGGCGATTAAATGATCTGGACAGTGATAGCAACCTGGATGAAGAAGAGAGCGAGGATGAATTCAAGATCAGTGATGGGTGTGTGGTCTCCTACTAGGCCCCGATCCCTAGATACCAGCAGGAACAGGACTGGGCTAGCAGAGAGGCTTGCCCATGCTGTGATGAGGGTTTTCTTCTTCATGTACATAGACAACCTCTGTTTATTTTCAGGATATTTAAAGCAGATTCAAGAATACTAATTTTGGCCCATTTTTAAAGTTTAGAACAGAAAATAGATTTATGGTTGTTTAACATTCAAAATTGTATTTAAATTTTACTAACTACAATTAAACTTTCATTTGTTGAGAGCTTTCTCTGTACCTCTGTGCCACCTTCTGCCAGGTCCATGAGGGGTTTCCAGTCCTATGTGAAAAATAAATAAGATATTATCCTCTCATGACTCATAGAAGTTGGACTTGGGACTGGTAATCCAGTATAGAAGATCAAGAAAGGCTTCTTTGCAGAGTTGGAATTGAAACAATACTGCAGAGTTTCTCCTTTCAGATTATTAGAAGAGGAAACAAGTATATAAACCACAAAAAAAAAAAAAAGTCATTCTGCATAACTGCTACTAAAATACAGGGAAAGATAAATTAGGCTACAGAGGAAAGTTGGCTTAATCCAAAGAGTAAACCTTAAAGTAGAAGTAAAGCTTGATCTGAAATTTGAAGAATGAGTATTTGGAATCAACAAGTATGAGACTAAAAGCAGGATAAGAAAAAGGTATTCTAAGCATAGAAGTCACATGTCCAAGACAGCAAGCCGTAAAATGTCATAGAATGTTTGGGAAACTCCTGTTGGCTCTGGATAGCAGGAATAAGGGGATGAAGTAGAGAGTGCCCTACTGGAGATGTGGTCAAGTGATAAAAAGAGCCAGATTAGGGAGTGTTTTATTTGTCATGCATAAGTGTTTTGACTTTATCCTGAAAATTATACAAAACCAGTGAAGGGTTTTAAACACTAAATTAATATGAGATTTATGCTTCAGAAAGATTCATCCTGGCATTCATTTGGAGGATAGATTGAGGGGAAATGAGACCAGATATTAGAGAAACTATTTGTGGAGTTGCTTTTGTAGTTAAGGTGAGTATGAAAAGCTGAAAACAGAAGAGATCAGGTTTGAGAGATTATCTTTTAAGAGGTAGACTCTAGAGAAATTATTAATTTATTGGATATGAGAAATGAAAAGGGGAAAGTTAGGATAAATACCACGTTTCTGGTTGGAGTTACCGGATGAGTGATGGTGCCAAATACCAGGCCAGGGAACAGAAGAGAGAAGTAGATTGGGAAATAATGAATTCACTTTTGAATATGTCGAATTTAACATGGGGGACATCCCAAGAGGTCAAAGCAGTACAGAAATCAACATTAATTCATCTTTACAACCCCTCCTAAGAGGATAGGTGGCAAAACATTTTCCCCATTTTATAAATAGGGCATTTGATACAATTATCCAGATATGTTGCACTATACTTAATGATTCACTGGGCTCACCAGAATTTGAACTCAGAACTCTTAAAAATGGGTTCACTCTTCTAAATACCATTGTATTTTATCTGATTTCTCTTGGACAGATCTCAAGATGAGTTTGTTGTGTCTGATGAAAACCCAGATGAAAGTGAAGAAGATCCGCCATCTAATGATGACAGTGACACTGACTTTTGTAGCCGTAGACTGAGGCGACACCCCTCTCGGCCAATGAGGCAGAGCAGGCGTTTGCGAAGAAAGACCCCAAAGAAAAAATATTCCGATGATGATGAAGAGGAGGAATCTGAGGAGAATAGTAGAGACTCTGGTAAAAATAATCTGTAACCATATGGTAGCTCAATAAATTATTTTTTGTTTTTCTTGTTGCTCATGCTGGAGTGCAATGGCACCATCTCGGCTCACTGCAACCTCTGTGTCCCGGGTTCAAGCGATTCTCCTACCTCAGCCTCCCAAGTAGCTGGGATTACAGGCATGTGCCACCATGCCTGGCTAATTTTGTATTTTTAGTAGAGAGGGAGTTTCTCCATGTTGGCCAGGCTGGTCTCAAACTCCCGACCTCAGGTGATCTGCCCACCTCAGCCTCCCAAAGTGCTGGGATTACAGGCGTGAGCCAGCACGCTGGCCAGCTCAACAAATTCTTATGACTTCTGGAGTTAAGAGTTCTTAAAATTCTGTTCTTAAGACTTATTTCTGACTAAATTTTTCTCATAGAAAGCACATCTGAGAAAATACATACTGATTGATACGTTAACTTCATATCAGATGCCTAGTAGGATTGTGATGACTCCTTGGTTGTCAAATGTTTCCACTCCTAAACCTTCATCTTCATAGGGTTTCTTGGAAATCATTCTCAATAAACTGTGAACATTTCCCTCAGATGCCCAGCTGTTGGAGAGAGAAGAATACAAGTTAACTCTCATTTAGACCACAGTCAGTGTTGAGTAGTTTTTACAGATTAACAGTAGTTGATGTTGTTATAGAGTATGCTTATCCCTATTAAGTGAGTAAATAGAGGCTCAACCGCTACAAGAAATGAATGCTTTATGTAATTGGCAAATTGATAGGTGTCATCTTATTAGAGAAGAACCATAGATATGAGTATCAGACTCTGGCCATCCTTGTGGGTTTTTTTTGGTTTTATTTATCTTTTTTCCTAAACCATCTAAATAAGTGATGATAATATCATGCCCCTTTATCAGTGATTATTTCCTAAGGACAAGGACATTTTCTTACATCACCACAATGCAATTACCAAATTCAGATATTTTAACATTGATATAATGCTATTACCTAATTAACAGTACACATTCAAATTTTTAACAAGTATCTCCATATTATTCTTTATATCTTTTTTTTCTTTTCCTAACCCAGGATCCATTCCAGGGCTATGCGTTTATTCACATCTCTTTAGTCTCCATTAATCTGGAATAATCCTCAAATTTTGTCTCATCTTGATATTTTTAAAGAGTACATACTAGTTGTTTTGTAGATGTTTCCCAGTTTTGATTTCTTTTGTTTCCTTGTGATAAGATTCAGATTATGCATTTATAGTGGGAATAGCACAGAGAATGTTGCATCTTCTGAGTCTCTTTATTATTTTTCCTTATAATTAATAAGTAATTTGTGGGAATTTGAGACTATTTAAATATCCTTTTCCTTATATTTCACCTGCTAGTTTTAGTTCCTGTGGATAATTCTAACTCTGTCATTTCTGTTATATTTATTTATTGTTGTTCTGTAAGGAAGAACATTTCCCTTCTCCTCCATATGTTTGTTTATTTATGACAGTGTAAACTCGTGGATTCTTATTCTGATCAGTGGATATACTACATTCCCATCACTATTTAGGCTCCATTTGTCCCAAATTTGGCCAATGAGAACCACTTCAACCTATTGGCTAGCTATTTTGAAATGTTTGAAATCCACAAAAGAATAACAAGCTTGAATGTCGTACTTCGGTGGAATTTAACATTCTGAAAAACAGCTGTGACATAATGCCACAGCCTCACTCTGGCTTATTGATCAGAGATGACAGGAACAATGCTATTTAGCAGTGCTTTGCAAGTTTAACTAGGTCTGTGTGCTTTATTTAGCAGATTTGTATTCTTTATGGAGAAGAGTCAAAAATATATCTTGAGTTCTGTATTTATGTGGAACAGATTCATGAGTTTTCTTTGGTTAGAGGGCATAACCTCTGCAATACATTATGACTATAGTGACAGGTAGAACAGCATATTATCAGGAGGCGGATTTGTGGTAGCCGTCTACCAAGAAGAGCAGTCATGGCAGCTGTGTACCTGACCAGGTAGCTGTAGGTCGACTGCAGTAAGGACTATTTCTAAAAAAGTATAAAACATTTAGGCTGGGTGTGGTGGCTCACACCTGTAATCCCAGCACTTTGGGAGGCCGAGGCAGGCGGATCACTTGAGGCCAGGAATTCAAGACCAGCCTGGCCAACATGGCGAAACCCCATCTCTACTAAAAATACAAAAATTAGCCAGATGTGGTGGCGGGTACCTGTAGTCCCAGCTACTCGGAAGGCTGAGGCAGGGGAATTGCTTGAACCCGGGAAGTGGAGTTTGCAGTGAGCCAAGATCATGCCACTGCACTCCAGCCTGGGCGACATAGTGAGACTCTGTCTCAAAAACAAACAAACTAAAAAGGATAAAACATTTTCTAATCTTGAGGATTCACCGCTAAGAGTATATATTGTGAGGTTTGGCATTAAAAACCTGCACAGATTGAGTCATTTTTTTTTTTTTTAAGGGAGACTTAAAGGCCAGGCATGTGGTAATCTCAACACTTTGGTAGGTAGCCAGGAGTGGTAGTGCATATGCCTGTGATCCTAGCTTTAGCTACTGGGGCAGCTGAGGCCAAAGGATCTCTTGAGCCCAGGAGGTTGAGGCTGTAGTGAGTCATGTTCATGCCACTGCACTCCAGCCTGTGTGATAGTGAGATACTCTCTCAAATAAAATGAGACTCATAAAAGTTACTGTTCACTTAAAAATATTTATGACTGAACTCTGCTTGGTAGCTTTTCATTTTTATAACCTAAGCTACATTTCTAAATAGACTTAAATTTTGTACTTTGTTCTTCCTTTTTTTAAAATAGAAAGTGACTTCAGTGATGATTTTAGTGATGATTTTGTAGAAACTCGGCGAAGGCGGTCAAGGAGAAATCAGAAAAGACAAATTAACTACAAAGAAGACTCAGAAAGTGACGGTTCCCAGAAGAGTTTGCGACGTGGTAAAGAAATAAGGCGAGTACACAAGCGAAGACTTTCCAGCTCAGAGAGTGAAGGTAAGGCATAGGTCTCCTATATATAGAAGTTTGGACAGGGCAAAATAGACATTATAAAGTGAACTCAGGATTGTGATTCTGTACCATTCTTTGAAACTCATATAACCAGGCCAGGCATGGTGGCTCACGCCTGTAATCCCGGCAGTTTGGGAGGCCAGGGCATGCAGATCACTTGAGGCCAGGAGTTCAAGACCAGCCTGTCCAACATGGTGAGACCTTGTCTCTACTAAAAATAAAAAAATTAGCCTGTGTGGTGATACGCGCCTGTAATCTTAGCTACTCAGGAGGTTGAGGCAGGAGAATTGCTTGAACCTGGGAGGCGGAGATTGCAGTGAGCCAAGGTTGTGCCACTGCACTCCACCCTGGGTGACAGAGCAAGACTGTGTCTCAAAAAAAAAAAAAAAAAATCCATATAACCAGTAGTATCTTTGAGATAAAACCTATAATCTTGTGCCTACCATAGTTTAAATAAAAGATACTCGATAAGAGGCTAATTTTTAAGATCTCCATTGTAATTTAAATTTTCATTGAAACTAGAAAAGTCTCAGAAAATTGTGATCTGATCAAGATTATTCTACTTCTTTTTCTTACTCCCTTATTCATGGCCCTCATTTTGAAATAACCTCTTATGTCCTTAATAGCTAAAAGGTTTCAAATAAAAGTGCCTACTGTCTCTTTCACCTTGACTATGATTTCAGTTGGAAACCGAAATCATTATTTCCTAATAGCTATAACTGTGCCCCCTACCAGTAGTACAAGACAAGCTCTAAAATATGAATTTCTTACATCCATTTAGTCTTTTTTGTTTTACTTAAATTATATATATATAGTGTATATATATATACACACATATATACATATAAATATATATATATATATATATATATATATATATATATATATTTTTTTTTTTTTTTTTTTTTTTTTTTTTTTTTGGTGACAGAGTCTTACTCTGTCACCCAGGCTGGAGTGCAGTGGTGTGATCTTGGCTCACTGCAACCTCCGCCTCCCAAGTTCAAACGATTCTCCTGGCTCAGCCTCCCAATAGCTAGGATTTTAGGCATGTGCCACCAAGCCTGGCTAATTTTTGTATTTTTAGTAGAGATGGGGTTTCACCATGTTGGCCAAGCTAGTCTCGAACTCCTGACCTCAGGTTATCCGCCCACCTTGGCCTCCCAAAGTGCTGGGATTACAGGCGTGAGCCACCGCGCCCGGCTTTATGGCCTGTTTTGAAGATTGTTTTGCTTTCATAGATTAAACATGAATTTAAGTTTGAGCCCAAGACAAAAGAGAAAGGGAAAAAAAATGTTTGGATGTGGGATGCTAAAGAAGGGAAGTGAACATCTTTTTCGAATGTGTACTTACCTTCATGTGTCACAGAAACAAACATAAATTGCATTAGTTAAGCCATTAAATATGAATATTTATTAAGCTAGGCCCTATTCCAAGCACTGGAATATAACAGCAAACAAAATAGCTCTTATGAAACTCTTATTTTAGTTGGGAAGAAGGTGACAATAAACAAGATAGATAAGTAGAATATATGATATATTAGAAATGAGTGCTTTGGAAAAAAATAAAGGAGAAAAGGGGGTTGGGAAAGTAGTTGAATTTCAGATAATATACTAAGGAAATCCTCACTAAGAAAACATTTGAGTGAAGACCTGAAAGAAATGTTGTGTGTGAGTCATGCACTTATCTAAAAGAAGAATGATACAGGCAGATGGAACAATAAATATGAAGGCCTTGAGGTATGTTTGTGCTTGTCATGTTCAGCAAACAGAAGGGAGTGCAGGGTTGTTGGAGCAGAATGAGTGAAGGCAGACATAATGAGATGAAGCAAAGAAGTCAGTGGGGGCCAGTCAGCAAACGAGAGCCCACCTGCTTACATAAATAAAAAAGCAAGGTTTTTGTTTTTGTTTTTGAGACAGGGTCTCACCCTGGCTGGCGTGCAGTGGCACAATCACAGCTCACCATAGCCTCAATCTGCTGTGCTCAAGCAGTCCACCTGCCTCAGCCTCCCAAGTGGCTAGAAGTGGCATAAGCCACCACACTGCTAATTTTTAAATTTATTTTATAGAGATGAGATCTTGCAGTGTTGCCCTGGCTGACCTTAAACTCCTGGCCTCAAGTGATCCCCCCTACCTTGGCCTCCCACAGTGTTAGGATTACAGGTGTAAGCCACTGCACCCTGCCCTGTAATACAGTTTTTACTGGAAGATTACCATACCAATTTGTTTACATATTGTCTGTTGCCTGCTTTCTCAAAAAGCTGAGTTGTTGTGACTGAGACTATAGGGCCTGCCTCTTACATAAAAAATGTGCTAACCTCTGATGATAAATAGTGCTGTGCAGTTAAACTTTCTGCACTGATTATATGTGTGCTGATCGTTACAATAGCCACTAACCTCATATGGCTATTGAGCACTTGAAATGTGGCTAGTGTGACCATGGAACTGAATTTTTATTTTTATTTAATTTTAACTAATTTAAATTTAAAATAACCACATGTGACTAGTGTTTATCATATTAGATAACACAGAGTAGGACATTGTATAGACTTTGGATTTTTATTTTGTGTAAGGTGAGAAACATTTGGGCCAAAGCACAGATGAGTATTCAGAAGCAGATGAGGAGGAAGAGGAAAGCAAACCATCCCACATTTTGAGCAAAAGAGTGATATGATCTGACTTAGATTTTAATTTGCTGTGGTAGCTGTGTTATGAATAGATTGAAGGGGGCCAGGGCAGAAGCTAGAAGACCCATTGGGAAGTTATTGTAATAGTCCAGGTGAGAGATGATGGAGGGTGGAACTGGGTCAGTAGCAGTAAAGGGATGAAAGCAGTCACATTGTGGATATGTTTTAAAGTGAGACCCAAAGGATTTACTGTTGGGTTGGATGAGAGAAAGAAAAGAATCAAGGATGACTGAGCAATTGGAGGAGCAATTGCCAAAAACTTAAGTTGGTAGAGACCACAGGGCTGCAGGTTTAAGGAGAAAGTTTAGGAGCCCAGTTTTAGACACATCATTTGAGATGCCTGTTTAGAGATATCCAAGCCTAGATGTCGAGTAGGCAGTTTGATACACTAGTCTGGAATTCAGTGGTTGCCTAAAATAAATGAGAGCCGTTAGCACATAGATGGCATGCCAAGTTGTGAGACTAGGTGAGTTCTTCTAAAATGGAAGTAGAGTCATCTTCAGTATCCATGGAGGATTGATTTCAGGATCCCCGCAGATATCAAAATCCTTGGATTTACAAGTCCCTCATATAAAATGGTGTCATATTCGCATATAACCTACCCATATCCTCTGTATACTTTAAATAAATCTCTAGAATATTTAAAATACCTGATACAGTGTAAATGTTATATAATTGTTATACTGTATTGTTTAGTGAATGACAAGAAAAAAGTCTATGTATGTTCAGACATTACCATCTATTTTTTTCCTGAATATTTTCCATCTGCAGTTGGTTAAATTAATGGATAGGGGGGCCCAACTATATAGACAAAGAAGAGAAGACAATTAAGACTACCAAGGGCGTCTAATAACTAAGATGAGAGTTGGCACAGTGTTTAAGAGGTACAGAGTTGGGTGTCCAGTTTGAATCTTTCCTTATCAGCGTGTTGACATGATAACCTAATTTGTGTACTAGTGGGAAGGAGTTTGTTAGTTTGAACTAACCTATCTTCATTTAATTCAAGCATTATCAGACATCTTCCCCCAAGAAATCTGCTGTTGGCTGGGCACAGTGGCTTACGCCTATAATCCCAGCACTTTGGGAGGCCAAGATGGGCAGATCACTTGAGGCCAGGAGTTCGAGATCAGTCTGGCCAACATGGTGAAACCCCGTCTCTACTAAAAATGCAAAGAAATTAGCTGGGTGTGGCGGCACACACACCTGTAATCCCAGCTACTTGGGAGGCTGAGACAGGAGAATTGCTTGAATCTGGAAGGCAGAGGTTGCAGTGAGCCTAGTTTGCGCCATGATACTCCAGCCTGGGAGACAGAGTGAGACTCTATCTCAAAAAATAAAGAAGGTCAGGCACAGTGGCTCATGCCTGTAATCCCAGCACTTTGGGAGGCCAAGGCAGATGGATCACAAGGTCAGGAGTTCGAGACCAGCTTGGCCAACATAGTGAAACCCCGTCTCTACTAAAAATACAAAAAGTTAGCCAGGCGTGGTGGCTGGCGCCTGTAATCCCAGCTACTCGGGAGGCTGAGGCAGGAGAATCGCTTGAACCCAGGAGGCGGAGGTTGCAGTGAGCCAAGATCACACCATTGTATTCTAGCCAGGGCAACAGTGCGAGACTCTGTCTCAATAAAAAAAAAGAAAATATTGTCTAAAATCATAAATAAAGTACACCATGAATCATATTGGGCATTGTTATGGGACTGAGAAGAGAGAAATCAGGCCAATTATTGAAAGGAAACATTTAGGTACAAGCAATTCTGAAAGCAGGACGTGGGGTGAATATCGGGAGGAAAAGGAGAATTAAATTCGTTTATGGTTAACCGTGCCAATGGCTTAAATGTGCTGTTTATTCTAGAGAGCTATTTGTCCAAGAACTCTGAAGATGATGAGCTAGCTAAAGAATCAAAGCGGTCAGTTCGAAAGCGGGGCCGAAGCACAGACGAGTATTCAGAAGCAGATGAGGAGGAGGAGGAAGAGGAAGGCAAACCATCCCGCAAACGGCTACACCGGATTGAGACGGATGAGGAGGAGAGTTGTGACAATGCTCATGGAGATGCAAATCAGCCTGCCCGTGACAGCCAGCCTAGGGTCCTGCCCTCAGAACAAGAGAGCACCAAGAAGCCCTACCGGATAGAAAGTGATGAGGAAGAGGACTTTGAAAATGTAGGCAAAGTGGGGAGCCCATTGGACTATAGCTTAGTGGACTTACCTTCAACCAATGGACAGAGCCCTGGCAAAGCCATTGAGAACTTGATTGGCAAGCCTACTGAGAAGTCTCAGACCCCCAAGGACAACAGCACAGCCAGTGCAAGCCTAGCCTCCAATGGGACAAGTGGTGGGCAGGAGGCAGGAGCACCAGAAGAGGAGGAAGATGAGCTTTTGAGAGTGACTGACCTTGTTGATTATGTCTGTAACAGTGAACAGTTATAAGACTTTTTTTCCATTTTTGTGCTAATTTATTCCACGGTAGCTCTCACACCAGCGGGCCAGTTATTAAAAGCTGTTTAATTTTTCCTAGAAAACTCCACTACAGAATGACTTTTAGAAGAAAAATTTCAACAAATCCTGAAGTCTTTCTGTGAAGTGACCAGTTCTGAACTTTGAAGATAAATAATTGCTGTAAATTCCTTTTGATTTTCTTTTTCCAGGTTCATGGTCCTTGGTAATTTCATTCATGGAAAAAAATCTTATTATAATAACAACAAAGATTTGTATATTTTTGACTTTATATTTCCTGAGCTCTCCTGACTTTGTGAAAAAGGGTGGATGAAAATGCATTCCGAATCTGTGAGGGCCCAAAACAGAATTTAGGGGTGGGTGAAAGCACTTGTGCTTTAGCTTTTTCATATTAAATATATATTATATTTAAACATTCATGGCATAGATGATGATTTACAGACAATTTAAAAGTTCAAGTCTGTACTGTTACAGTTTGAGAATTGTAGATAACATCATACATAAGTCATTTAGTAACAGCCTTTGTGAAATGAACTTGTTTACTATTGGAGATAACCACACTTAATAAAGAAGAGACAGTGAAAGTACCATCATAATTAACCTAAATTTTTGTTATAGCAGAGTTTCTTGTTTAAAAAAAAATAAAATCATCTGAAAAGCATTTGTACAGTAAAATGTATAATGAAGCTTTGCCAACCAGACTGTGCTAGCAACAAATTTTTTTAAATAAGCTTTATGCAGTGGTAATAAGGTGGCCTCAAATATATTGTGTCTGATGGAGAGTTATTAGTGAAATGAATGTGGTCTTTCTTAAGGCCTGGGTGGACTGTAAACTTTGCCAATAGTATAACTCTTGTCTTCTGGCCACTTGATGTTTAAATATCTGAAATATCATTTTGAAAAAAATACATCTATATATAACATACATGAAGAGATGCTAAGCTGACAGTGATATTTTAGCACATTTGAAGACTGGGAAGAGATTTTCAGGTGAATTTTAACTGGTCTATTCTTGCCCTTAGTATCTACTTCAAATTGAAGTCTACAAACAAAGCAGTTCCTTTGGGAGGTTTTTAGTTTGAGTTTTAGCGTGTGTGTGTGTTTGTGTGTGTGCGTGTGCGTGTGTGTGTGTGTTGGAATTTCCTATCTGCCTGGATATATTAGCAGAGTTTGAATGTAGTTTTGGCCTTTGGCCATTAGACTTCTATTAAAATTCATTAATAGTCATACAACCAACATAGAGTTGAATGAGAACTGCCGATGTAATTAATAGGCATGACATCCATTTCAAACATCTCAACACTTTAAAGAAAAGCCCTTTGTTTCAAGAAAAAAGGGTTTGTAACTAACTAAATACCTAACATGTAATTGACACTAAAATATGAACTTTGTCTTATTTAGTTTCTGTTATAGCTGTAAAATTTCAGGCAGAGCCATAACATTGTACAGAGTGTAGCACTTGTGATTAAACCTAGCCTGTTAAATCCTGAAACCTTCAACCATTACTTCTGTGAATACTTTAGCCCTGGGATTTGGGTTTTTCTGTTCCGGTGTTGTGTCTGTTGCCGGCAATGGACACACCATATCTGCTGCTGGCCCAAGGAACGTCATTAATTTTTCTTTCCAAATTAAGTATTATGTGCTAGTCAGTGTATAGTAAAGCACTTCTCTTTTTTATTACTAAAAAGCTGGCATTAGATTTGCATTATAAATACCTCTCTAGGAACTTTATACTCCTTTTCCTTCTTCAACAGGTATTGCCCTTAAATCTTATCTTTTGGCCTTGAAAGTTTATAGCTATTGTTTTTCAGTTGTTCGTTGTTTTGTTTTGTTTCACTTTAGTTCTGTAGTACCTGCCCATTAATATTTTTGCTTTGATTCTAGCAATGTGTATGTATCTGTATAAAAAATAAAATAATGAAAGCAACCTAAAAATAGGATGCACCAATAGCATGTGGTTCCAAGTAAGTTGTGATTTTTATTTTGAGACAGTGTTCCACTGGAAGGGAGGGAAGGGCTTACATTCACAGACAGTAAAGCAGGGCTGTGTAAGGAGCTACATTTACTTAACAGTCTCCTTTCCAGCTAGGTTTGTTTTATTTATTTGCAAGTCAGCTAAGAATTAACCTTTTAAACCATCTAAAACAGGCAAGCAATATAAAGATTTCTACTAGTGCAAGGTAAGTGGTTTGAATATACAAGTGCCCTTTCCTGCCACCCAGTCTCACTACCGTTTTAGTCCTGCAGCTGGGTAAAGCCACTATTGTGTGGAAACTCTCCCATGTGCCCTGTCTCTACCTCTGGACACACCAGCTCCTTCTTCCACCTATTCTATTCCTCAGTTAAGCCAAGTGATCAGAAGTAGTATTAAATGGGTAGATAATTTTAACAGGATGCCTAATGTGAAATAAGGAGTTATTTTTACTCTTCTACTATAGAAAGCCTAAGGTAATTCTTACCATCTCAAAGACTGAGTATTCCATTTAGGTTTGGAGACCACTTGTGCTGTGCTGCCTGATATTTACCAAACTTGAATAAGTGTTCGTCAACTTGATAGTGAATGTACCCCTTCTCACCTTATATTTTGATTAAATCAATTAACTATAGGTCATCTACCAAGAATGTAATCCAAGCGGTTGATAAAACATTATTAGGCAGATAGATTATTGATTATTAAATTTTGAGCAGTGCAAAAACGGTTTTGCTGCTTGGAGTTCAGATTCAGTCCCTCAAAGAGTTTATGATCACTGAAATACACTCTGAAGGTATTCTGAAGAAGTTAAAAAATTTTAGAAAACGAAATGTTCTGTATACAAAGACAATACAGTCACTACGAACTGCAGAAAGTATAGGAAAGCAGTAATTGATGTAGAGTTTAGACAGTCTTGGATCTTTTTTAGAGCACTAACCATGGATTTAGACTCAAAATAGCTGCTACATAATAGAGCCCTTTAATAATTTAAACCCCCCTTGTTGAAATACAAGTTGGACTCCCAGTGTCAAACTCTAGACTGTAGCTAATGTATTAAAGGGAGATGTAGATTAATATTCAGTATATTTAGTTTGCAATTTCTGAAAAGGTTTGAAAACTAGTCAGCTTTTCACACAGCAGAAGCTTTGAACTGAAATATGTGTGAAAAGGACGCAGACTGAAAACGTTTTGGTTTTGTACATCAGTGCTGATGAAATTAGTGTAAAACATTTTCCATCATTGGCACATTACTGCAAAATGATGGCAGAGATATTTTCAAGAATGTACATCAAGTTATATTTCCTTGACATCCTTTTTTCAATTGGTCAAGGTTACAGATTCAGAGGATAAAGGGTAGTTTCATTTAGAATAAATTCATGTCTACTGGCAATCTATATATAAAAGTGACCTGCCCAAGAACCAAAAACTTTAAATGCTAATGAAGCTTTTGAAAAATAATTTTTAAACAAATTAATTTTAAAAGGGTGTTACACGTACCCAGTTTTTACTTTTTAGTTGATGAAACCCATCCTATAATATACATTTGAGCAAAGTACACATATTAAGAAAAACATGGACATTTACTTGTTTAATAGTCAAAATGATGAGGAAATGTTAGCTGTTTTTAAGTGGGACTGGTGGGGTGTCCTTTGTCACAAGGAATGCTTTTTTAGCTTGTTTGTGGGCATAAGAGATGTTAACCCTTTGCTGATTCTACCACACAACTGTAAAGAACCTAATGAATCTACAAGTTTAATATTCAGAAAAAGCTAGGAACTCCGCTCTTTACCAGTACAGTGGAACAGGCCCGTTATTCAAGGTGATGCCTCACAGCTATAGAACAACTATTCAAAGACCCAGAGTTAAATGGTACATGTGTATATGTGTGTGTGTGTGTGCACACGCACACACTTCAGATAAGTATCAGAAAAAATAAAAATGAATCCATCATTAACTTGAAAGAAATAAGATGGCTGCATTGCAACAGATACAAATATTATGAACATCATTTAATTACAGAAAATCTAGACAACAGTTTCTCCTGATGTTTGACATTCTCAAAATATATTCCTCATTCTCGAAGAAGCAGAGAATGCCAAGGCTGCATATCTGCTGTAATCTACCTAGCCCTCTTCTGCTTAATATGATCCATTATTGAATCTTCTCAGATTAAAATCCATTCCTATATCATCTACCTTTCCCAAAGTGTGTGCCTGTAAACCTACCTTGGAAGTGGCAAGTTAACTGATTTTTTTGTGTCATTTTTATACCAATCCTTAAGGTCAAAGCCTTTTGCTATCAATGTATTTAAACTGAGTTGCTATATGTTCACTAATTTGTTTTCAAAATGTTTTGCTCCAACTTAAATTATCTTTTAACATCTTTTGAGTGCCAAGAATTGCTAAGTAACTGTAATATGTTGAAGAGAGTAATTGCCAAGCAAGCAGTCATAAGCCAAAATGTAATGAGCTTAGTATATAACCACTTTAGAGTATACACTCACCACTTTTTGTATTCATTCATGCAAACCCTCCTGGAAGTCGATTAGAAGAGGATCCAATTTGTGGACCTTTTTTCCTCCTTTTGGACACCTGAGCACAATTTTTTTTTTCCTTTCATATTTATACCACTTTGGAAAATTCAGTAAACCCAATTCTGGCACATCATAATGGTTTCAGTTAGTGAAGATGTTTATTTTAATAACTTTAAAATATGACTATCCTATACATAAGTTATATAAGAGGGCATAACAATAGATGAGTAGAAATTTATAAAATTTCTTGGATATTTTGAATGAGAAAAAAACATTTTTAAAGGAATTTTGTTTTTTCCTTTTTTGGCCAAACCGGTACAAGTTAGAAAGTGTGCTAAGGACTGAATACTTGCCTCGTGCTTTTTGCCACTGGATGATGTAAGTTAAGAATGGAATTGTTAATCCTAAGTATATATTTTCTTGACTTTCATCAGTTTCTAAAGAAATCTAATTTAAGTGTTTTGCGGTTTTGTTTGATCTGTATTTATTGAGTTCTGGTCATAGACCAGCAGCTTGCACGTCATGCTCATGAACAGCCAGAACATAGTTATTGGGGAACTTCATGGCTCAAAACCTTCTGAATCATTTAACTTATTTTGTATGTTGCAAAAAAAAAAAAAAAGTTTATTTTGCTTGAGAGTCACCTTTTTTTAAAAAAAATAACTGTACAGCTTTTAAGGGATGGGAGGTGGGAAAATACCCTAAAATAGGATGTAGATTTTTTACAATTGTGTTTATGCTAGATCATCTACAGGTGCATTATGTAATTAAACCTAAAATTGTTTAAAAATTTGTGCCATGTCTTTTTCATTCTCCTGCCCTTTAGCAGAATTGGTGCATGTCAACTGCTATGTGGACAAGCCTTGAAATTAGAGTAACAAGCCCTGTCTCCAAAGCTTTAAGGTCACTGCATGAAAATTGCACACACACACACACACACACACACATCTAGCTTATATTAGTAAATGGATTTTCAGGATCAGAACAGCTACAGTAGCCCAGATTTGGCTGTTAACAGCATATTCTTACAGCACATGATTTTTGTGATGCCTAACTAGGGTATTCTCAATGTTAGTCTGGTGTTCTATTCTCTTTCAAAGTAGCTTCTTGAGATGGTATCTGTTGTAGCTTGCCCAAACCTGCCATGAGGTTGTGTGTACACTTTGAAAGGGTATGTCCTATGCTAAGATGGTGGTAGAGCAGGGCTTGATTTTAATCTATTCATATAAAAGAAGGAAAAAACTAGAATTGGTCTATTTGGTTATTCAGTGGACTTAATTCCACAGGAATAGTTGTCTGCTGAAGCGTGGCAGCAAGAGAAGTCAAATTCAAGTTTCAGTTCCTTCCTTATTCACTAAGTATTTTGAAATCTTGTAGAACTTCTGATTCTAGCACAGTCTTTTACATGGCACATTTTACCATGGTATATTCACAGCTTCGTTTAAATGTCAGTACTTTTTCCCATCTGATAATTTTGCCATTCTAATTTCTCACCTTTGTAGTACAAGTGTATTCTTGAAAATAATTAAATTCATCTAAGTGTGTCATAATTTCAATCAAAGCTATATTCATGTGTTGCCAGCGTCAGTTTTTTGCTATCCTCATTCAGAAGGGAAGCCTGCAGATCATGAGTTTCCATATGAAGAATACAAATTCCACATAAAAATTTATAAATGGTATCTTTAGAATTTTGATTTAAAGTAATAGCTGGAATTCAGGGACTGATCAGAATGCCTCTTGAATTTTCCAACATGCTTATATGAAATGCTTTATTTTCCTATGCGTTAAAAAAAATATTCCTGGAATAGGTTCTCAGAATGTTTTATTTGGTTTCTAGGAGATGAGATTTAAAGCAGAAGCTCCAAGATTGGCATAAAACTAACTCTTGAGGTAATCAGGACCATGCTGTTAGTCAAATAGAAGCTGGAGTGCTCTCTGTCACATAATGTACTGCATGTGTGTGGGGGTGGGGGGGCAGGGAAGATCAGAAAACTGGAAATGTAATTCTGATAACACGCAAAGTAAATTGTGCATTAAAAGTATGGGAATTCTTGGTAGCTTAAAGCTTCAGGGGTTAACTTCAGTGTATGAACACCTAGTGTGTTAGAATTGCAGTGCATAGTTGTTTAAATACAATATTCCTTGTAAGTGACAACCAAAATATGTTGTGGCTGGTGCCAGTATTTTTGTTAATGAAATGTTCAGTGTCTCACTACAGTCTGATCAGAACTCTTGGTGTTATAAGCCAGGCCTAAAGCCATTTTATAGCTATTGGCCTAATTGTGTAACTTTTTCTTTCAAAATGTTTTATTATAATACTTCTGTCATTTCTTTCACTTAATATGTCAATTGTCATAATAAAAATTTAAATTTGAATTATTTAGCATGATGTGTTTGCAAACTTAGCTTATTTTAAATTTTGTGGCACATGGAACAAATTGTCTGTAACAGTTCATGACGGTTAAAATTTATCACCCAGGCCTAGATGAATTGTTCTCCCGCTATCTAGAAAGTAAATTTGCAAGTGCATCAGTTTCCCTAAAATAATTTTTAAGGCTATTTGCCAACTAGACAAATATAGATATTAGAAAACTATTATTGATTTCTATATTTAGCCTCTGGAGAACTAACACATTATAGAGGCTGTGGACTTGTTCTGTGTGGTCCCATAAGAGCACAGAACTAGACCAGAGGACAGAAGCCATAGGGCAAAAGTTTTCCATTCATTCTATGGAGGAAGCTTAGTTCTCTAATAATAAACAAGCTTGGAAGTGAATTATTAGGAATAGGGGATGTTTGGGAGACCAAACATCCACACATTGATCCACGCCTTAAAAAATGGATTAAACCAAATGACTAACCGGTCCTTCCAACCCTGAGTAGGCTTCTCAGCTACAAATGATTTGACAGTTTTTATTTACTCTTGAAATACAGTAAAATTCACACTGAACTTGCTTTTTTACCAACAAACTAGCAGAGTATTTGTGATTCTGATGGAAAATATTAACTAGGTAAAGAACTTTTGAAGAATTTCACCTAATGGAGTAAAAGCTGGTCGGTGCTAGCAAGAAAATGGCTAGTTACAATGCTAAATTTATTTGAAATTTTCACTTTAAGAGAATCAGTCAAATAACGTGAGCCACTGTGCCCAGCCAGCCCATTTCTTTTTCAGATTATAAGACCAGAAGATGTAGAACAGTTCTTTTCTTTTACAAATAGAATTGGTGTACTATTCTGTGATTCTTTAGTAGAGGCGGAATTATAAAAAATAACGAAAATATCCTATTGAAGTTAAATGTTGGGACCCTTCTGGGTGAGATTAATGCTTGTGTCATTTTGATTCTTAATGAGTTTGCATGAGCTCTTTAGGGTACTAAAAGTCTAAATGAATATCAAAGAGAAAGGACACTCTAAGAGGATGTAACTTGACATTGCAATGTAGCATATACAGTCAAATCCCAACTGAAGACAGCTGGGAACCTACTAGTATTGATATCGGCCACCTATGGCTTCCTTATCACTCCTCCTTGCCCATTTCAGAGCCACTTTACCCACATTTGAGCACCTATCTTTCTCCCTAGTCCTGTCTCTGAGGAGGTATCTTCTTTTTGCAGTACCTTGTCTGCCTGTGTCCTTGATCGGTCGTCTTTTTATTACCGCCTCTGGGTCTTTCACATCTTACTTTTCTATCTCTGATCTCCATTACTTGACACACACTCCTCTCTAAATAAAGTTCTCCCTATTGTGGAAAATGAAAGTTTGATCCTGTCTCTGGTTCAATACCCTTCCCAGTTACTTCTTATTTAACTTCCAGTCTTTAAAATAAATAGACTATGGAAAACCCTAAAGTGTATTTGGAAATTATTACTGAAATGTCAGAAATTCCTAAGAGAAACTCCAGGAAACAAACCACCATCTCAGCAACATACTTTATTATCAGGAACAGCTGTTACAGAAAGCTGAAACTTAAAACAGGAATGTGATTCCTCCCTTTTCCCTGTACTTGCTTCATGTTTGTCTGTTGAATGTAATGTGCATTTTGTTTTCTCTTTGACATTATTGCTTGCTAGTGGGACACCAGTAATTGCACTGTGAACTCACATAACCAAATAGCTCTTACTCTACCATTTAGAACCAAAAAGTTAGAGGAAGTACTTCATTAATGATGATAGAACCTTATTTGAACCTGTACTGTCCTAGCTTCAACCATAAAAGATTTTCTGTAGCAACAACAAAGAGAGGTAGCTGGCTCAATGCTATTAGGTTGGTGCAAAAGTAATTGCAGTTTCTGCTGTATATAATATACATATATCTATTTTTTTTAAAGGCAAAAACCACAATTTTTTTTTTTTTTTTTTTTTTTTTTTTTTTTTGAGACAGAATCTCGCTCTGTCGCCCAGGCTGGAGTGCAGTGGTGTGATCTCGGCTCACTGCAACCTCCGCCTCCCAGTTCAAGGGGTTCTCCTGCCGCAGCCTGCCGAATAGCTGGGATTACAGGCATGTGTGCCAACATGCCCAGCTGATTTCTTTGTATTTTTAGTAGAGACTGGGTTTCGCCATGTTGGCCAGGCTGGTCTGGAACTCCTGACCTCAGGTGATCCACCTGCCTGGGCCTTCCAAAATGCTGGGATTACAGGCGTGAGCCACCGCGTCTGGCCCAACAATTAGTTTTGCACCAACCTAATAGAAAATCAGAAAGTTGGCTTCAGATTCAGAATAATGCAGAAGTAGGGCTGGAATTTTACTGGCCAATGCTCTGAGCAGAACCAGGAGAGGGCCAGAGAGCCCAGGATGAAAGGCAAGGATCTCTTGGGTGCAGTGGCTCATGCCTGTAATCCCAGCACTTTGGGAGGCTGAGATGGGAGGATTACTTGAGGTCATAAGTGATGATGATGAGTGGTCACTACAGCCTGAGCAACAGAGCGAGACTCCATCTCAAAAAAAAAAAAAAAAGGAAAAGAAAGACAAGGATCCACAAGCAGGAAAAGTATATCAGAGAAGGGAGATGGAATGCTAAGAAGCCGTCTTTAAGATGACTGTCCCCTTTTTGACATAGCCATCTTTTTTTTTTTTTGAGATGGAGTCTCACTGTGTCGCCCAGGCTGGAGTGCAGTGACTCGATCTCGGCTCACTGCAACCTCCACCTCCCGGGTTCAAGTGATTCTCCTGCCTCAGTCTCCCGAGTATCTGGGACTACAGGCGTGCACCACCACGCCCAGCTAATTTTTTGTATTTTTAGTAGAGACAGAGTTTCATTGTGTTAGCCAGGATGGTCTCGATCTCCTGACCTTGCGATCCTCCTACCTCGGCCTCCCAAAGTGCTGGGATTACAGGCGTGAGCCACCGCACCCGGCGGACAGCCACTTTTAATAATCTGGATGTGCTTACATAACGATGTCCAAAAGAACTTGTAAGTTTTATTTATAAAAGTTTCTTGTTTTTTATTGAGATAATTCACATACCATAAAGTTCACCATTATAAAGTGTACAATTCAGAGGTCTTTAGTGTTACTGGTAGAGGGTCTTGACTGCAAGTTGTCCAGGTTCTTGGCGCTTTGAACAAAGAATTGGACAAAACACCCAGCAAAGCAAAGAAAGAATGAAGTAACAAAAGAAGGAAAGCAGGGATTTATTGAAAATGAAAGTACACTCCACAGTGTGGAAGCTGGAGAAGCAGCGACTCAAGGGCCCGGATACAGAATCTTCTCAGGTCCAAGTACCCCCTAGAGGTTTTCCATTGGCCACTTCCTGCTCACCTCATGTAAATGAAGTGGTAGCTCTCAATCGGTCTGATTGGTTGTGGAAAGCAACCAATCAAAGACTGAAGTGGAGGGTACAACGCTCACTCTCCTCTTTTTGCAACCAATCAGAGGCTAAGGTAAAGTTAGAAAGTTGCAAACGAAGACCGGCCGGCAAACAGTCTGATTGGTTTCAGGCAGCCAGTTTCCCAACTGCCCAGCAGAAAAGGTGGGGGGTTTGCAAAGGGAGTAGTAGCCTCTGGTCCTTTTGTTACTTAGGCTGTGGAAAGTTATGAGTTTTCTTTTCAACTTGGTTCTAAGAAGTGATGTGAAATGGCCTTAGGTTCCCTGCCTCCAGACCCTATTCTCCTGCCTCATCAAGCATATTCACAAGGTTGTCAACACCCTAAAAACGCCCTACTCATTAGTAGTGACTACCTATTTCCTCCGTAGTCCCTGCCAAGTACTATTACTTTCTATCTCTACAAATGTGCCTCTTCTTGACATTTCATATAAATGGAATCACACTGTATAGCCCTTACGGATCTAATGTCTTTTATTTAACATGTTTTCAAGGTTCGTCATGTAATAGCATAAGTTAGTACTTCTTTTTTTTTTTTTACAGTCTTGCTCTGTCACCCAGGCTGGAGTGCAGTGGCATGATCTCAGCTCACTGCAACCTCTGCCTCCCGGGTTCAAGCAATTCTCCTGCCTCAGCCTCCCGAGTAGCTGGGATTACAGGCGTGTGCCACCATGCCTGGCTAATTTTTGTATTTTTAGTAGAGATAGGGTTTCACCGTGTTAGCCAGGCTGGTCTTGAACTCCTGACCTCAGGTGATCCACCCACCTCGGCCTCCCAAAGTGCTGGGATTACAGGTGTGAGCCACCGCGCCCGGCCACTTCATTCTTTTATATGCATGAATAATATTCTACTGTATGTATATGCCACATCTTGTTTATCCATTTGAACATTTGAGTAATTTCCACTTTGAGGCTATGAATGGTCAGGGCTATTAGAAATAATAAACATTCATGTACAAGCTTTGAGTGTGCATGCATGTTTTTCATTCTTGAGTGCATACCTAGGAGTGGAATTGCTGGATCATATGATAACTCTATGTTTAACTTTTGAAGAAATTTGAACCTGTTTTACACAGTGCCTGCACCTTTTTACATTCCCACTAGCAATGCACAAGTGTTCCAATTTCTCCACATCAACAATATTTATTATTGACAGTCTTTTTATTATGGCTATTCTAGGGGATATGAAGTGGTATCTCATTGTGGTTTTGATTTGCATTTCCTAGTGATTAATGATGTTGAGCATCTTCTCATGCGCTTACTCACTGCTCATATATTTTCTTTGTAGAAATGTCCATTTAAATCCTTTGCCTATTTTTATGATCAGGAATGGTGGCTTATGCCTGTAATCCCAGACCTATGGGAGGCCAAGGCAGGAAGATTGCTTGAGGCCAGGAATCTGAGACCAGCCTGGGCAACATAGTGAGATCCCATTGATACAAAAAAAATTTTAAAAATTAGTCAAACATGGTGGTATGTACCTGTAGTCCCAGCAGTTTAGGAGGCTAAGGCAGAAGGATCACCTGAGCCCAGGAGTTGCAGGCTGCAGTGAGCCATGATCATGCCACTGCACTCTGGCCTGGGTGACAGAGCAAGATGCCATCTCTTTAAAAAAAAAAAAAGAGAGAGGCAAGGCACAGTGGCTCACGCCTCTAATCTCAGTACAGCAGTTCGGGAGGCCAAGGTGGGAGGATCGCTTGAGGCCAGGAGTTTCAGGTTACAGTAAGCTATGACAGCACCACTGCACTACAGCCTGGGTGACAGAGCAACACCCTGTCTTTACAAAAAAACAAAAATAAATCCTCTGTCCCACCTCCTTTTTTCTTTTTTTTTGCTTTTTTTCATGGAAATGTCCCAAAAACCTCTACCTATTTTTAATTGAGCTGTCTTTTTATTGTTGAGCTATAAGTAAATACCAGCTGAATTCTGAATACCAGACCTTTACCAAATATATGATTTGCAATATTTTCTATGATTCTGATAAATCACTTTCTTGATAGTGTCCTTTGATACACAAAGGTTTTTTAACTTTGCCGGTGTCCAATTTCTGTTTTCTTTTCTTTGGTTGCCTATGCTTGATGTTAGAGATCTAAGAAAACACTGCCTAAGTCAGTATCTTGAAGATTTACATTTTATGTTTTCTTCTAAGAGTTTTATAGGTTTAGCTCTTTTTTTTTTTTTTTTTTTTTTTTTTTTTTTTTTGAGACAGGGTCTCATTCTGTCACTCAGGCTGAAGTGCAGTGGTACAATCTGGCTCACTACAACCTCCGCCTCTTGGGTTCAAGCAGTTTTCATGCCAACAGCCTGCAAGTAGCTGGGATTAACAGGCATGAGCCACCACACCTGACCCAATTGGTTTAACTCTTTTTTTTTTCCCCCTGATATGGAGTTTCACTCTTGTTGCCCAGGCTAGAGTGCAATGGCACAATCTTGGCTCACCGCAACCTCTGCATCCCGGGTTCAAGCAATTCTCCTGCCTCAGCCTCCCGAGTAGCTGGGACTACAGGTATGCGCCGCCATGCCCAGCTAATTTTGTATTTTTAATAGAGACGGGGTTTCTCCATGTTGGTCAGGCTGGTCTCAAACTCCCAACCTCAGATGATCCGCCCACCTCGGCCTCCCAAAGTGCTGGGAGGTTTAACTCTTAAGTTTAGGCCTTAGATCCCTTTGGAGTTATTTTTGTATATGATGAGAGGTAAGGATCCAAATTCATTCTTTTGCATGTGGTTAAACAGTTGTTTCAGCACGATTTGTTGAAAATACTATTCTTGGCCAGTTGCAGTGGCTTACGCTTGTAATCCCAACACTTTAGGAGGCCAGGGTAGGCAGATAGCTTGAGCTCAGGAGTTCAAGACCAGACTGGGCAACATGGCTAAATGCTGTCTCTAGAAAACAACAACAACAACAACAATTAGCCGGGTGTGGTGGTGCATGCCTAAGGTCCCAGCTACTCAGGAGGCTGAGATGGGAGAATTGCTTGAACCCGGGAGGCGGAGGTTGCAGTGAGCCAAGATTGTACCACTGCACTCCAGCCTGGGCAACAGAGTGAGACCCTGTCTCAAAAAATTAAAAAGAAAAGAAAAGATACTATTTTTTCCTTCATTTAATTATCTTGGCATCCCTGTCAAAAATCTATTGACCCTAAATGTATGGGTTTACTTCTGGATTCTCAATTTGGTTCCATTGAGCTATACATCTGTCCTTATTCTACTACTACACAGTGTTGATCACTGTAACTTCTTACTAAGATACAAAATCAGGCAATGTAAGTCCTTTAGTTTGGCTCCTTTTTTTTATTCAAGACTGTTTTAACTATTCTGGGCTCCTTAAATTTCCATGTGAATTTTAGGTTCCATTTGTCAATTTCTGTGAAAAAAGGCAGTTGGAATTTTGATATAGATTGCGTTTGTTTGTTTGTTTGTTTGTCTGTTTGTTTTGAGACAGAGTTTCGCTCTTGTTGCCCAGGCTGGAATGCAATGGCGTGATCTCAGCTCACCTCAACCTCTGCCTCCTGGGTTCAAGCGATTCTCCTGCCTCAGCCTCCCTAGTAGCTGGGATTACAGGCATGTGCCACCATGCCTGGCTAATTTTTGTATTTTTAGTAGAGATGGGGTTTCACTGTGTTGGCCAGGCTGGTCGTCAATGCCTGACCTCAAATGATCCACCCACTTCAGCCCCCCAAAATGCTGGGATTACAAGTGTGAGCCACTGTACCCAGCCAAATTTCATTTTTGTATTGTTCATTGCTAGTGTACAGAAATACAACTGTAGTCCCAGCTACTCAGAGGGCTGATGCAGGAGGACTGCTTGAACCAAGAAGTTCAAGGCCAGCCTGGGCAACATAGCAAGACCCCTCTCTAAAAAAAAAAAAGCTAAGCAGAAAATAAATACAACTGTTTTTTAGTTTTTTGTTTTTGAGATGGAGTTTTGCTCTTATTGCCTAGGCTGGAGTGCAATGGTGCAATCTTCGCTCACTGCAACCTCTGCCTCCCAGGTTCAAGCGATTGTCCTGCTTCAGCCTCCCAAGTAGTTGGGATTACAGGCATGTCCCACCATGTCCAGCTAATTTGTATTTTTAGTAGAGATGGGGTTTCACTATGTTGGTCAGGCTGGTCTCGATCTCCTGACCTCAGGTGATCCACCTACCTCGGCCTCCCAAAGCACTGGGATTACAGGTGTGAGCCACCGCACCCGGCCTAAATACAATTGATTTTTATTTAGGAATAAACTTAACTAAGCAGATGAAAGACTTGCGTACTGACTGCTGTCAAAAAAACAAACAAAAAATAATAATAAGGGTTGATGAGGACATGCCCAAAATGGAATCCCTGAGCATTGTTGGCAGGAATGTAAAATGGTGCAGCTGCTGTGGAAAACAATACAGAAGTACAGCAGTTTCTCAAAAATGTTTAAACACAATTACCAAACGATCCAGCAATTTTGCTTCTTGGCAAACATTGAAAAGAACTGAAAGCAGACTTTCAAAGGGATATCTATTTTTTTGGTTGTGTGTGTTTTCTGTTTGTTTGTTTTTTGAGACAGAGTCTCACTGTCGTTCAGGCTGGAGTGCAATGGTGTGATCTCGGCTCGCTGCGTCCTCCGCCTCCTGGGTTCGAGCGATTCTCCTGCCTTAGCCTCCCGAGTAGCTAGGATTACAGGAGTGTGCCACCATGCCCGGCTAATTTTTGTATTTTTAGTAGAGACGGGGTTGCACCATGTTGGCCAGGCTGGTCTCGAACTCCTGACCTCAAGTGATCCACTCACCTCAGCCTCCCAAAGTTCTGGGATTACAGGCATGAGACACTGTGCCCGGCCTCAAAGGGATATCTGTACACCCATATTCACAGAAGCACTATTCACAATAACCAAAGTTGGAAGCAACCCAGGTGTCCATCAACAGATTAATACAATCAAAATGTGGTATAAACATACAGTGGAATATTATTCTCCTTTAAAAAGGAAGAAAATTCTGATGAGTTATAATTTGGATAAACCTTGAGGACATTATGCTAAATGAAGTAAGCCAGTCACAAAAAGACAAATACTACTTATGTGAGGTACCTAGAATCATTAAATTCATACAGACAGTAGAATGGTGGTTGCCCGGGGCTTAGGCAGGAGGGTAATGAAGTGTTTTTGTTTAATGGGTATAGATTTTCAGTTTAGTAAAATGAAAAGAGTTTTCCAGATAGATGGTGGTAATGGTTGCAAAACAATGTGAATGTATTTAACACCACTGAACTGTATACCTGAAAATGGTTCAGATTGTAAATTTTACATGATGTGTATTTTACTACAAGTGTAATAAGAAAAAAAAATACACCTGAGGTTTTTTGTTTTGTTTTGTTTTTGTTTTAGATGGAGTCTTGCTCGGTCGCCCAGGCTGGAGTGCAGTGGCATGATCTCGGCTCATTGCAACCTCCGCCTCCCGGATTCAAGCAATTCTCCTGCCTCAGCCTCCTGAGTAGCTGGGATTACAGGCACCTGCCACCACGCCTGGCTAATTTTTTTTTTGTATTTTTAGTACAGATAGGTTTTCACCATATTGGCCAGGCTGGTTTCGAACTCCTGACCTTGTGATCCATCCACCTCAGCCTCCCGAAGTGCCCCAGCTCACACAGGCATGAGCCACCGCACCTGGCCCTGAGTTTTGTATATTGAGTTTGTAACCTGTAACCTTGCTGAACTTTATTTAGCTCTAATAAATTTTCTGACGTGGATTCCCTTAAGATTTTCTAGATACAAGATAATGTCATCTGTGACTAGAAATAGAGGGATTCCTTTTGTTTATTTTTCTCGCCTAATTGCCTGGCTAGAACCTCCAGTACAATGAAGAAACATAGCGAAAATGGACACCCTTCTGTTGTTCGCGATCCTAGGTGAAAACATTCAGTATTTCACAATTAAGTATGAAGTTAGCTGAGGGTTTTCATAGATGTCTTTTATCTGATTGAGGAAGTTACCTTCCTCTCCTAATTTTTTAGTTTGCCAGTCTTTTTATCATGAAAGGGAGTTGGATTTTGTCAAATGCTTTTTCTGTATCCATTGAGATGGTTATATGGCTTCTCCCTTTAGTAATATGGTGTATTACATTAATTTTCATATGTTCAATCAACCTTTCATTCCTGGGATAAATCCCACTTGGCTACTGTGTCGGGAATCTCCAAGATCACTCCAGGATCAATGATTCACCAGGAGGACTGACAGCTGTCATTTATTACAGTGAAAAGATAAAAAACATAATCAGCAAAGGGACATGGCCCATGGGCAGAAACGAGGTAATTAAGTACATGCTTCCAAAGGTCCTCTCTCAGAGGAGTCACACGAGACTGACTTAATTATGACAACACATGTGAAAAGGTACCTACCTGTGCAGCTCACTAGAGGCTAGGGGCAAGTTTTTACTGGGAGCCAGTCACACAAACACCATTTTGCCTAGCACATACCGAAATGTCAGACCCCAGAAGGAAAGCACGTGTTCAGCATAAGCCATGTTGTTTGCACAAACACAAGGCACAGTGAGCCCCTCTACAGCCAGGGTAGTAGGAATCGTCTCAAAATCAAAGTTCCCAGGCACTAGTGAAGTGCTAAGCTTGTAAGCAGGTCTTTCTAATGATAAGTATTCTCAGGTTTGCTATGATAGTCTTTTTTTTTTTGCACAATCCAACCTCTTGGCTCTTATATAAGAGCAAAAGACACCTTATTGTAAAAGAGTTTATAATAATTAGGGCACTGCAAAACAGAATATGCATTAGTCAGGCAGTACAGGTTAACAGAGTGCCCAATGTGGCCTCCCACCATGGGGCCTCTAACCCATGGGTTCCCACTGTAGTCTGAAATAATTCAGCTCAGGTCAGGCCTGGTGGCTCATGCCTATAATTCCAGGACTTTGGGAGGCTGAGGCAGATGGATTGCTTGAACTCAGAAGTTTGAGACCAGCCTGGACAACATGGCAAAACCTGGTCTCTACAAAAAATACAAAAGTTAGCTGGGCATGGTGGCATGTGCCTGTGGTCCCGGCTACTTGGGGTTGAGGTGGGAGGATTGCTTGAGCCCATGAGGTCAAGGCTACAGTGAGCCATGATAGAGCCACTGCACTCCAGTCTGGATGGAATGAGATCCTGTCTTTAAAATTAAAATAAAATAAAATAAAACAATTCAGCTCAGTTCTTGATATCAGAGGTACTGCAGTCAGTTCCAAACAGCTTTTGTTTGTTTGTTTGTTTGTTTGTTTGTTTTTTGAGAGGGAGTCTCACTGTCTGCCAGGCTGGAGTGCAGTGGCGCCATCTCAGCTCACTGCAAGCTCCGCCTCCCAAGTTCACGCCATTCTCCTGCCTCAGCCTCCCGAGTAGCTGAGACTACAGGCACCCCCCACCACACCCAGCTAATTTTTTGTATTTTTAGTAGAGATGGGGTTTCACCATGTTAGCCAGGATGATCTCGATCTCCTGACCTTGTGGTCCGCCTAGCCTTGGCCTCCCAAAGTGCTGGGATTACAGGTGTGAGCCACTGCGCCCGGCCAGTTCCAAACAGTTTTGCTTGTCCTTGACATCAATTCATCAGTCTCATGAGTGTGGATGACATCCGTAAGTGTTCTGCCTGGAAAGCTGAGGAGCAGGGACCACTCTTGCTGTCTCAAAGTCAGCTCTATCAGCTGTGATCATAGGCTTAGAAGTCAGTTTGAATAAAAGGTGCTCAAAGCAGCTCGGAAAGGCAGCACGGGAAGTTTTTGTTCAGTAAGAGGGGAAAGTTTCCAGAAACAACTCTGAAAAACAAGAACATCAATTCCCTTCTTGCCCTTGCCCTCAACCAGGCCTCCCCAGGTGCTGGGGCTCTGTTTTCCTACACGTTTACAAAATCAGTGTGTTCCATTTAGTCAGTGATCAATATCTTACATTTTTTTCATCCCATACTCTAACCCGGACCTTTTGTCTGGAGGAGTTGTATGTAAGAAGGACAAAAGAATTTTCACCGATATTATAGAACAGTTTCTTAACACCTAAATAAAGAAAAAAAAAAAAGAAAATGAAGAATAAGAATAAAAATAAAGACAAAAATAATAAATGAAAAAATAGAAAAAGAATTTTCACAGAAAAATATTTTTATACCACTTAATCAAAAAGACACATCATGTTCAGAAGTTGGTCAGGACAACATCCTGAATTTTCATGCATTTTCAAAATGGGTTTATATAACTTCTCAGCCCTTTAATCCTGATTATTTATCCAGTGAGCATCCTAGAAAAGCCTTGCTTTTCTGAAGATAGCGGCATTTTACAATCAAGCTGCACTTAGATTTGTGTACCAGGAGAAAGATGAGAGAAGTAGGGTTAGGGTATCATCAATCCATTGTTGAAACTGCAAATAATTAGGAAATTCAAGCACGAGTCAACAGTAGTGAGGCATTCCTGAGAAAGGGTTGAGTCTAATCTGTCAGAGGGCTCATACTGTTTGTGATGTGCCCTCCCCTAAGTTGCAGCTTTTGGCAGGGATCACACATTAGGAATGCAATCAGTCTCTGCATCCAAAATATAGAGATGATGAGTAATTTAATTTCACACAATCTCATCGGAGAATAAACACTTTCTTGTAGGTATCTGCAAGTGACCCAGATGGACCAGCCAGTTTCCCTGATGTTTTCACAATTTATGGCCCCACAAAGGACTGTCCTAAATCTGCAGTGGTCCATGAGTGGAAGAGCTGTTTTTGAGCATATGTCTGCTTTCAGTTCTGCACAGCTCATGTTGAGACTGAAACAGGCCCATAACAGACAGTATCTAGTTTTATGTAGTGTGAGTTCCAGGCAATTAGGGTCTGTGAATTCAGGATAACATAAAAGCCAGTAGCTTCTTCAGCACCAGCAAAGTCAATATGCTTCAGGACCACAAAACTGTGTTCCAAATCTAAGTGACAAGCAGGATTCCACTGACCCTTTTTGTCTTATTAGTCTTATAGTCCAAAATGACCCACTTAAAAATCACACATCGGCCAGGCGCGGTGGCTCATGCCTGTAATCCCAGCACTTTGGGAGGCCGAGGCGGGCGGATCATCTGAGGTCGGGAGTTTGAGACCAGCCTGGCCAACATGGTGAAACCCCATCTCTACTAAAAATATAAAATTAGCCGGGCGTGGTGGCGCTTGTCTGTAATCCCAGCTACTCGGCAGGCTGAGGCAGGAGAATCGCTTGAACTCGGGAGGCAGAGGTTGCAGTGAGCTGAGATGGCACCATTGCACTCCAGCCTGGGCAACAAGACTAAAACTCTGTCTCAAAAAAAAAAAAAGAAAAAAAAAATCGCGTATCAGGCCAGAAAATCATCTGTCTCTTAAGGGTCAAGTGTCTGATTTCACAAAAGCTTATTACCAAAATAAAAACTGCTTTTGAAACTCCAAAAATATATCTCTCTGGAGATTGCCTTTTCATGTTGCCTCCCATTTTCCTGAAGCTCTAATAAGCAAAAATTGTAGTATAAATAGTTATGGGCCAGGCATGGTGGCTCATGCATGTAATCCCAGCACTTTGGGAGGCCAAGGCAGGCGGATCACCTGAGGTCAGGAGTTCAAGACCAGCTTGACTAACATGGTGAAACCCCGTCTCTACTAAAAATACAAAAAAAATTAGCCAGGTGTAGTGATGGGCGCCTGTAATCCCGGCTACTTGGGAGGCTGAGGTAGGAGAATCGCTTGAACCCGGGAGGCAGAGATTGCAGTGAGCCGAGATCACGCCATTGCACTCCAGCCTGGGCAACAGAGTGAGACTGTCTCTAATAATAATAATAATAATAATAATAAGAAGAAGAAGAAGAAGAAGAAGAAGAAGAAGAAGAAGAAGAAGAAGTTATGGAGAATTGTTCTGTTTCCAGTACTCAATGAACTTATATTCTAATGTGTCCACAAAAAAGCAAGGTTTTGACCACAAAATGAGTTAATTAAGTCATTTCACTAATGCGTTTTCCTTTTTCTCTCTTTAATTTTTATTTTCATTCCCTTCTTTTCACAGGTGTTGATCATTAACATGTTGTCTTTGCAGCTTTCCATGATTGGAATGGTTCCTCCAGCATTTATGAAATTACAAGCATATAGGCCAGGCTCAGTGGCTCTGTGTCCCACCACTTTGGGAGGCTGAGGCGGATGGATCATGTGAGGTCAGGAGTTCGAGACCAGCCTGATCAACATGGAGAAACCCTGTCTCTACTAAAAATACAAAATTAGCTGGGCATGGTGGCACATGTCTGTAATCCCAGCTACTCGGGAGGCTGAGGCAGGAGAATTGCTTGAACCCGGGAGGCGGAGGTTGCGGTGAGCCGAGATTGTGCCATTGCACTCCAGCCTGGGCAACAAGAGGGAAAGTCTGTCTCAAACAAACAAACAAACAAACAAACAAAAAGAAAGAAATTAGAAGCATATAACATTTTACGTCAATGTTTATACATCCAGATATAACAGCCACAAAATACGAAACCATTTTTTTAAATTCCCCATTTTTTTGCTCTCACTGCAAATTTACTCAAACCTCAGTAGTAAATTCAGCATTTACAGGGTTAACATTTGAGTTTCCAGAGAAGATCTTGGCTGGAATCTAAGGAGTGGGCATGGTGGGTCTGCTGCATCAGTGGCAGCAGCTAGGCTGAAGAATGAGTTGGGGTATTCTTCTCCCTCTGTTTTGTCTAAAATTTTACTGTAGCCCTGAACTCTAATGTTATCTTTTTTCCCCCCACCTGGAAGAGAGGTTATTTTTTCCACCTGGAAGACAGAACAAATATAAAAGGTATCATCTGGACTGCATCCCTCCCCAACCCTGTGTTAGCCTGAAGAGCCAAAAGCAGCCAGGGGTTCCACTAAGCCAAATCTCCTGGAGTTGGAGCTATCATTTTAAAATTCCATAGGTAACTTCTGCCCCTCACAACAGAGTTTCAGCTGCTTTATTATACCATGGATGATTCCATAGCCACCCAGGCACCAAAGATTCATCATACCCCATTCCCCTTCATCTTTCCTCTACCCAAACAATGCGTGGACCACATATCATTGAGTCAGGGTCATTCTAGTGAATTTCACTTTTGACACGTACTGTGTCAGGGTCATCAAGACAACTCTTAGGATGGACAGGAGGATGCATAGGACTCAGCATATAATCATACTCATGCTATTTGTCTTAGATGATGGGTGAGAAGGAGTTCTTTTACAAAGTAGCCAGGCATGGTGGCTCACATCTGTAATCCCAGAATTTTGGGAGGCAAGGCAGAAGGATCACCTGAGCCCAGGAGTTTGAGACCAGCCTGGGCAACATAGTGAGACTTCATCTCTAGAAAAAAAATTTTTTTAATCTGTTAGGCATAGTGGTACACACCTGTACTCCCAGCTACTCAAGAGGCTGAGGTTACAATTGCCACTCCAAAATCATAACTGAGACACTGAAAGACATCTGACTTAACCAACTCCATCTTGCCTCTAACTCCAAGCTGTCATTATTCATTCCTGGGCATTAGCTGAACTGACTTTGGGAGGCACTTAGTTTATAATCCGCAGTTTAGAACAAAGACAATAACAGCCCTTTCCCAAAACAAACCCACATCTTGCCTGGGGACTAGACTGCCTAAGTAGGACTAACAAATTAGCCAAAAGATCAATTCTGACCCTCTCCAAATTGCTCCTGGGGATAACATCACTATTGTAAGGCCTAAGATCTGTGCCTGAGATGTTTTGCAGCCCCTGCACTTGATGGATCAGCTGGCACCACCCAGCTCAATAAACTGGCTCATTTGATCCTGTGGCCCCCACCCAGGAACTGACTCAGCACAAGAAGACAGCTTGGACTCCCTGTGATTTCATCTCTGACCAATCAGCACTCCCGACTCACCGGCACCCCATACCCACCAAATTATCCTTAAAAACTGATCCCTGGCCAGTGTGGTGGCTCATACCTATAATCCCAGCACTTTAGGGGGCCAAGGCAGGCAGATCACTTGAGGTCAGGAATTCGAGACCAATCTGGCAGTATGATGAAACCTCATCTCTACTAAAAACACAAAAATTAGCCATGTGTGGTGGCACACCTCTGTAGTCCCAGCTACTCAGGAGGCTGAGGCAGGAGAATCTTGAACCTAGAGGCGGAGGCTGCAGTGAGCCGAGATTGCCCCACTGCACTCCAGCCTGGGGGACAGAGTGAGACTCTGTCTCAAAAAAAAAGAAAGAAAAGGAAAGGAAGGAAGGAAGCAAGGAAGGAGGGAGGGAGGGAGGGAGAGAGAAAAGGAAGGAAGGAAGGAGGGAGGGAAGGAAGGAAGGAGGGATGGAGGGAAGGAAGGAAGGAAGGAAGGAGAGAAAAAAACAAAAACAAAGATTTTGAGAAGGATCTATCTACTTTCAATTCCTGGGGTTCCATGAAGAAAACAGAGGTTTTTCCCAAAACGGATTGTGTGGCACCTCCTCTGTTTTTCCCAAGGAGTCTCAGGCTATTAGAAGCTATCTTAGAGCCTCTCATGCATGCATTGAGTGGCAAGAAAAAATGGAGAAAAATAATTCAGTTGACTGAAAAGAAAAAACTTTTTTCTAGAACAACAAGATCCAAGATAAAAAAAAAAGCATAAAGGCCTTTTAAATATACCTATTGGATATCCACTTCTTTTTTGAGATGGAGGCTCACTCTTTCTCCCAGGCTGGAGTGCAGTGGTGCAGTCTCAGCTCACTGTAGCCTCCACCTCCCAGATTCAAGTGATTTTCTTGCCTCAATCTCCCGAGTAGCAGGGACCACAGGCCCACAACACCACGCCTGGCTGATTTTTGTATTTTTTTGTAGAGACGGGGTTTCACCATGTTGCCCAGGCTGGTCTCAAACTCCTGGGCTAATGCAATCTTCCTGCTTCAGCCTCCCAAAGTGCTGAGATTATAGCTGCCAGCCACTGCTCCTGGCAGATATCCACTTTTAATTAAGCTGACTTTTAACCATAGTGCTCTTTTTAAAATCCTCTTAGATCTCTTATTACCTGACTTTAGCCATGCCAAGTGGCCAAAATTTCTGGACTTTGAACTTTACAAAAGGTAACCTCCCAGGTGTTTAGAGAAAGGAAAATTCAAGAAGGGAACCCTGAAGTTGTTCATGGAGGGGAAGAGAATTAACAAATGATTAAGGTCACACAGGCCAGGTGTGGTGGCTCATGCCTATAATCCCAGCACTTTGGGAGGCTGAGGTGGGCAGATCGCGAGGTCAGGAGATCGAGACCAGCCTGGCCAACATGGTGAAACCCTCTCTACTAAAAATACAAAAAACTTAGCCAGGCATGGTGGTGGGCGCCTGTAATCCCAGCTACTCGGGTGTCTGTCAGGAGAATCTCTTGAACCCAGGAGGCGGAGTCTGCGGTGAGCCGAGATCACACCACTGTACTCCAGCCTGGGCAACAGAGCAAGACTCCGTCTCAAAAAAAAAAAAAAAAGGAACAAAAAAAAGTCACACAAATATCACCCAGAAAGTACTCATATCCTGAGCCAGGAATTGAACTCAGGCCACCACTGTAAAATGGCAAAGCCTTAGCTGCTGAGCTACAGCACCGAGCTCTTTCTGTTGCCCTTCCCAGAAGGAGTCTAAGGTAGTTAATTTTGAGCTTGCAAACACTTTTAACTCCTGAAAATGATTTTTGGAGCTAACTATGACATGAACCCCCAAATTCCTGTTTCCTGGAAAATGGAGACCAAGAGAAAGTACTCTCACATGGTTACAAGGTCAGGCTCCTAAGGACATGAAACAAGATGGAGACCTCATCCAGTTTTTCTGTTTTTTTTTGTTGGTTTGTTTTTTGTTTTTTTGTTTTTTCTTAAGAGACTTGTAGCAAAGTTTGGAACTGACTAGTTTGCTGGGGTGGTTTGAACAGCGGGCTTATGGGGTCCTTTTGTTTTATCCTAAGGTACTTCTCTTTATGACAGACGCATACAGAAAGACACACAAAGCCCACCAGATTCGCTACTGTTTAACAAGAGCCTTAAAATCCTTTGTTGCATTAAGAAAAACTTTACAGAGGATATAAACAGTGATTGTTATCATTCATTCAACTGGTTTGCACAGAGAGAGGACAGACATCTGATTGGTAAGAAATCCTTTCACTTTTGCTGGTTGCCTTTTCCCTGAGTTGTTCTAGTAACCTGGCTCACTGCACTATAGCCCTGGGGGCCAAGTTGCAACACAAAGAGAATTTATCTTTTTCCACATTGGCCAGAGCAAAATACATGTGACAAAACATAGACATTAGCCACTCCACTTAGCACCCAATATCAAACGGGCAAGACTCAAACTTGCCCCTGGATGGGCCCTGTCATCTTTAAATCTTTTTAGAAGCTTCTGCATATTAATAGGCATCCCTAGATGAGACTAATTTGGGAGCCCTCATTTTTAAATGCACTTCAGTGCATTGTTGTTCAGTTGAAACTTTCCACTGTAAGTTATGTTTAGTAAAATTTTGCCATTTCTGTAAGGCTCTGCTGCTTCCCAGGCCTAACACTTATGCAGGTATAAGCTGGAAGAAACTCAGTCCTCCAGAAATTAAGGATCTATTTTTACCTAAGATATTGGCTTCACTTTCAGTTTCCCTTGATCAGCTTAGCCAATGATTTTTTCCTACCTAAGCAAGCAAAAAAAATGAAATAAAGGGGAGGAACAGAAAAATCCCTGTGAATTTTCAAAAGCCAAATTTTACAACCCCAACAATACCACCACGTACTACCAGTTTCTTTCTGGCCTAGTCAGATATAAAAGGCCTCTAACTGGATTCAAGCCAGTTAATTACCAGATCAAATTTGATCCTGGACCCAGTCTAGTTTCTGTCGCAACTTCTAAACCTAGTTTGGAAAAGAAATTTGCTCAAAGAAACTCAGAGAGCTGGCCGGGTGTGGTGGCTTATGCCTGTAATCCCAGCACTTTGGGAGGCTGAGGTGGGTGGATCACTTGAAGGTCAGGAGCTCCAGACCAGCCTGGCCAACATGGAGAAACCCCATCTCTACTAAAAATATAAAAAATTAGCTGGGTGTGGTGGTGCATGCCTGTAATCCCAGCTACTCAGGAGGGGGCAGGAGAATTGCTTGAACCCAGGAGGCGGAGGTCACAGTGAGCCAAGATCTCGCCATTGCACTCAGCCTGGGCAACAAGAGCAAAACTCTGTCTCAGAAAAAAAAAAAAAAGGAACTCAGAGAGCTCAAAACACTAATCTGTGGAGCTCTGAAATCTGAGAGAGAACTTACCAGGAACCCCAGCTGCTGTGACAGATCAAAGGACACAGTGGATTCTGCAGGTAACTTGCTTGTTCACTCAGCACTCCTGGGGATCGTTACAACCTCTACTTCAGATCCCACTTCTGACACCATCTGTTAAAAGAAAAACTTCAGCAGAATTAAATTTCAAGGAGTTTAATTGAGCAATGAATAATTTGCAAATCAAGCAGCCCCCAGAATCACAGCAGATTCAGAGAGATTCCAGGGATGCCTCATGGTCACAACAAATTTATAGACAAAAAACAAGAGAAGTGATGTACAAGAATTGGAAGTGAGGTACAGAAACAGCTGGGTTGGTTACAGGTTGGCATCTGCCTTATTTGAACACAGTTTGAACACTCAACAGTGTATGAGTTGTTGAAGTATGGCTGCTGGGATTGGCCAAGGCTCAACTATTGTTACAGGTGAATACTCCTAAGTTAGGTTTTCAAAGTTATCTCCCTATTAACTTAGGTTACAGTGCATCCACAAGGACTCAAATATAGAAGTACAGAGCCCTCCTCAACCCATATTTAATTCACTTTAACACTACCAACAAACTAGTCTACGTTAAAGGAAAAAAAAATTTTTTTGAGATGGAGTCTTGCTCTGCCACCCAGGCTAGAGTGCAGTGGCACAATCATGGCTCACTGTAGCCTCCACTTCTGAGGCTCAAATGATCCTCTCACCTCAGCCTCCCAAGTAGCTGGGATCACAGGCACATGCCACCATGCTGGGCTAATTTATTTATTTATTTTTTGGTAGAGATGGGGGTCTCACTATGTTGCCCAGGCTGATCTCAAACACGTTAAAAATTTAATGCCAGCCTAACTGTTGAGAAGATAGAAACAAAACTACCCCACACATCCTGTCCTCCAGCCTCAGCAGTCCTACTGCAAAGGTATTACCATACTGAGTTTACAAGGGGATTTACTTGAATTTCACTTGTTCTCTCATGGCCAAATTATTGCTCTTGAGTTTAATGCCTCAGGTCTCTCATCTGTAAAGTGGGTCAATAATAGTAACTTCACAAACTTGCAAAGAGTAAATGAAGAGATGATGCAAGCAAAGTGCAGGTAAAGTGCCTGGAAGAGAGCCTGGCACAGAACACTCGTTAACTTTAGCTACCATTATGACGATTTTGGAAGTCTTTCTTCCTATTACTACTATACTCTTTAGTGCCTAACGAAGAAACAAAACATCAATTGCAATTTTGGTGGATTAATTCCTTTCCAGTCAGTGCCCCAGCTCCTTACTGATGTAGCTAGCTCTTCACCCTGCCCTTATTAACCCTTTATACTTATCTGCCCACCTGACACGTGGGGACGTGGCTTGTGCACTAGGGCAGTATAAGGACCTAGATTGATGTATGCTACTTGGTTGTGTATACCTGAGATGTGAACAGTCCCAGGAGATGGGGACGGGGTGGCCAGATCAGAACATCATAACCGAGTTGGGAGACTTCTGAGCTCCAGATGAGTGGTCTCTATGTCCTATGCATCCTTTGGCAAGGGACTCCATGTATTAGTCTTTCTCTCTTTGTTTTTTTTTTTTTTTTTTTTTTTTTTTGAGACAGTGTTTCGCTCTTGTTGCCCAGGCTGGAGTGCAATGGCGTGATCTCGGCTCACCGCAACCTCCGCCTCCCGGGTTCAAGCAATTCTCCTGCCTCAGCCTCCCGAGTAGCTAGGATTACAGGCATGCGCCACCACGCCAGGCTAATTGTGCATTTTTAGTAGAGACGGGGTTTCTCCATGTTGGTCAGGCTGGTCTCGAATTCCCGACGTCAGGTGATCCGTCCGCCTCGGCCTCCAAAATGCTGGGATTACAGGCGTGAGCCATTGCCACCGGTGTATTACTCTTTCTCTATTGCAATTCCCCTGTCTTGATAAATAGGCTCTGTCTAAGCAGCAGGCACGGTGATCCCATTGGGCAGTTACAACAGGGTTGTATGTAACTGGGTTACAGGGTTGTAACAGGGTTGCTGCTGTAATGGCCCAATGGGTTCACCTTGCCTGTTGCCTAGACAGAGCTGATTTATCAAGATGGAAATTGTAACAGAAAAACAGTAATTCACGCAGAGCTGCTGTGCAGGAGACTAGAGTTTGTTGTTGTTGTTTTGAGACGGAGTCTCTCTCTGTCGCCCAGGCTGGAGTGCCAAGGCGCGACCTCGGCTCACTGCAAGCTCCGCCTCTCGGGTTCACGCCATTCTCCCGCTTCAACCTCCCGAGTAGCTGGGACTACAGGCACCTGCCACCACGCCCGGCTAATTTTGTTTTTGTATTTTTAGTCGAGACGGGGTTTCACCGTGTTAGCCAGGCTGGTCTCGATCTCCTGTCCTCGTGATCTGCCCGCCTCGGCCTCCCAAAGTGCTGGGATTACAAGCATGAGCCACTGCACCCGGCCTAGAGTTTTATTTTTACTCAAATCAGTTTCCCAGAGCATTCAGGGATCAAAGTTTTTTTGTTTTTTGTTTTTTGTTGTTTTTTTTTTTTTTTTGAGACGGGGTCTCGCTCTGTCGCCCAGGCTGGAGTGCAGTGGCGCTATCTCGGCTCACTGCAAGCTCTGCCTCCCGGGTTCACGCCATTCTCCTGCCTCAGCCTCCCCAGTAGCTGGGACCACAGGCGCCTGCCACCACACCCGGCTAATTTTTTTGTATTTTTAGTAGAGACGGGGTTTCACCATGTTAGCCAGAATGGTCTTGATCTCCTGACCTCGTGATCCGCCCGCCTCGGCCTCCCAAAGTGCTGGGATTACAGGCGTGAGCCACCGCGCCCAGCCAGGGATCCAAGTTTTTAAGGATAATTTGGCAGGTTGGGGAAGGCCAGTGAGTCAAGAGTGCTGATTGGTTGGGTGGGAGATGAAGTCACAGGGAGTTGAAGCTGTCCTCTTGCGCTGAGTCAGTTCCTGGGTTGGTGGGGAGGGGGCACAAGATCACATAGCCAGTTTATCCATCTGGTGGTGCCAGCTGATCCATCAAGTGCAGGGTCTGCAACATATCTCAAGCACCGATCTTAGGTGCAGTTTAGGGAGGGTCAGAATCTTGTAGCTTGCAGCTGTAATTTCTAATCTAAACCATAATTTCTAATCTTGTGGCTGATTTGTTAGTCCTACAAAGGCAGTCCAGTCCCCAGGCAAGAAGGAAGTTTGTTTTGGGAAAAGGCTGTCATCATCTTTGTTTTAAACTTCAAACTGTAAACTAAGTTCCTCCCAAAGTTAGTTCAGCCTATATCCAGCAATGAACAAGGACAGTTTGGAGGTTAGAAACAACATGGATTTGGGTAGGTCAGATCGCTTTCAGTGTCTCAGTTATAATTTTGCAGTGGTGGTTTCACTGTGACAATCCTGAGGGACTTCCCACAGAACCCTCAGTTATTGAAGCCCAAAGCCTCAGAAATGGCGAGGAAGAAGGGGAAGGGTGTTGCGCGGTCAAACTCCACACGTTCTTAGCCGACCTCCGCCGCTTTTCCTAGAATGTCTCATCTCTATGGTCGACGGCGTTCAGATTCCGGGGCAGACTAAGTTGTTCTTCCGGGGTGACTGCCTCTTCCAGGGCGGGCGGTGTGGTGCACGCATTGCTGTGCTCCAACTCCCTCAGGGCCTGTGTTGCCGCACTCTGCTGCTATGAGCTTCCTCAAAAGTTTCCCGCCGCCTGGGCCAGCGGAGGGGCTCCTGCGGCAGCAGCCAGACACTGAGGCTGTGCTGAACGGGAAGGGCCTCGGCACTGGTACCCTTTACATCGCTGAGAGGTAGGGTTCCTGGTCCCCAGCGCTGGCCTCCTGCGCGCCGCCCTCCTCCTTGCTGGAGCAGGCGGTGCGAAGGAGCCGGGCAAGGGGCGGCCTGGAGGCCTGCTGGGAGCGGGGTCTCGTGCCCGACGCCTCAGGGATACCTGTAGCGGGTGGAAGGCTCGATTTTTCTAGTACTCCTCCGGAGTCTTCCATTCTCTGTTTTCTCCGGCCGGAATTTCCCCTTATGGATTGTGCTTTTTTTTTTTTTTTTTCTTTTTTTCCTCTTTCTCTTTCTCTGTCTCTTTCTCTCTTTCTTTCTTCTTCTTTTCTTTCTTTCTTTCTTTTATTTTCTTTTTTTTTTTTTTTTAACTCGCCTATTTACTGGAGGTCTGGCGCGTGCGTTGCCCTTAACGCACGGTCTGGTTTTAAGGGTCTGAAGTGTGCCTGTCTTTCCGGATGAACAGATGCAGGAGATGTTCCCCTCTCTGGGATACGTAGTTTCAGAGCCGACTGTGGAGGACTTTTAAAGTTTGGTTACACAATAAAGATTTTCTTCTGTAGGTATAGTAAGGAGAGGAACACCCTTAACTCGACACAGACAGGGGTCATATGCAGAGGGACCAGACTCCCGTTTTGGGGTCCTGGAAGGAATTGCCCTTTTATTTGGCCACGTGGAGCACTTTGGTATTTTGACAGTCAGATAGATCTACCGTAAATATTGTGGTTGTAGAACAGAGGTCCCTGTTTCCTTGACATGCAGTTTTCTTTATTTTGAAGCCTGTAATGACACATCGAATCTTTCCTGCCCTTCAGATATGTGTTGCTTCCCCTTTTGCTCCATCACTTGTCTACAGCCAGAGAAAATTCTCTACTTTTAAGAGCTCATGTGATTACTTTGGAACCACCTGTAAAATCCAGGATAATCTCCCTATGTTACTGTCGACTGGTAACCTTAATTACGTTTGTGAAGTCCCTTTTGCTGTGTAATATAACATATTCACCCGCATGACACCAGAAAGTGAAGGTCGTGGGGCCAAAATTCTGCCTACTACAGAATCCAGAGCACAAAAACTGTAAAGAACCTCTGCTTTAAAGGGAAATTTAGACATTGAACAAGGTTTAGGCTTCAGGCCAGAAACTGAGATAGGACATATGGATGGGAGGAAAAGCAAGATTGAGGTGAGAGGCAGATAATGAGTTTGGTCAGGACATGTGTGGAGTAGTTGTACATATGACCGTGTTGGGCCGGGCGCGGTGGCTCACACCTGTAATCCCAGCACTTTGGGAGGCTGAGGCAGGCAGATCGCTTGAGCCCAGGAGTTTGAGATCAGCCTGGGCAGCATGGCGAAACCCAGTCTCTACAAAAAATACAAAAATTAGCCAGGCATGGTGGCGGCCTGTAGTCCTAGCTACTCAGGAAACTGAGGTGGGAGGATCACCTGAGCCCAGGAGGTCGAGGCTGCGGTGAGCCGTGATTGTGCCCCTGCACTCCAGCCTGCATGACAGAGTGAGACCCTGTCTCAAAAAAAAAATAAAAATAAAAAAAGAATGTGTATCTTGGGAAAGTGGTATTAAAGAGAGATGTTTGGAGGTCGTTAAAGTGTTAGTGTATACTCATGGAAATGGATTAGATATCTCAGAAGAGAAGAGGACCAAGTGTAGAACCCTAGGGATACGCCGACGGGTGGGTCATGAAAGAAGAAACTTGAGAAAGGAGGAAGGAGCAGTCAAAACAAAATGTGAAGAGCATATATTGAGTATTGACAAGGAGATCTTTGATAATTGGGGAAAGCAGTTTCTTTGAAGTGGTGGAAGATGGAGCACAGATACATTCCTAGTTCCCAGGCATTCCTTTTTTATTCATGACATTTCTGTATGTTGACGCTTCTTTCAGTATTATAACTCCTTTTGAGGGACAGTCCTGTATTGATTTTTGCATTTAGAAGAATTTCAAACCTAAGATCCAGTGTGGTGGCTCACGCCTGTAATACCAGCACTTTGGGAGGCTGAGGCGGGTGGATCACCTGATGACAGGAGTTCAAGACCAGCCTGGCCAACAATGTGAAACCCTGTCTCTACTAAAATACAAAAATTATCCGGGTGTGGTGGCGTGCACCTGTAATCCCAGCTACTTGGGAGGCTGAGGCAGGAGAATCGCTTGAACCCGAGAGGCGGAGGTTGTAGTAAGCCGAGATCATGCCATTGCATTCCAGCCTGGGTGACAGAGTGAGACTGTCTCAAAAAAAAAAAAAAAAGAAAAATTTCAAACCTAAAGAAAAGTTGTGTTATTACTACCCATACACCCTTCACAAAGATTTATTAGTTAACATTTTGCCATGTTTATGTCTCTGTTTTTCTTTTTTTTCTGAGCCATTTGAGAATTGTCGACGTTTTCCACTTCCTGTTCAGAAGAACAGGGACATTATCTTGTATAACCACAATACAATTCTCATACTAAGGAAGTATAACTCTTTTTAAGTTCTTATCAGCTTTTAAAAAATTCTTAGCCTGGGCAAGGTGGCTTACGCCTGTAATCGCAGCACTTCGGAAGGCCAAGGTGAGCAGATCCCTTGAGTCCAGGAGTTCTTGACCAGCCTGGACAACATGACAAAACCCCATCTCTGCAAAGAATACAAAAACTGCAAAAATTAGCCGGTCGTGGTTGCACGTGCCTGTAGTGGCAGTTACTATGGGGAGCTGAGGTGGGAGGATTACTTGAGCCTGGGCAGTTGAGGCTGCGGTGAGCTGTGATCACACTACTGCATTCCAGCCTGGGTGACAGAGTGAAACCTTGTCTCTGAAAAAAATTAAACATTATTTGTTTCAGCTTTTCACAAACAAATCTCTTATGTTTCTTCTTTAAGATTTTTTTTTTTTTTTTTTTTTTGAGACAGAGTCTTGTTCTGTCGCCCAGGCTGGAGTGCAGTGGCGCGACCTTGGCTCACTGCAAGCTCCGCCTCCCGGGTTTAAGCGATTCTCCTGCCTCAGCCTCCTGAGTAGCTGGGACTACAGACGTGCTCCACCACGCCCAGCTAATTTTTGTATTTTTAGTAGAGACGGGGTTTCACCATGTTGGCCAGGCTGGTCTCAAATTCCTGACCTCATGATCCACCCACCTTGGCCTCCCAAAGTGCTGGGATTACAGGCATGAGCCACCGTGCCCGGCCAAAATAATTTTTTTGTGTGTGAAACATAAATACAAAAAAAGGGTATAAATACACACACATACTGTGTACATATATATACAGTCCAGCCGTTCTTCATCTGAGGGAGTGAGGGAGAATGCCCAGAGATGATAAAGCTGGAGAAGGAGAGAGTCATGTTCATAAATTTGGCTTATAGCCTTTAGGCTTTGGTGAAACTATTTAGTTTGAGGCAGAGAGGGACAGCAACAGATTAGGTTTGGCTGGACTTGGTTTAGTCTCTCAGATTTGTGTTGAAAGATTTAGAATCTCCGGCTTATTTCAGAGCTTAGTTTTTTATAGGAAGTTGAATTTTTTTTTTTTTTTGAGATGAAGTTTCACTCTTGTTGCCCAGGCTGGAATGCAATGGCGCAATCTTGGCTCACCGCAACCTCCGCCTCCTGAGTTCAAGCTATTCTTTTGCCTCACCCTCCCGAGTAGCTGGGATTAACAGGCATGCACCACCATGCCTGGCTAATTTTGTATTTTTAGCAGAGATGGGATTTCTCCATGTTGGTCAGACTTGTCTCAAACTCCCGAACTTAGATGATCCATCTGCCTCGGCCTCCCAAGATGCTGGGATTATAGGTGTTAGCCACTGCACCCGGCCAGGAAGTTGAATTTTTATCCAAATAAGGAAGATACAGAGGCATGAATAATATAAAATAGACAGTTTAAAACAGGTAAAATAGGTAATCAAATTAAAATTAGGTAATTTAAACTTAAAATTTTTTTTTTGTATCTCATTCCAAAATTAATCTTAAACCAAATAATTAAGTTAACCCAAATTCAAGACCTCTCTTAGCTTCCTGTCCTGTTTTTCATCCCGTGCTGGGAATAAAGGACACTCACCATACTTGTGCAAAAGCATTTGAATTCAGCAAAACATGTTCTCTACATGTTTACTCTGTGTCTAATTCTTCTTGTCTTTCCCTTTTGACTCACGGTTTCTTTGGAACTGGGTATGATTAATTAAATGTTTTAGAAGGATTTCTTCTAGAATATATACAAAGAGTAAATGCAAATCAGAATTTAATGATCAGACAAAACAGTTATATTTTTAGATGATACAGTGAAATCTTTTATGTTTCTCTACATCACTTTGAAAGTTAGAACTTGAATACTTTCAGTAGATTTATTACAATCATCCCAGCAAACTTTAATGGCAGCATGTCTGGCCTATTTCATCGTGGCCTCTGCTAGAATTAGAAAATCTGGTGGTGGTGCAACAAATAATTCATGTGCAATAGGATTTAATTTGTTGTTAATAGGTATTTGTTCAAATTAAAATTGCCAGATTAAATGAATGTACTGTCAAATCTCTTTTTTTTTTTTTTTTTTTTTGAGATGGAGTCTCCCCGTTGCCCAGGCTTGAGTGTGGTAGCGTGATCTTGGTTCACTGCAACCTCCGCCTCCTGGATTCAACCAATTCTCCTGCCTCAGCCTCCCAAGTAGCTGGGATTACAGGTGCCTGCCACCACACCCAGCTAATTTTCGTATTTTTAATAGAGACAGGGTTTCGCCATGTTGGTAGTCTGGTCTGGAACTCCTGACCTCAGGTGATCCATCCACCTCGGCCTCCCAAAATGCTCCCAAAATTATAGGCCTGAGCCACCACGCTCGGCTTATAATGTCAAATCTTTTTTAACATAGTAACATGCTGTTGGAAAAAATAAGTTGTTGAAAGTAAGTTGTTTTCCCATTTAAAAATATCTGTGAATATTAATATATGATTTGCATTTGTAAATCTGAAAAAGTAAAATACAGAAACCTAGGGTTTCTTTTCTTTTTTTATTTAAAAAAAAAAGAATTTAACGATTAGAATAAGTGTTTTTAAGTGTGGAACTTGGCTTCTGTCCTATAGAATGCATAATCCCAGTTCATGTAAAAGATTATGAGAGTTCCATAGCAAATGCTGTGCAGAGGAGCATTTGTATTCTCTCTGCACTAGTAAGGAATTACAGAGGTATTATGATGGCTTTTAAAAGTGAAGGCCATAATTTGATAGGCACTCATTCTATGTTTAGGTTTCAGTTTTTCCATGTCGTCATTGAGTCATTCAAGTTTTATGGCTCTGGATATTTGAAATTATTTTGGACACCCAAATTTGGAATGTTTCTTTCTGAATTGTGATAACGCCAGAAAATTTTTGAGATCAGAAAAGGGCAGTTTATTTGCTTTAAAATAATACAGCTTTTGTAGGGGACTCGTGATACTTGGGCATTATTTCCTCTCCACATTAAAAGGAAAGCAGTGGGCAGGAAAGATGCATACAGCACATAACCTCATTACATAATACAATGTTTCTTTGGAACCAGTAGGAATGAGTTGTTCTGGAAAACAATTTGTAGAGGTTTTATCACTTTTAGCTCTTTAAGATTTATCACTTTTAGGCCAGGCGCAGTGGCTCACGCCTGTAATACTGGCACTTTGGGAGGCCGAGGTGGCAGATCACCTGAGGTCGGGAGTTTGAGACCAGCCTGGCCGTCATGGCAAAACCCCATCTCTATTAAAAATACAAAAATTAGCGAGGCGTGGTGTCACACGCTTGTAATCCCAGCTACTTGGGAGGCTGAGGCAGGAGAATCGCCTGAACCCTGGAGGTGGAGATTGCAGTGAGCCAAGATCATGCTACTGCACTCCAGCCTGGGTGACAGAGTGAGACTTCATCTCAAAAAAACAAAGATTTATCACTTATAAGCTTCCTAGTTTTCCTTTACTTTTTTTTTTTTAATAAGAATGTTGGATAGAAATCTTTCCACATGACAGTGCATATATTCTTACTTTTGCCTTTTGAAAGTATACAATTAGGGGCAGGGTGTGGTGGCTCATGCCTATAATCCCAGCACTTTGGGAGGCCGAGGCGGGTGGATCACGAGGTCAGGAGATCCAGACCATCCTGGCTAACACGGTGAAACCCCGTCTCTAAAAATACAAAAAATTAGCCGGGTGTGGTGGCGGGCGCCTGTAGTCCCAGCTACTGGGGAGGCTGAGGCAAGAGAATGGCGTGAACCCGAGAGGCGGAGCTTGCAGCGAGCCGAGATCCGCCACTGCACTCCAGCCTGGGCGACAGACCGAGACTCTGTCTAAAAAAAAAAAAAAAAGTATACAATTACGTAAGTTTTAGTATATTTACAGAGTTGTACAGTTATCACCACAATCTAATAATCTGCCTTTGTTTTTGGTAATGCTTTCGGTAACTGAGGGTCATGTGGTTAGACATTGATTTCATTTAGGGGAACTGAGGTGGAAAGTTCATCCTCCCCTTCCACTGAACATGAGTGATCTCAGACTGTCACACTGTCATTGTTCCTGCCCAAGGCAGTCCTAGGTTCTCCTGTTTTACTTTTGTTTTTGCTTGGTTAGAAATTAGACAGCCAGGCTTGTTAAAATTGTATAGAATATAGAATGATACAGGGGTCTTACTTCATTAACTTTTAAAAATAATTCATATAGCATACAGTTTAACCATTTAAACATACAATTCACTAGTTTTTAGTCTGTTTACAGAATTGTGCAATTATCACCACCATTTTAGAATATTTTCTTCACCCCAAAAAGAACCTGGTACCCAGTAGCAGACATTCCCTATTTCCTTCTAGCCCTAGGCAACCACTATATTGCATTAACATTTTTTTTTTGACTTCTTCAGGATTTTTTACTTTTTTTCTGCTAAGTGGTACAGCTCCAGATGGATGAAGTATTATCAGAAAATTAGCTAGCCTCTACTGAAAGCTCAAAATACTGATTTTGGTGATGTGTTTCCTTTGTTACACCAATAAAATATTTGCATTTGACCACATTTGAGGGAAAACTAGATCTAGCTTTTCTGTGGCTTTCTCTTAAAGACGTTGAATAAATGAAAGGCTTCAGGGAATCTGTCTCTCAGGGTAATAATTATTTCCTGACTTGCGGTGAGTGTGATTACAGCCATTTCATATATATGTCTTTTAGTGTAGGATTCATGGAGAAATGCATGATTACCAAGGATTTATTGCATACTTAACTCCTGAGCTCTTTGTTAACGGTTTTGAAGGATGTTAATAAAGGAATGTGACAAGTTCTGCTGTCCGATAGTTCACATTCCATAAGGGCACATATAAGACTCATTACCACAGAGTTAAGTGCTAAAATTTGCAAATCAGAAAAGGAAGAGATCTTTATGGACTGGTGTAGTTGAAGGGAGGCCTCATGGAAGAGGGGAGGATTTGCAAAAGCAAAGAGGGTATTTGAAGACATACCAAAAAAGAGTAAGCATGAAAGTCATAGAAACATACATGTGACTGAGGAAAATGGAATTTCAAGTCTGTTTGAATTTATAGCTAGAGGGAAAGAGACCGTAACAGAATTGATCTTAAAGAAAACTCAGTTTCCACTACTGAATTTTCTTATTTTATGAACGTTTCTAAAAAAGTAAACTTGAATTTATTTATATGCATAAAGGTGTCCAAGCTGAACTTTTATATACTTTGTGGTCTTACATGAGGATTTACTTTCTAAAAATAATCTACTTAAAACATGTTTTTCAGCCGCCTGTCTTGGTTAGATGGCTCTGGATTAGGATTCTCACTGGAATACCCCACCATTAGTTTACATGCATTATCCAGGGACCGAAGTGACTGTCTAGGAGAGCATTTGTATGTTATGGTGAATGCCAAATTTGAAGGTATGTATGGTGTAATTTAATCTAATGCCTCCTTTGATAGCAAATTATATTTTAAAAAAGAGTCTTTGAGGCCGGGCACGGTGGCTCACGCCTGTAATCCCAGCACTCTGGGAGGCCGAGGCGGGCGGATCACAAGGTCAGGAGATCGAGACCATCCTGGCTAATACGGTGAAAACCCGTCTCTACTAAAAAATACAAAAAATTAGCCAGGCGTGGTGGTGGGCGCCTGTAGTCCCAGCTACTCAGGAGACTGAGGCAGGAGAATGGTGTGAACCTGGGAGGTGGAGCTTGTAGTGAGCCGAGATCATGCCACTGCACTCCAGCCTGGGCGACAAAGTGAGACTCCGTCTAAAAAAAAAAAAAGAAAAAAAAGAGTCTTTGATAATAATCAATGTAACATTGAGGCCATTGACTCATTTTGGGTAGTAGTTTATTAAGCAAAATTTCAGCACAGCAACTTGGACACTTGAAGTTTTCACAATGGATGTTCATGTGTGTCTGTATATATTTCTCTATATTTACACTTAGAATTCTTCATTTATTATGGATATGTATTTCTAGCTTTTCCTCTAAAGTTTCACTGTTTATTCTGCCTTTCTCTTTTTAAAAGGCACCCTTAGGGGCTTGGATCAGTATACCCTGTGCTTCTCATAATTTAAGATAGAACTGTTTTGTTTTGTTTCAGTAGTGGGTCTCAGTGGTTGTAGGGGGGATATATTTTCCATGGGCCTCCACCAACCTCACCATTCCCCCACATTTGGCAGTGACATTTTGGTTGAAAGAGGAAGGGTATTATTGGTGTCTAGCAGTTAGATGCCAAGGATGCTATTATTATACTAAATATTCTGCTATGCACAGATGGTCCCCCACAACAAAGAATTATTCCATCCAAATGTCAGTAGTGCCAAGGTTGAGAAACTGTAGGATATAAAGATTCTCAAGTTTTGCTTTGGGATAATTGCAAAGACTTGTAAAAGTCTAGTGAAGATGCTCATGTTTAAAATAACGGGTTGCTTTTCTTTGAAGTAGTGTGTAAGAGACAATCCTATGAAGTTACCTACAAGGCTATTGCTCTTTCAAATTTAGATTTTAATATGGTTCCAGATATAATATGATCATTTATATTCAGGTGTGAAACTATTTAGTAATTCTTAGGACTTTTGGCAAGACCTGCCTCATTAAGTGGTAATGACTGATTCAGCTATCTGAAAATATTTTTGTTATAAGATTTCAAATTCTTGCCATTGGAAAAGGTTCAAAGACATTTAAAAATCTAGTGAAGTTTGAAAAAGAGGATGAGGAAAAGTAAAAGGCTGTTAACCTTGGGGTGTAGTAGTGTAGTAAGACTTCCTAATAAGGCATTTGGCACAAAATTTACTCTCCATCTAAGTAAATGCAACTATGATTTTATAACCAAGAATATTATGTGTCATGTTTAGTTTAAAGCATTCATTCATTTGCAGAAATGCGAAACCTTGCTCTTGTCAGTCAACTCCAGATGCTGGTGTGAAATGGCCCCAAATAGTGACGGCCATTGGAGGTGGGAAAGGTACATGCCAAGAGAAAGGCTTAGGAAATAGCATTTAATAAATACTAGCCTAAGGGCAAAAGCACATTGAATAAGAAAACTCTGTCATTAGGCCGGGCACAGTGGCTCAAACCTGTAATCCCAACACTTTGGGAGGCCAAGGGGGGCAGATCACAAGGTCAAGAGATCGAGACCATCCTGGCCAACATGGTGAAACCCTGTCTCTACTAAAAATACAAAAATTAGCTGGGCGTGGTGGCGGGTGCCTGTAATCCCAGCTACTCGGGAGGCTGAGACATGAGAATCACTTGAACCCGGGAGGTGGAGGTTGCAGTGAGCTGAGATCGCGCCACTGCACTCCAGCCTGGGCAACAGAGCAAAACGGTCGAAGAAAAGAAAAAAAAGTAAGAACTCTGTCATTAACTTGCTAGGCAAGTCATTTGCATTTCTCTGAGCCTGAATTTCATCCAAAAAGTTAAGGGAGTATATTAGTCTCTTGTTCCCAAACTCAAGACTAATGGATACACATTAGAAATACATGGGAAGCTTGTTTAAAATGCAAATGCTCTGAGTCCTAAACTAGGAAAAAGCAGTTCAGTAGGTTTTAGGGTGTGTGTTTTAAATATGTGCTCTATAATCATACAGAATCTATATGATTGGTTGTAATTGATGTGATTATGATTAATCCTTTCTTAGTAAGATATGCAGGATTTCCTATCTTACTAGAAATTAGTATCTTTCTGGGTCACATTTATTTCACTAATTCTCCAGTTCCTTTTTTTTTTTTCTTTTTTTTTGAGATGGAGTCTTGCTCTGTCGCCAGGCTGGAGTGCAGTGATGCGATCTTGACTCACTGCAACCTCTGCCTCCTGGGTTCAAGCGATTCTTCTGCCTCAGCCTCCCGAGTAGCTGGGACTACAGGCTCCCGCCACCACGCCCCGCTAATTTTTTTTTTTTTGTATTTTAGTAGAGTTGGGGTTTCACTGTGTTGGCCAGGATGCTCTCCATCTCCTGACCTCATGATCCACCCACCTCAGCCTCCCAAAGGGCTGGGATTACAGGCGTTAGCCACCTCGCTTGGCCCTTTAGTTCTTTTTATCTTAAACTCCTCTCATAAATTACATGTGCTTGAATCATATTTTCCCAGCCTTTGTTCCTTGCATTCTGATTCTCTAAGCTCTAAGTTTTTTTTTTTTCTCTTTGGCATACCTCTGTAAGTCTCTTTAAAAATGACCATCAGGGCTGGGCGCGGTGGCTCACACCTGTAATCCCAGCACTTTGGGAGGCTGAGGCGGGCGGATCACGAGGTCAGGAGATCAAGACCATTCTGGCTAACACGGTGAAACCCCGTCTTTACTAAAAAAAATACAAAAAAATTAGCCAGGTGTGGTGGCGGGCGCCTGTAGTCCCAGCTACTCAGGAGGCTGAGGCAGGAGAATGGGGTGAACCCAAGAGGCAGAGCTTGCAGTGAGCCGAGATGGCACCACTGCAGTCCAGCCTGGGCGACAGAGCAAGACTCCGTCTCAAAAAAAAAAAAATGACCATCAGGACCGGGCATAGTGGCTCACATCTGTAACCCCAGCATTTTTTTTTTTTGTGATGGAGTCTCACCCTGTCACCTAGGCTGGAGTGCGATGCTGTGATCTTGGCTCACTGCAACCTCCACCTCCCAGGTTCAAATGATTCTCCTGCCTCAACCTCCTGAGTAGCTGGGATTATAGGCGCCTGCCACCACGCCTTGCTAATTTTTGTATTTTTAGTAGAGACGGGGTTTCACCATATTGGCCAGGCTGGACTCAAACTCCTGACCTCGTGATCCGCCCACCTCGGCCTCCCAAAGTGCTGGGATTACAGGCGTGAGCCACCGTGCCCAGCCACAATCCCAGCATTTTGAATGGCCAAGACAGGAGGATCACTTGAGCCCAGGAGTTTCAGACCAGCCTGGGCAACATCGTAAGACCCCATCTCAAAAAAACAAAAATTAGCAGGGTGTGGTGGCAAGTGCCTGTAGTCCCAGCTGCTTAGTAGGCTGAGGTGGGAGGATCGCTTGGGCCTGAGAGGGCAAGGGTGTCCAGTCTGGGCAACAAAACAAGTCCCAGTCTCAGAAAAAAAAGTTGACCCTTAGCTCATTGTTGATGAGATTAGATTACCTTAAAAATAACCTTAAAAATTCATTCCCGGTGAGGCGCGGAGGGAGCACTTTGGGAGGCCAAGGTGCGTGGATCTCGAGGTCAGGAGATCGAGGCAAGGCTTTTCTAGGATGCTCACTGTATAATCAGAATTTTTCAACCATAATTGGAAATAAATTTGTCAACCATAATTGGAAATTAAAATTGAATTGCAATATTCAGATTTTCAATATGCTTCATTTTTTTAAAGTCAAATAATGACATTAAAAGGGTATTTTATTTTCTAGAAGAATCAAAAGAACCTGTTGCTGATGAAGAAGAGGAAGACAGTGATGATGATGTTGAACCTATTACTGAATTTAGATTTGTGCCTAGTGATAAATCAGCGTGTGAGTGTTCTACAGTATTGATTCTTCCCCTTTTACATACCAAGCATTCCCAATTGACACACACACACATACACACACACACACACCTCTCACCTTTACCACCATTACCTCCATTCTATTGCTTTTTCTTTATTTTAGCATTGGTAATATCATTAAGGACCAAATACCTATTAATATCAAAGGTTGTGAATGTAGTGAGAATATTGTAGACACTCTGTCATCTGGGTATATTTTGTGAGTGGACTCTGGTTAGTTTTACTGATTGGTGCTGTTGACTTAATCTCACCTGCTGGATGGCAGAGGAGTTATGGCAGTTTTAAAGTGGAAGATCTCAGGATGGCTGGAAAGAGCCCTATCAGCTGAGAGCAGTCTTCACCCTTCACCCTGATGCCAGCAGTCTTACCAGGACTCTGACCCTTTTTTCTTGGAAAATCCCACGAGCCATGAAGAGATTGCAATGATCTCTCATAATGAACTCTTATTATTTTATGACTTGTCTTTTGCTTCAACCGCTTTCAAGATTGATCTTACAATTTGGCAGATTTTGTAAATACTGTGGCGTTTTGTGTACCCATTAAATTTATTTGCACTGATGGTTACTTTTATTACAAAAAAAGATTGGTTACAGTTTAATTTCCTTGTTCAGTGGAGGCAATGTTCACTGCAATGTGCGAATGCCAGGCCTTGCATCCAGATCCTGAGGATGAGGATTCAGATGACTACGATGGAGAAGAATATGATGTGGAAGCACATGGTTAGTGAAATGGATTTTAAAGTGGGTTTTTTGTTTGTTTAGTGTTTCATTTTAAGCATTTATTTGTATTAAGGGTAGAGGATTATAGTTCTTTATATGACTGTAAAGTATGCAGTATGGTAAAATTATTATTATTATTTTTGAGATGGAGTTTTCGCTTTTGTTGCCCAGGCTGGAGTGCAATGGCGTGGTCTCGGCTCACTGCAACCTCTGCCTCCTAGGTTCAAGCGATTCTCCTGCCTCAGCCTTCCAAGTAGCTGGGATTACAGGCATGCGCCACCACGCCAGGCTAATTTTGTATTTTTAGTAGAGATGGGGTTTCTCCATGTTGGTCAGGCTGGTCTTGAACTCCCGACCTCAGGTGATCCGCCTGCCTCGGCCTCCCAAAGTGCTGGGATTACAGGTGTGAGCCACTGTGCCTGGCTGGTAAGATTATTATTAAAATAGAATGACACGGTAGAACACTTTATGCCAAAGCCCTTTGCAACAGACAAATTTTTGAGTGTAAGAAATAGAGATTGTTATGGGGAAGAATGGGTAAGTAGAGCATATGGGAGGAAAGAAAATGGTAGATAGGGAAGTGGATGGTCAGGAAAGTCTTTTAAGCTGAGGCAGCTGCCCCCAGAGAACAAGCTTCTCTCTCTACACCTTGAGAACCTGGATCATTTATATTGTTTTATTATTACTATTATTATTTTGCAACAGGGTCTCACTCTGATGCCCAGGCTGGTGTGCAGTGGTGTGATTTCTGCTCACTGCAACCTCTGCCTGCTGGACTCAAATGATTCTCCCAGCTCAGCCTCTTGAGTACCTGGGACTACAGGCTTGCGCCACCATGCCTGGCTAATTTTTGTGTATTTTTTATAAAGACTGGGCTTTGCCATATTGCCCAAGCTGGTCTCCAACTCCTGGGCCCAAGCAATCCTCTGGCCTTGGCCTCCCAGAATGCTGGGTTACAGGCATGAGCCACCGGGCCTGGCCTGCATCTTTATTTAACATGTTCCTTCAAACAGCTCACTGCCAAGGTCATTTCTTTTTCTCAGAACCATACTTCATTTATTTAAGAGCCCTTTCCGATTGCCTCCCCCAGACCAGAATGCAGTCACTAGCGTGATAAGAGTCTTTATAGCTTGAAGTACCTGCTGTTCTCTTTTCTTTTCCCTACTGGTCTTATGTACACCAATCTGGGTATCCAAAGCCCTTTCCTTCATATGTACCCACTTCCTGGCCTGAGATAAACACATTTCTGGGATCCGCCATCACATACCTAAATATATCCAAATATATCCTTATCTTTCTGAGATTTTTGAGTGATTTAAAATTTTTCATCCTTTTTGTATGTTCCAGAATTTCTAATTTTTTTTTTTTTTTTAAACAGGGTCTAACTCTGTTGCCCAGGCTGGAATACAGTGGTACCATTCTCCACCCACTGCAGCCTTGAACTACTGGACCAAAGCTGTCCCACCCCAGTCTCCCGATTAGCTGAGACTACAGGTGCACACCACGTGCCCGGCTAATTAAAAAAAACATTTTTTTGGAGAGATGAAGTCTTACTATGTTGTCCAGGCTGATCTTGAACTCCTGGGCTCAAGCAGTCCTCCCAGCTCGGCCTCTCAAAGTGCTGGGATTACAAACGTCAGCCACTGCACCTGGCCCTGATTTTTTTTAAGAAAGGAGCATGTTTTTTAATCAGAAAACATCTTCATTTTACAAATTAATACCAAATTAATTTGTGCTCACTTGTAAAATTCCCACCTCAGGATAATGTAGGACTCTCTGACCTTAGGAACACACTTTTTTTTTCTAGTCCCTGGACTTGGGATTCTTTGGGAATTGCTGTTTACTGGCTTGTTATCTCTTTTAATAACCCTAGAGAGTAGGTACATCTTCTTTGTATTTCTGTCTTCAGCAGTAGCCTATATGTGTGTATAAATAAATGTTCAAAAGTATCTTCCTGGAAGCCTATTTGGACAGTATATTATCTTCAGCAGATTCTTTTTTTTTTTTTTTTTTCCAAGACAAGGTCTTGCTCGGTTGCCCAGGCTGGAGTACAATGGCGTGATCTCGGTTCACTGCAACCTCCACCTCTGTGGTTCAAGCGATTCTCCTGCCTCAGCCTCCTGAGTAGCTGGGACAACAGGCGCGTGCCACCACGCCTGGCTAATTTTTGTATTTTTAGTAGAGATAGGGTTTCACCATGTTGGCCAGGCTGGCGGCAGATATATTATTGATTCCATTTTGTTTTTTCTAATTGTTGTATTTAAACTTTAAAGTTTTCTGTTTGTTTAGAACAAGGACAGGGGGACATCCCTACATTTTACACCTATGAAGAAGGATTATCCCATCTAACAGCAGAAGGCCAAGCCACACTGGAGAGATTAGAAGGAATGCTTTCTCAGTCTGTGAGCAGCCAGTATAATATGGCTGGGGTCAGGACAGAAGATTCAATAAGAGATTATGAAGGTGAGTGTCCTTTTGCAGTGTGAACAGTCAGATGAGCACTTGGGCAATAAGTTATGGATAGTCAATAGAAGTTCTTTTAATAACTAAGAGAAAGAATTGACTCTCTATAGTATAGGAAGCAGATACAGAATTACATAGTATAGGAATGCTTATGTCATTTGTTTTTAGTGATTTTTTTTCCTCATTACCAAAAAAGTCTTTGTTCATAGTCAAAAAAATTTTTTTAATGTGCGCAAGAAAGTAGAAGTGAAAAAGAAACAAGTGTAATTCTAACTGAGAGATATCCACTATTAATTTACTGTTGCATCTGTGTATTAGTTTGCTAGGGCTATTATAACAAAGTGTCATACAGGCTGGGTGGCTCAAACAATAGAATTTTATTGTCTCATAGTTTTGGAGGCTAGAAGTCCACGATAGGTTATCTCTGAGGGCTGTCAATTCAGGCATCTCTTCAGGTATACACACACCCACCAAAGCAAGAGAGAGATTTTAAGAAATTGGCCCACGTGACTGAAGGCTGGCAAGTCCAAAATCTGCATGGTAAGCCGGCAGACTGGAGACCCAGAGAAGAGTTTATGTTGCATTCTGCTGCCTCAGAAGTTCTGCTGGCAGAATTTCTTCTTGCTCAGGGGAGGTGAGTCTTTTTCCTATTGAGGCCTCCAGCTGATTAAATGAGACCCACCACACTATGCAGGGTAATCTCCTTCACCCAATTTTCACCAGTTTACAAGGCTAATCTCATCTAAAAAATAACCTCCACAGAAACATCTAGAATAATGTTTGACCAACTATCTGGACACCATTGCCTAGCCAAGTTGATGCATAAATTTAACTATCACACCCTTCTTTTTTTCTTAAGATGGAGTTTCGCTCTTGTTGCCGAGGCTGGAGTGCAATGGCACGATCTTGGCTCACTACAACCTCCGCCTCCTGGGTTCAAGCGATTCTCCTGCCTCAGCCTCCTGAATAGCTGGGGTACTGGCGCCTGCCACCGCTCCCAGCTAATTTTTGTATTTTTAGTAGAGACAAGGTTCCACCATGTTGGCTTAAAGTATGCACAGGCAAAGAAGAGGTAGAAAAAAATAAATATAATTCTGAGATGCATTTACTATTAATTTTCTGTTGCATATCCTTTCAGTCTTGTGTCCTTTTGTGTGTGTATATACACTGATTGTGTGTGTGTGTGTGTGTGTGTGTGTGTGTGTTTGAGACAGAGTCTTGCTCTGTCGTCCAGGCCGGAGTACAATAACGTGACCTCGGCTTACTGCAACCTCTGCCTCCCAGGTTCAAGTGATTCTCCCACCTCAGCCTCCTGAGTAGCAGGGATTACCCACTACTATCGTGCCCAGCTAATTTTTGTATTTTTGTAGAGACGGGGTTTCACCATGTTGGCCAGGCTGGTCTCGAACTCCTGACCTCAGGTGATCCGCCCGCCTCAGCCTCCCAAAGTATTGGGATTACAGGCGTGAGCCACTGCACCCGGCCATGATTCTGTCTTATTTATTTATTTATTTATTTAAGACGGAGTCTCACTCTGTTGCCCAGGCTGGAGTGCAGTGGCATGATCTTGGCTTACTTCAACCTCCACCTCCTGGGTTTAAGAGATTCTTCTGCCTCAGCCTCCTGAGTAGTTGGGATTACAGGCATGTGCCACCATGCCTGGCTAATTTTTGTATTTTTAGTAGAGGCGGGGTTTCACCATGTTGGCCAGGCTGGTCTCTAACTCCTGACCTCAGGTGATCTGCCTGCCTTGGCCTCCACCTTCCTGGTTCAAGCCATTCTCCTGCCTCAGCCTCCCGAGTAGCTGGGATTATAAGCGCCTGCCACCATGCCCGGGTAATTTTTTTGTATTTTTGTTAGAGATTTCGCCATGGGGTTTTGCCATGTTGGCCAGGCTGGTCTCAAACTCCTGACCTCAGGTGATCCACCCACCTTGGCCTCCCAAAGTGCTGGGATTACAGGCGTGAGCCACTGTGCCTGGCCAAGACAACTCTTTCCGTGGGGCTTGTATTAGTCTGTTTTCACACTGCTGATAAAGACATACTCAAGACTGGGCAATTAGCAAAAGAAAGAGGTTTCATTGGACTTACAGTTCCATATGGCTGGGGAAACCTCACAATCGTGGTGGAAGACGAGGAGCAAATCACATCTTACATGGAAGGCAGCAAGCAAAAAGAGCTTTTGCAGGAAAACTCCCCCTTATATAACCATCAGATCTAGTGAAACTTACTCATTATTATGAGAACAGCACGGGAAAGACCTGCCCCCATAATTCAGTTACCTCCCACCAGATCCCTCCCACAACACGTGGGAATTCAAGATGAAATTTGGGTAGGGACACAGCCAAACCATATCAGGGCTCTTGTTTTTTTTCTCTTGTTCCCTCCCCACCTTTTATTTAATGAGATGACAAAAACAGGGAAATAAGCAAAAAGCTTGCTGTACTGATTTTTGTCTTTTCACTTTGTGAGGATAGGGCTGTATACCTTAAAAAGCCTAACAGTAAATACTTAGATCTGTAAAGGGTGAACAATTGATACTGCATTTGAAAGTTCCTACATAGAGTTATTTTAGTATTGAGGGTGAGAATTTACACAGTTAGTGTCGCAGACTGATTTTGATGTGGCCTAAATCCCCAGGTAGCATTTTCTTTCTCAGTTTGTCCCTTCAGACTTTTCCAAAAAGAGGAAAAAGCAATTCTTACCAGCAGAGGGCACTAGCTTCCTTCTGGTAGAAGTTATAAGTTGAATCTACCTGTCTGAAGTGTTCATAGGGATTGCTCAGTAATTAATTTTTTTGTTTAGATGGGATGGAGGTGGATACCACACCAACAGTTGCTGGACAGTTTGAGGATGCAGATGTTGATCACTGAAAATGATTTATGCAAGTTTAAGGTGAGTAGTTCATTTTCTCCCTTGTCGCTGATCATGAAAATCATATGAAATGATTACTTTCTACTTTTTAAAATTCTTTCTTGAGACAGGGTCTTACTCTGTCACCCAGGCTAGAGTGCAGTGGCATGATCCTAGCTCACTACAGCCTTGAACTCAAGCAATCCACCTGCCTCACCCTCCCAAATAGCTGGGACTATAGGCACATGCTTACCACACCCAGCTTATTTTAAAATTTTACGTAGAGACAAGGTCTCACATGTTGCCCAGGCTGGTCTCTAACTCCTGGCCTCAAATGATTCTCCCTCCTCGGCATCCGAAAGTACTGGGATTACAGCTGTGAGCCACTGTATCTGGCCTATTTCTTTTTCCTTCTTTAAAAAAATTTTTCTTCTTTTAAACCTCAGATTGTTCCTGACAATTTATTTGCTACTCCATTATTCTGAGAAATATATTGTCCTTTGCCAGCCTAAGTATTTCAACTATATGTTAGATAATAACTGAAGGTCATGTTCATATCATACAGAGCTAGAACCAGTAATTGTAGTAGTCCTTTATAAGCTGTTGTTAAATTGTTGTCCCTGTCTCCCCACTACAACTTCCTCCTACCTTATAGCATTGTTTTCTTGAATACTGGCTATCCTCCAGTCTTTGAGATGCTCTCGCTAGCCTCCTTTTATTTTACTAAAGCATATAGTAATAGCATGGTAAGATTTATATGTTTTGACTTGACTCTGCTACCACTGTCAGTCATCCAGTTAAGTTATAAGATCCTTTGTTATTCCCTGCAATGATAAATATTTCAGAATTCCTTCTCTTTTCTTCTGATACAGATTTTAGTTCTGAACCTAGTTCTGTAATCATTGGCTTTTCTCCAGTTACAAGTTTTAATTCCTTTACCCCTGTTCTATTTCATTTCAGAAACCAGCCTTTTAAAGTTCCAGTTAGCTTCCAAGTTACTGCTATTGTGAAAACTGTATAACATTGCTTCTTATACTGACCATGAATTGTGATACTGGACCTGTGCTTTCTTCTCACATCCTGCCAGTGGAACTATCAGAAAATAACCTCTTAGAGTTCTATGATTTATATTTTCCCTTAAATACTTAATTTTAATTTCCACATTTACTTTTGTCAGTGGTAGCCATACAGTTTAAAATTAGCAATGTCTTCTCTGTTAAAATCATGTGTTCACATCACTGGAGCTCTGTTAACTTTGATTTTTAGCTCTCACAGTTCCAATTGTCAGTAACTTCACTGTTCTACTTCATGGGAAATCCTTTGATATCAACTTCAGTATTCTTTCCTTATTTCTCATCACATTATAGCATATTAATTTTTTCAGTTCAGTGATACTTGTTTTAGTAACTGTTTTATTGCAATTAGAAAACAGATTTTTGGGTCTTTGGGCTTTCACATATTTCTTTTGAAGAATAGACTATACAGAGAACATCAGCCACTCTATTATTAATCAGAATCATGAGAAACTCATTTGGTATGTCACTAACAGTTAAACAAATGGGATGTTACTGCAGTCCTTGGCAAGAATTCTTAGGATTCTTTTTAATGGTGAAATAGCCACAAACTTTTTAATGAGCTTTGTTTTCTGTTAATTTTATCCTAGAGCTCAGAGGCAGAGAATTATTTTATTCATAACGGTTTTTTTTCTTTTCTTTTTTTTTTTTCTTTTTGAGATGGAATCTCGCTCTGTCGCCCAAGCTGGAGTGCAGTGGTGTGATCTTGGCTCACTGCAACCTCTGTCTCCTGGGTTCAAGCGATTCTCCTGCTTCAGTCTCCCAAGTAGCTGGAACTACAGACGCGCGCCACCACGCCTGGCTAATTTTTGTATTTTTAGTAGAGAGAGGGTTTCACCATGTTGGCCAGGATGGTCTTGATCTTTTGACCTCGTGATCCGCCTGCCTCGGCCTCTCAAAGTGCTGGGATTACAGGCATGAGCCACTGCACCCTGTTTATAATGTATAAACATTATGTATAATGTTTATACATATTCTTCATCTGGATAATTGATCTGAATTCCGAACAATGTCTGTACATTTTTTTTTTTTTGACACGGGAGTCTCGCTCTGTTGCCTAGGCTGGTGTGCAGTGGCGCAACTTGGTTCATTGCAACCTCTGCCTCCCGGGTTCAAGCAATTCTCCTGCCTCAGCCTCCTGAATAGCTGGGATTACAGGTGCCCACCACCACACCCGGCTAATTTTTTTTTTTTTTTTTTTTTTTTTGAGATGGAGTTTCGCTCTTGTTGCCCAGGCTGGAGTGCAATGGTGCAATCGGCTCACCGAATCCTCCGCCCCCCCGGGTTCAAGTGATTCTCCTGCCTCATCCTCCCGAGTAGCTGGGATTACAGGCATGTGCCACCACGCCTGGCTAATTTTGTAATTTTAGTAGAGACAGTGTTTCTCCATGTTTGGTAAGGCTGGTCTTGAACTTCTGACCTCAGGTTATCCGCCTGCCTTGGCCTCCCAAAGTGCTGGGATTACAGGTGTGAGCCACCACACCTGGCTGTGTAAATTTTTAATCATTTAAAATTGTACATGCTTTAAAAGAATGAATAAGGAATAAATAATTAAGAGTAGTTTATGCAACTGTTAATAATTTCAGGATAATGGAACTAGGACTTCTCAGTGCATGAGGTGGGGTGGAGACGGCACGTTAATCGTGGAATCACAACTCTGCCACATACTTGTGTACACCTTTGGACAAGGCATATAACTTATTTAATCCTCACTTCCCCCATCTGTAAAATGGGGAGGATAATACCTACCTTGCAGGGTTGTTGCAGAGGCTAAGATAAAATGTACCTAAGTCCTCTGGCACTCGTGACTAGGCATTCAATAAGTAGTAGCTATTATTATTATCACTACTGTAAACACTGTAAACCTTTTGTTTTTCAGATTCTGCTCCTAAGTGTAGGAGAGAACTTGGTGCCTCTTCCACTCTGGAGTGAAGTTAATGAAAGTCTTTTTCCTTTTCCAAAACCCAACCTGAACCAGTTCTTTCTTGAGACAGACTATACTGAGACAACAAGTTGTCACCAGCAGAAGATAGATAATATGACCTTTATTAACTTGATGAATTAACTTAACCAAGAGGGTATTTGTAGTTTACTATTTACCCTAAAACTTTCTGTGTCTGGGTACCCTCTGAGTAGGCCTATAATTCCTACCTTGACTGTGTGCATCATTTGTAAGCTAGCAGATCTATGTGGTGAAAATGCACAGGAGCTTGGTAGACTGCGGGGGAAAGAGAGAGCTCCTTTCGCCATGTTTTACCAGTCTGCTGTTATAACCTCTTAGGTTGTATCCTTTAATTTCCAGCCTTTTAGGTTAGTTTCTGTAACAGAACAAGTGAGTCTGGGATGAAGTCCTCAAAGTACTTCAAATGGTAATTGTTTTGTTTTTGTAATAGCTTAACAAATAAACCTAGGTTTTCTATATTACTTTGCTCTCATTCTTGACTAAAACCATTAATGAGAAATGTTTTTTAAAAAATAATGCTGGCAAATATGAGAATTTTGTTGGCTTTATTTTTGTTTACTTGTTGAGAAGATGAACATGAAATTAATAAGAAAATATAGTTATAGCTTCTGGCAAGTATTTAGTAAGGCAAAGATTTAACACATTTCAGGGGATTTCTGCCACTTCCTTTTAGATCAGCAGTAATTTCTTATATTTATCAACTCTCAATTTTTAGTTTTCATAGATACCTGGGTATTATAAGGCTGATTTGTAATTACTGATTTATACTTGGACTTTTGAAATCATTATGTGTCCTTAAAAATAAGGTTATACAAGCTAACCTTCTTAACAGGATCACATGGCTAATTAGTGACTAAACTGATGTTTGGTACCACTCAGCCCAGTGTTCATTTCAGCACTGTCACTTGGTTTCCCTTATCTTGCAAGGTAGACTGAAAAAAAACGAATTTTCCTTTTTCTAACCAGACTCTCAGAATTTCTGAGTCTGTTAACAATAGGCAAGTAAAACAGCCACTTGAAATGGAAACTAAAATTTACTGAGACCTCTGTACTAGCCACTGTCCTGAGTTCTTTATTATGTATTATAATATTCTTAATTATCTTATGAGATACGCTTTTATCCCACTTTATAGTTGAGGAAACTGAGTTATAGAGAGAGGTAAAATAACTTGCTTAAGGTCATGTAGATAGTGAATTGTGATTTTTGAGCCTGTGCTTTAAAACATCATACAGCCTTACCACCTACCAGCAGCAGAAAGCATGCACACTCTCCCCACTGCTGCAGGGTTTCAGTGTTAACATTTCAATGGCCAGTACAAGAGCTTCCCCAGTTTCTCTGCTACCCATCTGAGCAACACCCATAATTCTATCCTAGAAGTTTGTCCATTCTTCAGTAATCAGTCAGGACATTCTCACAGGCTAATATTAGAAATTCCATTTGAGTTCCTTTTAAAAGGAACAAATTTATAATTGTGACTTTCCATGAACATAAATTGCTCTGATAGCAAAATGTCGAGAAGATTCAGAGTGTACTTGGTTTCTTGTTGGTGTTGCTGTGGTCAATGCAATATGCAAAAAGGCAGGAGACCAAAGCATGTGGGCACCTCTCTGGGCTTATTTCCTCATTAGACTAAGTGACTTTCAAAGATTGAGCTGTAACATTCACTAGATAGTTAGAACCGTAGCATTGAGAAAATAGAAGCTGAGAAAAAAGAGCAGGTCAGGCTTTTAAAAGATAAAATTTATAATGATCAGCCAGACAATATTTATTGATTTCATTTGAGCCTAATTTTAGGGTTGCTGGAATTGTTTTCTTTGTGTGTTCCTGATGTAGAGACACTTTAAAGGTACATAGACATTTCCCCTCCAAAATGTAAGTCATCTAAATGTTCCTAAAAGCTAGGGTTAATGGTTCTCTGTTCTAGGTTCTTCATTTAAAAAATGTATTCATTAAGATATGGTCCCAGCCGGACGTGGTGGCTCACACCTGTAATCCCAGCACTTTGGGAGGCTCAGGTGGGCAGATCACTTGAGGTCAGGAGTTTGAGACCAGCCTGGCCAATACGGTGAAAACCCATCTCTACTGAAAATACAAAAATTAGCCAGCCATGGTGGTGGGCACCTGTAATCCCAGCTACTCAGGAGGCTGAGGCACAAGAATCACTTGAACCCAGGAGGCAGAGGTTGCAGTGAGCTGAGGCCATAAGCTTGTTTAAATCTTTATAGGGGCTGGGCACGGTGGCTCATGCCTATAATCTCAGCACTTTGGGAGGCTGAGGTGGGTCGATCACCTGAGGTCAGGAGTTCCAGACTAGCCTGGCCAACATGGTCAAACCCTGTCTCTACAAAAATACAAAAAATTAGCTGGGCGTGGTGGTGGGGCACCTCTAATCCCAGCTACTTGGGAGGCTGAGGCAGGAGACTCCCTTGAACCTAGGAGGCAGATGTTGCAGTGAGCTGAGGTCACACCGTTGCATTCCAGCCTGGGCAACAAGAGCAAAACTCCATCTCAAAAATCAAAAAAGGTTATGTGGTTATGTATTTTTGAGGTTCTGTTAGGAGCTTCCTCAATATTGGTAAAGGTGAGAGATTATGTGCAGATGATCATAATATACAGGTTGAGTATTCCTAATCTGAAATCTGAAATTCCCCAAAATCTGAAACTTTTTTGAGTGCTAACATGATGCTCAAAGGAACTGCTCATTGGGGCATTTTGGATTTCAGACTTTTGGATTAGGGATGCTTAACCAGTATAATGCGAATTATTCCAAAATTTTAAAAACATTCCAAAATCTGAAATACATTTGATCCCAATAATTTTGCTTAAGGGATATTCAATCTGTATAGTCCTTTACTTTTAGAAGAAGGCAGGTATGATTACTTACTGCTCAGAAATAATAGATACTTAGAATTTATCTGCAGGATTTCAGATGGGTTCACTATTACATACCTGATTATCATGCACATCCTGTTTTAAAAGTATAGAATGGATGAATCCATATCTGGGACTCATCTTTTGTGACCAATAACTGAATTCTAAGCATTGTCTCTCATGGGGATCCTCACAGAATTGTTGCCATCCCTTTATGAAGGAGCTGGAACATATTTTCACTAACATCTCACTCTGCTCATGTTTACATAAGTAAAATCAGTATCTAGGGGAACTTCATAATTTCAAATGAAAAAAATGGATTATTTTGGAGATTACATGAATCACTAGTACATGTAAAGCACTTAGAACAACAGTGCCTAGAATATAGCTCAATAGATGATAGTTTTTACTAATAGTAGTAATCCTTTTCATAACAGAAAGCAGCAGCTACAAATTTATCAACTCACTGTTTAGAATACATCTGATTAGCTTGAAGTTTAAAAATCCACTGAGCAATTAGACATCATGAAATCTATACTTATTTCTCAGGACCTCAGGCTTTCACTGCAAATCTCTACTCTTGCTCTACAAACAGGTCTGATGTACTTGAATATCTAGTTTCTAGGCACACAATGGGTTTGACAAGGAGAAAAAGGTAGTTCTATCAGTAGCAGCAGTAAATAGCTGACAGAATTATGAAAAAAGGTAAACATATATTCCCACAAAATATAGCAGTCTAAGCCTCTAAACAGTACAAATGAGGACAGTGTAGCAGTTTATGTTCATAAAATTATGACCCTGCATCAGCCCAAATTATGATTGTAAATCCAAGTCTGACTAAGCAGATTTTTTTTTTTTTTTTTTTTTTTGAGACGGAATTTTCCTCTTGTTGCCCAGGCTGGAGTGCAGTGGCGTGATCTTGGCTCACCACAACCTCCGCCTCCCGGGTTCAAGCAATTCTCCTGCGTCAGCCTCCTGAGCAGCTGGGATTACAGGCATGCACCACCACATCCTGCTAATTTTGTATTTTTAGTAGAGACAGGGTTTCTCCATGTTGGTCAGACTGGTCTTGAACTCCTGACCTCAGGTGATCCACCCGCCTTGGCCTCTCAAAGTGCTGGGATTACAGGCGTGAGGCACCGTGCCTGGCCTAAGCAGAAAATTTTTATTAGAAAGCTATCTGGTAGCTCACTAAATGGACAGGAAAGTTGAAATAAGCCAGGCTCATAAAAAGATGAAATCTACATAAGATGTTATGATTCCTCCGCTGCTGTTAGACTGATTTCTTGATTGTCCCTGTGTCTGTGAGTCACCACACTTAAGATGCAAACTTCTGGTTGGCACTGTGTGTCTTCATTGCCAAGGGCAGAAGGAGTATCTGGGCCTTTCAGCTTCTACAGTGGAAGGACGCTGCCGCTGTGCAGATGCTCACAGTACCCCAGGTAAGAAGGATGCTTAGATGCTGGATTGCAAAAAATGTACAGCTGTCTACTACAACCCCAAATCTTTAAAAAAAAAAAAAAAAGCTGCTATTCTATTGCACAAGTGCAGGCATGGAATAAGCAAACAGTTGGATTTAATCAAGTTGAGGCTAAGCTCTGTGAGTATGAGATAGAGGAGCAAGGGAGTTAAGGGTGTATGCATGTGATGATGACTGGCCAAGTAAGCTGCTTAAGGAGAAGAGGGTACTTGAGAGGGGTGAGAGATGTGAAAAAGTGGTGTTATCAGTGGACAGAAGTTCCACATGGGGGTCAAAGGATCACTGGAGATGGGGTCCTAGAGAGACTGAGCTGAAAAGGGGTCAGTGGTTAGAGAGTAGGGTGTCTGAGTTCATAGAAGATTTCAGTTATTGGTAGTAAGTAAGTTCAAAGTTACCACCAAAATTGCAGCTGAGGCAAAGTAGAAGACAAAATTTTCAAAGGAGAGATCCAGTGAACTCCAAGGCCGTGCAGCTGGAAGGATCATCTTTGTATCTGTCACCAAGAAGTATAACTGTGGTGATGGTAGAGAGTGAGACAGGAACTAAGATCTGAAAGGAACAAAGGGAAATTGAGGGGACTGTATACTAGAAGACTGCAACAAGTACCCAGGTAACTGATGACATGTTTTTAATGGAAGAAGCAGAGGAGAATGGATGAGCAGCATCCCATGAGGACAAGCATCCATTGAGGACATTGAGGACAAGGAAATCTACTCTGCCTCCAGGCACAGTGGTATACTAGGTGTGGGAGAGAAAAGAGCCACTACTTGAGAGGGCTATAGAGGTAGCAGTGTCATCAGAACTCACAAACTCCAAAGTCTGACAGTGGAAGTTCAGAGGGCTAGGCATTTTCACAAATTAATACTCATTTTTCTTAACCCACAGAAGTCCTCATGCTAGAGATGTAAAAAGGCATATTCCTATAAGAAAAACAGCCATGAAACAGTAAGTGAAACTTAGCTTCATGTTTGCAAGACGGGACCATTTTAAAGGGAACAACCATTATTTTGTGTTGTATGGCAGAATTCAGGCCTAGTATTGCAAGGTCTTTGGAGTTTTTCTAAGAGCAGCTAGAACTATGGATTTTACTTAATTTCGACTTTTTAAAAAAACTACTGTGAGGCCAAATAAAATAAGTCAGAGACTGCATTTAGCCATTTAGTCACATTTGTGAACTCTTTTTTTTTTTTTTTTTAAGATGGAGTTTCACTCTTGTTGCCCAGGCTGGAGTGCAGTGGCACGATCTCGGCTCACTGCAACCTCCGCCTCCCAGGTTCAAGCGATTCTCCTGCCTCAGCCTCCTGAGTAGCTGGGACTACAGGCGCTCACCAACATGCCTGACTAATTTTTCTACCTTTAGTGGAGACAGGGTTTCACCATCTTGGCCAGGCTAGTCTTGAATCGCTGACCTTGTGATCCACCCACCTCAGCCTCCCAAAGTGCTGGGATTACAGGCGTGAGCCACTGTGCCCGGCCGAACTCTGCTTTTTAAAATACAAAGCTGGCTGCCTTGTTGGGTAGACTTGGCAAAAGGCTGCACCTGTTCAGTCTGCAGGTATAAATAGAGTGACTGTCTACAAGCTGGTCACCAAGCAGCACTTAAATTACCTGGCAACTGCGACTACAGGTGCACGCCACCATGCCTGGCTAATTTTTATATTTTTAGTAGAGGTGAGGTTTCACCATCTTGGCCAGGATGGTCTCAATCTCTTGACCTCGTGATCCGCCTGTCTCGGCCTCCCAAAGTGTTGGGATTACAGGCGTGAGCTACCGTGCCCAGCCTTTACTTTCAATTCTAACTCTGATAATGGAATTTCCTTTGAAGGGATACATACTTAACCTTTCATGGCCTGAACTTTTAATAAAAATTAGACCGCATACAATAAAAGAAGCCTTCTAATATAGTAAAACTGGAAGGTTCTTTAAACCTCAAAAAATACTAGTTAATTTCTAAACAAGTTTTAACGTTATTATAAAGTATTTAATGTTTCTATGAACCCTTGATTTCCCTTTAGTCATAATCGTGACCGAGAAGAATTTTTGGATTGAAGTTGAAGACTAGAGATGGTATTTGGCTCTATGTGATCTAAGCCAGGGCAGCAAACCCATCTAGGCTTAGTTTCCTTATCTGTAAAATGGAGATTAAAAATACATGCCCTCCCTACTTCATAAGGTAGCTAGCTGTTGGTTCAAAGGAGAATGTGAAAAGCTTAAATCCTGACTTTGTATGGGTGTTTTGTTTTATTATATTCTATTAAAGAATAACCACTTGGCTGGAGCTAGTGAGATTGTCTATTTAGAGAAACTATTTTAGGTATTAGATTTTAATGTACTTAAAATGTAGGAAATCGCTTGCATGTGAGTGAATATATATTCTACTTCTAAAAGCAACTTTCCTGTTGAAAGATGACACTGCTTGATGGTATCATTTTGTGAGGTGGTGGCTGAAAGTATCCTCTCCCCAGTTCTGTAAGTTGACGCCTTGTACTTTTATAGTTAAAAATTCTGTTCATTTGGGTGACACTTGATACACAAATTCGTTGATCTTACTATCACCTTTACTTCCCTTCTCATCCTGTACTCGTTTTTCATCAAAGTTAACAATTATCATTTAAGATTGATTTATATTTAATGTAATGAGGCTTTTCTAGCAGCATTTAATACATCACTCAAAGAACAAGTCTTAACTGAGAAGTACAGAATACCTCATTTTCACAGTAATTTTTTTTTAAAGTCCCAGTGATGAAAACTATAAGGCAGCTTCCTCAAAGGAAGTTAACACTGATGAATCCAGTGCAGCCGGTGTTTTCCATATGAGGTGATAAAATCTTTATCACATCCAGCTGGACTGTCCTGTATGTTAGTCTGAGTCTTTGGAACAGTTATTCCTTTTTATTAATTGTATGGTTGTTATGCAGCCATGGAAGGAAAAAGCTGAACATCAAAATCATCAACAATATACCTGAAAGACAAAATACAGTAAAATAAAAAAACAATCTTTAAGGAGGTTCATAATCACTAGGTGGGTATATTTTAAAATTACAATTATATACCTAGATGTTTGGAAAGCCATGCTTAAAGAATTGGCTACATCAATTCTACGTGAAACATGTTAGATATTTAAATCTAATATTCTCAGATTTAAATCTAATATCAGATTTAAATCTATTATTCTCAGATTATTTTTTCTTCAACTGTGAATCCTTAAACACAGTATGCATTTGGTAAAACCAATAGGATCTAAACAATGAATTCAAAGGATAAACTAAATCCAAAGATGTAGTTTTAGTTCTGGCTCTTTAGTTCTAGACTTGGGTCTTCATTTTCTCCTCTTTAAAATGGTAACACTCTCCTTTTCCTCCGTGCCCCAGGGACATACCTAGAGAATAAAGCAACTGAAAGCACTCGGAGTTTTCACTTAGAATGTTCAAATAAAAACAATGTTAGGTTACTTTCTCCAGTCTCTCTTTTTTCATTAATCTCAACTATTAACAGTTTTTTCATTTTTATCTCAACCTTATTTAACTGACCATTAACTGGTTTTAGAGATGTGTCAAGCAAATAAAATATCTAAACAAAATTTCAGTCGATGGTGGAAGTTTAAATCTGAAATATAATACAAAATTGTTGTTTATTTGTTTGTTTTTGAGACAGAGTTTTGCTCTTTCGCCCAGGCTGGAGTGAAGTGGTGTGATCTTGGCTCACTGCAACCTCTCCCTGCCAGGTTCAAGCGATTCTCCTGCCTCAGCCTCCTGAGTAGATGGGATTACAGGCGCCCGCCACCATGCTCGGCTAATTTTTTTATTTTTAGTAGAGATGGGGTTTCACCATGTTGGCCAGTCTGGTCTCGAACTCATGATCCACCCCCCTTGGCCTCCCAAAGTGCTAGGATTACAGGCGTAAGTTGCTGCACCCGGCCCAAAATGTTTTGAAAATTCACATATTGGTAATCTTCATTTCTGAGAATTACAACAGAGAAATCTGGCATGTAGCTTTTGGTTAATTTTTCAATGTGAAATAGGGACTAAGGAGAGTGAGCCAAGGGCTCAAGTCACTATCCTGAAAAGTAAATCTGCAGTGGTTAATTTTTCATCTTAAACTGAATGTATTCAGGCTTAAAGCCCTAGATCAGTTTAAATTCAGATTGAAAACAAGTTTTGTCACATGCACATTTGAAATTATGTTCTCTTGTTTGCAACAACAAAAAACCTTAAGGTTTGGCAACCACTTAGATACCTTAACATATTTGTGAGAGATTAGTCTGTTGGCAACCAAAGGCTTTAAATGAAAAAAAAAAAAATCAGAAACAACCTCTATGTTAACTGACCCACAGATTTTTTTGTCATTTTTTATAAAGTCAGAACTAGAAAATAAGACATTTAAAACTTTTTCCAAAAATAGAATTGCAGTTTCATAGAAGCAAATAGAATTTTCTACTTTTCATTGTATGAAATGTATAAACTAGAGAATTCTATATACTTTTTTTTTTTTTTTTTGAGACAGGGTCACACTCCCATCACTCAAGCTGGAGTGCAGTGGTACGATCTCGGCTCACTGCAGCCTCGACTTCCTGGGCTCAAGTGATTCTCCTACCTCAGCCTGCCGAGTAGCTGAGACTACATGCATGTACTACTACACCAGGCCACATATACATCCTTATAGTCACATTTCTAAATTTTTAATTTGGTAAGATGGCAGGGGCCATTAGAGGAATTATAATTATCTCTGCTGTGATGAGAAACAAGAAAGAATATGGACTATGACTCCAAAGAATAGTTTGCTTCCTGCTTGGTCAAGAAGGAAAGAAGGTGGATACCTTGGGATTACTCTTTCCTCTGTCTCACTCCCCTGGCACCCTGGCACTGCCTAATTAATGTAGCTTTGGTAGTTGAGTGGTGTTTGTTTTGGGGTTTTTGTTTTTATTTTTATTTTGGACTCCTCATCTCTTAACTCTTTGAATGATTCTTTTAATTTATAATTTATTTTTTCCCATTCTTTTCAGAGTTATATAATGTGTCGCTTTATGTCTTTATTTCATTTGGAGCCAATTTTTTTTCCAGTGGGAAGGTAACTTCAATATATGACAAAATTCAATGGCTGGCTGGAATGCAGTATTCTAAAAATCATCATTTATTCACATACATGTCTTTTATCTACATATACTGAAGGATGCCTTTATTCTCATTCATAAACCTCAGAAAGAAATATAGAAACATGCCTCTTCAAACCAAAACTACAGTAAATATTTTATGTTGGGTCTATTTTAAAAGGTAGGGGTCCTTAGACCAACTGAGAATCTTGGAATACATATTTTCAACAAGCTAAATATAAAAAGTATCATATGAATTCGAAAATGTTTGATCTCAGCCAAGTATGGTGGCTCACACCTATAATCTCAGCACTTTGTCAGGCCAAGGCGGGCAGATCACCTGAGCCCAGGAGTTCGAGACCAGCCTGAGCAACATAGAAACCCCGTTTCTATAAAAAATACAAAACTTAGCTGGGTGTGGTTTTATAGAAACCCCATTTCTATAAAAAATACAAAACTTAGCTGGGTGTGGGGGCATACGCCAGTAGTCCCAGCTACCTGGGAGGCTGGGACAGGAGGATCGCTTGCGCCTGCGAGGCAGAGGTTGCAGCCAAGATTGCACCACTGCACTCCAGCCTGGGTGACACAGCCAGACCAAAAAAAGTTTGATTCCACTTCTATTTGTAAGAGATTTCGGCTTTTTTTTGGCGGGGTTAGGGGGAATGTTCGGATTATTAGGGGGTAAGTGGTTCTTTAAAATGTTTTGGCTACATATAATGTGTTATCTTCCTGTTTGTACCACACTAACATGAAGAGAATATAGTCACTTTCCCCAACCTATCACACTTTCTGCTCTGTAAAGGGAGAAGATTTAGCATTCCTTTTTTATCTATCGTGAGGCTTTTCTTCTAGTATGTTCTTCCAGGAAGTCATTAAGTGCTGCTTTGGCTGGAAAATGTGTTCTAAGAAAAAATCAAGGTCCTTTTACAGAGATTGTCATTACTTCAGATTCCTTTTTAAAATTCTTCCATAAAGACCCTTTTTAAAAAAATTTATTTTTTAGATGTGGTTTTGCTATGTTGCCCAAGGTGGCCTTGAACTCCTGGCCTCAAGCAGTTCTATCTCAGCCTCCCAAGTAGCTGGGACTACAGGCATGTGCCACTGTGCTTTTTTTTTTTTTTTTTTTTTTTTTTTGAGACTCGCTCTGTCGCCCAGGCTAGAGTGCAGTAGTGCGATCTCGGCTCACTGCAACCTCCACCTCCTGAGTTCAGGTGAATCTCCTGCCTCAGCCTCCTGAGTAGCTGGGATTACAGGCACCCATCATCACACCCAGCTAATTTTTGTATTTTTAGTAGAGTTGGCCAGGCTGGTCTCAAACTCCTGACTTGAGGTGATCCACGCACCTCGGCCTCCCAAAGTGCTGGGATTACAGGCATGAGCCACCGCACCCAGCCTACCTGGCTACTTTTTAATGTTCTTTCAAGTAATGGATGAAATAATTCCTTAACACAGAGATCCTCAACCTTTTTAGCACCAGGGACCGGTTTCCTGGAAGACAGTTTTTCCATGGACTGGGGGCATGGTTTTGGGATGGAACTGTTCCACCTTGGATCATCAGGCATTAGTTAGATTCTCATAAGGAGTGTGTAACCTAGATTGCTCACATGCTGAGTTCACAGTAAGGTTCACGTTCCTATGAGAATCTAATGCCACCGCTGATCTGACAGGAGACGGAGCTTTGTAAGCTTGATTGCCACTCACCTCCTGCTGTGCGGCCTGGTTACTAACAGGCCACGGACTATACTGGTCTGCAGCCTGGGGTTTGGGGACCTTTGCCTTAGCCTACTGTTACAATAGTAGTTGGAGCACGCTAACAAATAAATCATGTTAATATATGTTAGTCTCCAGACATACTGGGGGAATTTTTTCATATAAAAACTACCTGTAGGCCTGCCCAACTAGTGACCTTGTTTGTTAACTTCTTAACTTCTTTACATTAGTGACCTTTTTAACTTTAAAATTTAAAAACGGATTTTTTGAGATGGAGTCTCGCTCTGTCGCCCAAGCTGGAGTGCAGTGGTGCGATCTCAGCTCACTGCAAGCTCCGCCTCCTAGGTTCCCACCATTCTCTTGCCTCAGCCTCCCAAGTAGCTGGGACTACAGGTGCCCGCCACCACGACCAGCTAATTTTTTGTATTTTTAGTAGAGACGGGGTTTCACCATGTTAGCCAGGATGGTCTCAATCCCCTGACCTCATGATCTGCCTGCCTCGGCCTCCCAAAGTACTGGGATTACAGGCGTGAGCCACTGCGCCCGGCCTAAAAACAGAGAAAATTTTTCTTTAAAGAAGTTATCGGAAAATACTAGCACTCTGTAGAACTGACCAAAAGTTATATTACTAGCATTTAAAACCAGTTTTTCTCTGATATTCTTCATGTTTAGGCCTATAGATATTATTGAGCATAACAATATTGAGCATAACAATATGATATTGAGCATAACAATAACATTAATGTGAGATAGAGGAATGGAAGGTAAACAGGAAGAGTAAAGTGTGATTGACTATTCAAACCTGTTATGGCACTTCCCTTCTGTGTTACCTTCTGTGTATGTGTGTGTGTGTTTTAAAGAAAATGACTAACAAGGAACAATATGCTAACTGGATAAAAAGAAGAGTGAATTAATGGAGGGCCAAGCATCTTCATATTCACTTACAGTTATGAGTTATAATCAGGCTTAAAACAGATGACTAAACAAAATCAATAAATGCTGATAACTTTATATACGTAATGCAAAAGAAATGCATAATAATTTTTTGTATATTGTATAATTTTGTGTGTTATTTGACCCATCTTTATAAAGAGTTTATATATCTGATCTAAATAGAAGTAACTGGAATGTAGCCTGAGCAACATAGCGAGACCTCATCTCTACAAAATATACAAAAATTAGCCGGGTGTGGTGGCACATGCCTGTCATCCCAGCTACTCAGGAGGCTAAGGCAGGAGGATTGCTTGTGCCCAGGAGTTCAAGCACAGTGAGCTATGGCTATGATCATGCCGCTGCCCTCAAGCCTGGGTGACAAAGAGAGACCCTGTCTCGAAAAAAAACAAAACAAAAACAATAAAAATAACAGGAATGTAATGTGGATAATTTTTAAACTATACTTAATACAGGTATTCATTGTTTCATGAGATGCTGTTCTGCAAAATGAGTCAAATGAACTAAATGATACTTTATCTGGAGCTCACAAATGTGAAAAAACAAATTTCTTTAGCAAAAAAAAAAAAGATTATTTTTGAAGGGAAGTAAGCACTCGTTGCTTTTTTGGTGCTCAGATCTAAGGTTTCTTAAAGTGATAGCATATCTGAAACTGACTACCTTTAACAGTTTTAAAGGATACTACACAAAGTATTATTTCAGGCATGTTAGCTACCTTTTTCATTTTCTGTTTTGTGCCTGCTGTGGCTTTGGAAATTGACATGTTACAATGATATACACATATCATATTTTAAAATACCCTAATCTTTCAGACATATTAAATAAAAATACGCTTACCTAAAGAAGGAGCCAGCCAGTATACTATAAAAAACTGAGGGAATGCTTCATCAAAACACATGAAATGTAGCGAAAGTGCCAAAGCTGGATTAAATACAGCTCCTGTTAGACTTCCTCCTGTAACAGATTTTAAGCAGAGTGATTTCAAATGATTTATCTTCCATTTCCTTGTAACTGGAAATAAATGGTTACTAAATGTGACTTTTATTTTAGGTATTCTTAGTCTGTGATCTTCCTTTGCAGAATCACCTGGCATATTTTAGACTATAATCATAAATCATAATATGCCACTTACTATAAAAAAAAAGACAGAGGACATTAAAGTTTGAACCCAGTGCTTTTCCTATAGACTATAAAATGGACACTGAAAGTTAATGTGCTCTATTATTATTCCTACCGTTTTATAAAATAGATTTGGCTGCCCTGAACATTTGTCAATTTAAATGAATGAATAATAATAAAAGTAAAATGAAAATACAGTTAAATAGATACAATGACCCAAGATCCTCTTGAGTACAAGCATAACTTTGTATTGAAAAGGTAAAATGGACCAATAGACCAAAGCTTTATCATTGGTTCTATTTTTACTTGTCAACAGAGCCCTTAAGAAGGGACTGTGAGTAGTCATGAGAGATAAGCACAAATTATAACTGTTGGCTACTTTTTAGGATTTGTGTTCCAGCTCTGCACCCAGGGTATTTCTCTGGCATGGGGCTAGGAGTCTATAGTCTGGCCACACAAGTGCGGAATGGAAGAGGAGGCTGGATGCCTGTCCAGCAGTACTCCACAGAGCTGTGTCTTCGCTTTTCAAAGTCCAGCCTAAGAGCATCCCTCAGACAGTGACATTTTCAGCAGTTTTTCCAAGTGGAAGCTTAGGCACACAACTCTGCCTCTTTTACTTAGCCACAGAGATAGATCCTGAGATCTTCAGAAGTTTTATTATTGACATGCACCATTGTAGCCTGTTTTCATGGAAATTAAGTGGCCCTTTCATAAGATTTCACTACTGAGATTTCACACTTGAATAGGCCGAGAACAATGAAGCTGTGTTGAGATGAAGATATTTAGCAATGAACTAAGCTCACTCAATAGCTAAGAGTTTTTTCTAGTGTACCAGCCTCACAGCATGATTCACATTCATGACTCAGCAATTATAAATGATATCATAGACCTTTGGAATCATTCTTGAACAGTCAAATCCTGGAATGTTAAACCTGCCACTGCTAAGGGTGAACAGAATTGTCTGGTTGGCAGCTAGTCATTTCAGTTTGATTACACAAAAACTTATTGAGTTCCTGTGTACTAGATACCATGGGCAGAAAGATAAAGACTCACACAGACATTTACAATATAATGTAATATGACCTATGATGATATAAATGACCTGTGACTTTTAGGCATGTATTGATAAAAATGGACTGAATCATTACCCTCACTTAGTTTACTTCAGTATTCAAGGCCATGGTATACTGAAGATTTTCCACTAGATCTAAGATGAACACCACTGATCAGTCTTATGCCATCCTAAAACTCAAACGACTTCACTTCCTAATCTTCTCATCCTCACACAGCAGTTCTGATCAGTGTGACTTAGTGGTAGCTGCTTCTCCCAGCAAGACGTTGTCTACTTTCCCTCTCTTAAAAATGAGCTGGCTTTGCAACTTGTGTTGATAGAATGCAGCAGAGTAGGGCTATGGGAATTCTGAATGTAACAGGAGTGATGCTGTGTGAATTCTAGGTTCACATCTCAATAAACCCATCAGCTTCCACTTTTTGCTCTCTTGGAAGAATGCCCTGACCATGTAAGTTTGCTGGTCTAGGTTGCTGGAGGATGAAAGGCCACACGGAAGAGAACTGAGGCATCTTAGATGACAGCTGACAACTGCCAGACATATGAGTGAGGCTACCTTGGGCTTTCCAGCCTCACCACTGGTCAGCTGAATGCAGCTATATGAGAGATCTCAGAGGAACTGCCCATCTATAACCCACAGAATCATGAAAAATAAGTTATTCTCAGTTTTGGGGCCAGGCATGGTGGCTCATGCCTGTAATCCTAACACCTTGGAAGGCTGAAGCGGGTGGATCACTTGAGCCCAGGAGTTTGTAATGAGCTCAGGCAACATAGCAAAACCCCGTTTCTATAAGAAATACAAAAATTAGCTGGTTGTGGTGCCACATGCCTGTGGTCCCAGCTACTTGGGAGGCTAAGGCAGGAGAATAAACTGAGCCTGCAGAGGTTGAGGCTGCAGTGAGTCGAGATTGTGCCACCGCTCTCCAGCCTGGGTGACAGAGTGAGATCCTGTCTCAAAAAAAAAAAAAAAAAAAAAAGTTTTGAATGGTGTGTTACACAGCAATAGTTAACTGATACAGAAATCCATGTCAGGTGTGGGTTCTGTGTTAACAAAAACTAAAAACATGGCATTGGCTTTAATGTCTTACTGGATAATTCTTTGTTGTGAGCTGTCCTGTGCACCGCAGCATGCTTAGCAGCATCCCTGGCCTCTACTCAGATGGCAGTGGCCTATTCCCTCTCCCCACATCGTAACAACCAAAAATGTCCCCTGGGGGGAAAACTGTCCCTAAGTTCAGAATTACTGTCCTAGAGAAACACTGGTATTTGTGTATGAGAAGACATATACAAGATTTTTTTTTTTTTTTTTTGAGACGGAGTCTCGCTCTGTCGCCCAGGCTGGAGTGCAGTGGCATGATCTCGGCTCACTGCAAGCTCCACCTCCCGGGTTCACACCATTCTCCTGCCTCAGCCTCCCGAGTAGCTGGGACTACAGGCGCCCGCCACCACGCCCGGCTAATTTTTTGTATTTTTAGTAGAGACGGGGTTTCACCGTTTTAGCCGGGATGGTCTCGATCTCCTGACCTCGTGATCCGCCCGCCTCGGCCTCCCAAAGTGCTGGGATTACAGGCGTGAGCCACCGCACCCGGCCCTACAAGATTGGTTATTGTAGCAAAGAACTAGGAAAAACCTAAATGTCCATTCATAGGAAAACAGCCCTAAACAAATTTACTATTACTTTGGAATATCATGCAGTGTTTTGAAATAATGAGAGAAATCTCTTTACTAACATAGGTAGATATACAAGATGTATCGTTGAACAACTACCACCAAAAAAAGCAAATTGTTTCCTCATCCTGTATCTTCCATGTCATAAATGACCTGTGACTGTGTCTTGCCCTTTCTTCCTCCAATATATATCTCCAAACACTTCTCTGCATTCCACAACTACCCCAACTATTTGTTTAACTACTTGCCCCTTGAAGGACATCCAGATAGTTGTTTCCGGCTCTTGGCTATCAGGAATAAAGCCTGCTGAGTAAGGTATGATACTTTTTAATGTTAACACAAGTATACGCATATACAATAATATATATAATAATATGTCATTCCTGGCTGGGCGCAGTGGCTCACACCTGTAATCCCAGCACTTTAGGAGGGCGAGGTGGGTGTATCGCCTGAGCTCAGGAGTTCGCAACCAGCCTGGGCAACATGGTAAAACCCCACCTCTACTAAAATACAAAAAAAAAAAAAAAATAGCTGGGCATGGTGGCGTGCACCTGTAGTCCCAGCTACTCGGAAGGCTCAGGCAGGAGAACTGCTTGTACCCAGGAGGCAGAGGTTGCAGTGAGCCAAGATCACGCCACTGTACTCCAGCCTGGGCAACAGAGCAAGTCTCAGTCTCAAAATAAATAAATAAGTAAATAACAGTAATAATATATCATTCCTGTAGGGTTTTATCTATATGTATAGTAAATGCACATGAAAAGAGTTTGGGCCTGGGTTTGATGGCTCATTCCTGTAATCCCAGCACTTTGGGAGGCTGAGATGGGCGGATTGGTTGAGTCCAGGAGTTCAAGACTAGCCTGGGCAACATAGCAAAACCCCCATCTCTACAAAAAATACAAAAATTGCCTGGGTATGGTGGCATGTACTTGTGGTCCCAGCTACTCGGGAGGCTGAGGTGGGAGGATCTTGTGAGCCGGGGAGGCGGAGGTTTTGATTGCACCACTGCGCTCCAGCCTGGGTGACAGAGTGAAGCCCTGTCTCAAAAAAATAAAAATAAAAACACAGTTTGGGGCTGGGCATGGTGCCTCACGCCTATAATCCCAGCACTTTGGGAGGCCGAGGCTGGTGGATCATTTGAGGTCAGCAGTTCAAGACCAGCCTGGGCAACATGGTGAAACCCCTACTAAAAATACAAAAAGTAGCCAGGTGTGGGGCCTGTCATGGGGTGGGGGGCTGGGGGAGGGATAGTATTAGGAGAAATACCTAATGTAAATCATGAGTTAATGGGTGCAGCAAACCAACATGGCACATGTATACCTATGTAACAAACCTGCACGTTGTGCACATGTACCCTAGATCTTAAAGTATAATTAAAAAAATAATTAATAAAGAAAAATTAGCCGGCTGTGGTGGCAGGTGCCTATAATCCCAGCTACTCCGGGGGCAAAAAGAAAAAAAAAATTAGCCAGGTGTGGCCAGGCATGGTGGCTCACGCCTGTAATCCCAGCACTTTGGGAGGCTGAGGCGGGCACATCACCTGAGGCTGGGAGTTCAAGACCAGCCTGACCAACATGGAGAAACCCTGTCTCTACTAAAAATACAAAATTAACCAGGCGTGGTGCTGCATGCCTGTAATCCCAGCTACTCGGGAGGCTGAGGCAGGAGAATCGCTTGAACCTGGGAGGCAGAGGTTGCAGTGAGCCTAGATCGTGCCATTGCACTCCAGTCTGGGCAACAAGAGTGAAACTCCATCTCAAACAAAAAAAAAATAATTAGCCAGGTGTGGTGGCAGACACCTTTAATCCCAGCTACTCAGGAGGCTGAGGCAGGATAATCATTTGAACCTGCGAGACAGAGGGTGCAGTGAGCCAAGATTGCACCACTGTGCTCCAGCCTGGGCGACAGAGCAAGACTCCATCTCAAGAAAAACCCAAAAAACAACAACAAAAACAACCAGTTTGGAAGGTTGTAACACAAACATCAGAGACAAGGATTACCGTGGAAGGAAGAGTAGACAGGGAAGGAAAGGAAACAGGCATGGAGGCATGGAGGATGGCAGTCAAAAGGCACTTTAGTCTTTGAATTTTTTACATAGAGAACATATCACGTATTGTGTAATTAAAAATGAATTATTTTTTAAAGAATCATCAGGCATGGAACTATCAAAAGATGGCTTCAAAAAACAAGTTACTATTTATTGACATTTGAAGGGGAGATGACAATCATGCATGTTGAAGAAGAGGTATAACCGGGAGATCCAGCTAGTCCACTGCCAAGAGTCAGAGGACAGCATGGATTTGGTGAAATTACCACAGCCAGAGGCTAAGTCTCAAATCTGGCAATTTTAGGCACTAAAGTTTCTCAATATTCCTAAAGGGAATAAAATTCTCTGTGACAGAAGAATACTAGTTAAATATCACATAACACCCATGTAGAAGCTGGAAGGTCTATTTATTCATTTAGAGTGGAAGCTAGCTTTCTAGTAACTGGAATATTTGTCTTCCCTCTCCAGAGAACCCATTTTAATGAGCACGTAAGCAAAGCAAAAGGAGTGTTATCATACCCTGATGAGCTCTGATAAAATATCATTGTCAGGAGTTGAAAATACCTCTCTAGGCCAGACGTGGTGGCTCACGCCTGTAATCCCAGCACTTTGGGAGGCCAAGGTGGGTGGATCACAAGGTCAGGAGTTCAAGACCAGCCTGGCCAAGATGGTGAAACCCCATCTCTACTAAAAGTACAAAAATTACAGCGCGCCTATGATCCCAGCTACTCGGGAGGCTGAGGCAGGAGAATCGCTTGAACCTGGGGGTCGGAGGTTGCAGTGAGCCGAGATCGCGCCACTGCACTCCAGCCTGGGTGACAGAGCGAGACGCCATCTCAAAAGAAAAAAGAAAAAAAGAAAATACCTCTCTAATGACAAGCCTGCTTGTTTTCCCCAAATTCAATCTCTACTCCCGGACATTACTGGGCAAATAATTTCAAAGTTTGCATCTCCAAACTCCACTTTTCATTTCTGGTTTGTATTCTGCTGATATGCTAATGTTACTAACTAAGCTAGCTAGCTAGCTGTTTTCTTTTCTTGAGAGATTCTCACTCTGTCATCCAGGCTGGAGTGCAGTGGTGCAATCTCAGCTCACTGCAACCTCCACCTCCTGGGTTCAAGCGATTCTCATGCCTCAGCTTCCTGAGTAGCTGAGACTACAGGCGCGAGCCACCATGCCCAGCTAATTTTTGTATTTTAAGTAGAGACTGGGTTTCGCCATTTTGGCCAGGCTGGTCTCGAACTCCTGGCCTCAAGCGATCCGCCCACCTTGGCCTCCCAAAGTGCTGGGATTACAGACATGAGCCACTGCGCCTGGCCTGTTTTCAAATTAGTGGTTATTCTTACAAACCTGGAAGAATGACATTAGACTGTTCTCAGATGTTGTGGGGAACACCTAGGGATTTGTACCAAAATCTTTACTTATTTTCAATGGACAAATTTCGTTATAAAAGTTACAACTTACATTTTCCTGAATTTATCCCAAAAGGAGTTGTGAGCAATAAAACTGATCAAATTATATGCAAAAATGATCAAATTATACTGGAAGCCTGTTAGAAATATAGAGGGAAATAATAATAATAAATAATAATTATTTCCCAAGTACTTCGTGTATGGCAGGTACTATGCTACAAACTTGAATTATTATTCCTCATACTAGTCTTATGAAATTTCTTCATTTTAGAGATGAGGAAAGTGAGGCCCAAAATAAGTATTCAGCCTAAGGGCACAGTCTTTTTTTTTTTAAATTGAAACAAGATCTCACTCTTTCACCCAGGCTGGAATGCAGTGATGAAATCATGGCTCAATACAGCCTCAAACTTCAGGGCTCAAGCAGTCTTACTGTCTCAGCCTCTTAAGTAGCTAAGACTACAGGCGTGCACCACCATACCTGGCTAATTTTAAAATTTTTTTGTAGAGACAGGGTCTTGCTATGTTGCCCAGACTGGTCTCAAACTGCTGGCCTCATGCAGTCCTCCTGTCTTGACGTCCCGGTCCTGGGATTACAGACATGAGCCACCATACCTGGCCTTAACCATTACATACATATATATATATATATATATATATATTTACATATATATTTACATATATATTTACACATATATATTTACACATATATTTACACATATATATTTACATATATATATATATTTTTTTTTTTTAATTGAGACATAGTCTCGCTCTGTTGCCCAGGCTGGAGTGCACTGGTGTGATATCAGCTCGCTGCAACCTCCGCCTCCCAGGTTCAAGCAATTCTACTGCCTCAGCCTCCCAAGCAGCTGGGATTACAGGCGCCCGCCACCATGCCAGGCTCATTTTTGTATTTTTAGGAGAGATGGGGCTTTACCATGTTGGCGTTGAATTGGTTAAAGAATAGTAGAGTAGTGACGATAATGAATAGGCTGTGGGTGGTCATGTTGATTCAGATTATGAATCAACAGGCTGGTCTTGAACTCCTGAACTCAGGTGATCCGCCCGCCTCCGTCTCCCAAAGTGCTGGGATTATAGGCATGAACCACTACACCTGGCCTTAACCACTATATTATACTGGCATAACAAAATAAATTTTGGACCTTTGAAGGTGTTTTTCATTTGTAAATTGATAATAGCTCCTATTTAAAAAGAACATATGTTCCCTTCTCTCTTTTTTTTTTGACACTGAGTCTTGCTCTGTTGCTCAGGCTGAAGTGCAGTGGCATGATCTTGGCTCACAGCAACCTCCGCCTCCAGGGCTCAGGGGATCCTCCCACCTCCACCTCCCGGGTTCAAGCGATTCTCCTGCCTCAGCCTCCCAAGTAGCTGGGATTACAGGTGCCCACCACCATACCCAGCTAATTTTGTATTTTTAGTAGAGACAGGGTTTCTCCATGTTGGTCAGGCTGGTCTCGAACTCCCGACCTCAGGTGATCCGCCTGCCTCTGCCTCCCAAAGTGCTGGGATTACAGGCGTGAGCCATCCTGCCCGGCCATATTATTTCTTCCTGTACAGTTTTTTAGAGTAAACAGACTATTTGCTAGTTCGTTCACTTATTCTAAAAATACATTTACTTTGTACCAGGTCCTATGCTAAGATCTTGATATATGTTATGACAAATAAAACAAATGTGGTCTACAGACTCAAAGCTTGTCATCTGGTAGAGGAAAACAGGCATTGTGTCAGAAAACAATATAATTTAAAATTCTATGAAAGAAATGAGCAGTATGTGGTAATAAAGACAACTGACGTGTAAAATAACAGATGTTTTTCTTTCTTTTTTTCTTTTTTTGAGATGGAGTTTTGCTCTTGTTGCCCAGGCTGGAGTGCAATGGCACGACCTCAGCTCACTGCAACCTCTGCCTCCCAGGTTCAAGCGATTCTCCTGTCTCTGCCTCCTGAGTAGCTGGGATTACAGGCATGCGCAAGCATGCCCAGCTAATTTTGTATTTTTAGTAGAGGTGGGGTTTCTCCATGTTGGTCAGGCTGGTCTCAAACTCCTGACCTCAGGTGATCCACCCACTTCGGCCTCCCAAAGTGCTGAGATTACAGGCGTGAGCCACCACACCCGGCCCAGGTGTTTTTCAATATCTAATTATGCATAAAAAATGAATGCAGCTCTCTCTCAAACTGTTCATTGAACTAAATTCTTCCAGAACCCAAAGTAAGGAAGATTTGCTTGAAATCTGATTAACAGTTTATAGCTCTAATATGTTAATAAATCGCACAGCTTTTTTTTTTTTTACACGATTAGGGGAGCCAGTTAATACACGATAAATGGCAATGACATAACTGGGGCTCCATGTGCCATCAAAATTTGGGGTGCTAAATCAATAAATACACAGACACTTGGTCACTGGCTATCCTTAGGAGCCTGTGGCTATGTTGCTGGATGCTTATGTTCTGTAATCCTAAAATACATAAGTTATTTTGATGTACCCTGTATTGGTGACTTCTCAGTGCCCTCAAAATGCAAGTGATTAAAGAAATCTCCCAAGGTGCACCTTTGTCAAATCTGTACTTGTAGTATCCTAGAAGCTTAAAAAAGACATATCATAATAACTTGTAATGATGCCTGACTTAGCCAACTGTCCCAAGACAGTCCTATTTGTAACAACTCTGTTCCAAAGTTATGACTTATAGCCATAGAAAATAAAAGGGAGAGATGGGACTTAGTGCAGCATTTCCCAAAGTATGTTCTCTTCTGCTACACACTCCTAGACAAGAGGATCTCGTAAGTTTGAAAAACTGTGCTCCAAATCCTCCTCTTGGAGTTTCACAATACTTAGAAGCATAGTAAAGGCTCTATGAAGTCTTAAAATTAGAAAACCTGTTTAATCCAGTGTCTGCCAAATTTATTTGGCAACAACATCATTTTGTAACTTAAAAATTGTATAAATTATGGTGAAATATATATATACCATAAAGTATGCCATTTTAGCCATTTTTAAGTGTATAAGTCATTGGTGTTACATTCACCATGCTGTTTCACCAGCAGCACCATTTCCAAAGGTTTTCATAACATAAACAGAAACTTTGTACCCATTAAACAATAAGTCCCCATTCCTCCCTCCTCCCCACAGTCCCTGGTAACTCTATTCTACTTTCTGTCTCTATGAAGTTGCCTAATCTAGATATTTTGTATATGTAGAGCCATACAGTATTTGTCTTTTTGTGTCTGGCTTATTTTGCTTGGCATATTGTTTTTGAGGTTCATTCATGTTGTAGTATACATCATAACTTCATTCCTTTTTATGGCTGAATATATTCAATTGTGTATAGTTTTGTTAACTTTTGAGGAGCACACTGTGGAAATGCTGATAATGAATCCGTATGAGCTTTAGTGCCAGTTGGAACCATAGTTCTAACACAGTCTAGTTATGTAAGCTTAGATAAGTCATTTCACTTTTCTGGGCCTCACTTACTTTACTTAAAATGGGAAGAATATATTCATCGATGGGTTGTTTTTTTTTGTTTTTGTTTTTTTTTGAGACGGAGTCTCGCTCTCTCGCTCTGTCTCCCAGGCTGGAGTGCAATGACTCGATCTCGGCTCACTGCAAGCTCTGCCTCCCGGGTTCATGCCATTCTCCTGCCTCAGCCTCCCCAGTAGCTGGGACTACAGGCACCCGCCACCATGCCTGGCTAATTTTTTTGTATTTTTTAGTAGAGACGGGGTTTCACCGTGTTAGCCAGGATAGTCTCGATCACCTGACCTCGTGATCTGCCCGCCTCGGCCTCCCAAAGTGCTGGGATTACAGGCGTGAGCCACCGCGCCCGGCCGATGGGTTGTTGTAAGAATTAATTAAGATAACTCTCATAAATTTCCTTGCAAAATGCTTGGCCTATAACAGCTGACAACTGAATATTCTTATCTCCCTTATATTGGCAGAAAACAAACAAAGGGAAGATCATACTGCATTATAAATTTCTGTAACTAATAGTAATCAACAATTGTCTATTTTGTTCTACCCATGCAAACAGACTCTAGCACTGTCCAATCCTGTACCCACTAGCTACAGCACAATTTGACAACTGACCACTTGAAATGTGGCTACTCTGAATCTAATTTCAGTTAATTTAAGTGTAAACAGCCACATGCAGCTAGTGGCTACTGAATTGCACAGTGCAGGTCTAGACTCCTAAAGCAGTGCTTCTTTACCTTGGTTTCATAATGGGATCACCTGTGAAGCTTTACAATACACCGCTGCCTAGGCCCCTTGCCAGAGCAATTGGATTTTAATCTGTGGGCCCAGAACAAGGACGTTTAAAGAGCTCCCCAGGTGATTTTAATACAGAGAGAAACACTGCTCTAGTGTTCCCTTTATACTCTCCCTCTCCCCCATCAATTAGTACCCTCATTTCAAGAAAAAAAGGGCAGTGTTTTTGATCTGTTGATATTTTATAGATACTTCTAATAACTTTCCTTATATCTATGACTGGATCTATAACTCCAAGTATTATCTGTGTCTCTTCTCTCAAATTTTTTGTCACTGATAAAATAGGGAATGGCTAATATATACAGTATTATCTATGGAATCATAAATATGTATTAAAAGTAGACAGAAAGAATATCAACTTCAGGTTAATCAAGAGAGGGAAGAGGAACATAGGTATTGAAAAATCCAACTGTAGTTAATGTTCTATTGATGTAAAAATTCTTTTTTAAGTTTTTACTGCTTTTAATTGTAGAAATAAAGAGCTAAACCATAGCATAACTCTTTTTGCAGTGACAATTCTGTTCATATACAGGGGATGTTTCTGCTTTAGCTAAAATCTAAAACTTCAATAAATAAGCAACTACCCACCAATCCCTCAAATATGCCTGTACTTGTCACTCTTTTTCTCTTTTTCTTTTTTTTTTTCTTTTGAGACAGACAGGGTCTCTATAACCCAGGCTGGAGTGCAGTGGCACTATCACAGCTCACCACAATCTCAACCTCCTGGACTTGGGTGATCCTCCCACCTTAGCCTCCCAAGTAGTTGGGACTACAAGTGCGCACCAGCACGCCCGGCTAATTTTTGTATTTTTTGGAGAGATGGGATTTCTCTTATGTTGCCCAGGCTAGTCTCGAACGCCTGGGCTCAAGCGATCCACCTGCCTTGGCCTCCCAAAGTGTTGGGATGACAGGTGTGAGCCACCGTGCCCGGCCCCCTTCACTCTTCTATACCACTTATTTCCATTTATGTCTACTTAAAAAGTGGTACTAGACCTAAAGAAGGGGAAATTGATTGGGAAGGCTTGCTTTCTTTCTTTTTTTTGAGACAGAGTCTCACTGTTGTCGCCTGGGCTGGAGTAAAATGGCGCGATCTCAGCTCACTGCAACCTCCGCCTCCCGGGTTCCAGCAATTCTCCCGCCTCAGATTCCCGAGTAGCTGAGATTACAGGCGCCCACCACCATGCCTGGCTAAATTTTTTTTGTATTTTTAGTAGAGACGGGGTTTCACCATGTTGGCGAGGCTGGTCTCAAACTCCTGACCTCAGGTGATCCACCCACCTCGGTCTCCCAAAGTGCTGGGATTACAGGCGTGAGCCACCGCGCCCGGCTGAAGGCTTTCATTTTTACCCTAGAAGGTCAAGTACGTGTTTAGGAGTCCTTATCTTGAAGTTTGCTTCTAGTCATTGTTTCACTTTTAATGGGCAGAAGATTATTACCACAAATTTCCTTTGTTGTTATTTCTGCCTCCACAGTCTTTTATAATTTAGATGTAGTCCCAATAAAGATATTCTGTTGTAATCATTTAAAATGACACATTTCATCATTAAATACTTGTGTTTTGGATTTCCTCCTCCCACTTAGGACTAGATTGCCCACTGCATCTGAGATCTGTCAAAGTAAACAAATGGTTTAAAAGAAATCAACAGATTTCTCAAGAGTTATATTTTAAAAAGCATCTTTAATTTGAAGCAAGTTATCATTTAAACATTTTTCTTAATAGGTCACTTAAAAGTTCATGTATAACTCAAAATGAATTATTAAGGAAATAAGAAATTTCATAACTCAAAATGAATTATTAAGGAAATAAGAAATGACTTTAAATCATTTATAGGACTAAAATGGAACTACAAAATTTCTACCCTCCGCTCTTATACTAACCAATCATGTGCCTTGTGCTTTAAATCGAAAGGAACTTTGTAAAGCCAGGATCATTTTTCAGTAAGAGTATCCGAAACGATCTATACCACCTTGGCATGAAGAAAGAGGCAGTTAATAAGTTATCTTTCCTTTCTACCATTAAAACAATCCCTTTGTAGGATATCTGAACCCTTGGCAATATCTCACAGTATCTCAGTTTCAGCACAGAGGTGGCTCCTTTCTCTGGGTGTTCAAAGCAGCACTGCATGAAGGCTCTACGTGTCGGCCCTACTGGTTAAGAACGGGCTGCAAAATGGTTAGAATAACGGGGATACCAGCATTTACATCATAGCGGGATAGACGGTTTCAAATGTATTTTAGTAAAGAACTTACAGCCTCATGTCATAGAGGCTCTGGAAGTGCCAAGTATTTGGTGAGAATGACAAACCTGCATAGACCAAAAAGGTGATGAGTGCAGCCAGCAGGTGGATACGAAGCTTGGTTCGGACTTCCTGGAAGTGCAGCAGAGCGCTGTGGAAGAGAAAGGAGCAGACGGCCTCTGTGATGACCGCTTTGAGCAAGTCGACTCGGATGGGATTCTTGCAAGCGAAGCTCCTCTCGCTGACGTGATACTGGGTCAGACCCAAGCTCCACAAGGCGCTTGTGCAGTACCTGCTGCACAGGGCACTAACCAGCTGAGCCAATAGCCTCACCGCACCCGTCTCGGGGGACATGCCCCCCAGCATCATCTGCATCATCACGCCGCACGGGTTGCTGGACGTGCCCACCAGAGTCAGGCCATGCACAAGCGAGAAGAAGTAGACGAGCGTCAGCGTCCAGGTGGGGTGCGCGGGGTGCTGTTCGCTCAGCAGTTGCAGCTCGTGGGTGCAGCAGCAGAGCTGGAAGGTGGCTAGAAACTCCAGGACGAAGGCGTGGGCCACCGGCCTGTGCAGCTGCTGCCGGGCGACTACGCGGGCCAGCCCCATGAGCAGCACCACCGACAGCATCAGTCCCAGCGAGGTGCAGGTGTCCTGCAGCTCGGACCGGAGCCCCAGCAGCGGCGACATGGCTCCGTCGCCGCCTGAGCGGGTTGCGGGCTCCGGCTCTGGGTAGGAGGCGGTCTCCAGGCCCGAGTCCGAAGTCCGCAGCCCCTCCCCTCCTCACGCCCCTCGGGGCGGGACGAGCGGGAGGCTCCCGAGCGGCACACTTAAGAAGTCCTCCCCGCCTCCCCGGCTTGGCGCTGGGGTGTTGGAACCAGAGCCGAGGAGGCGGGGAGGCGGGGAGGCGGGGAGGCGCGGGGAGGCGCGGGGAGGCGAAGGGAGGTAGCCTAGGGCGCCGGCCGCAGGGCCAACGGTCAGCCGAGCCCACCGCGCACTCACCCTCCGCAGTCTCCCTCAGGGCCTTGTAGGCGGGCGCGGCGGCGGAGGGCCGGCGCGGCGCGGTCGACGCAGCGCTCTTGGTGCCCACTGCGCACGCGTGCTGCGGCCCTTGCGCCCCTGCGGGCGGTGACACCCGGACCACGGGGCGGAGAGGAGCGGCACGGCGCGGCGGAGCTCTGATGGTTGCTTTGCAGCGAGGACCTTAGAGTTTTTCTTTCCCCGCTCCACACTGTAAAACCGTGGAGCTGGAAAGACCGCTGAAGGCCATCTCACATAGCCACCTCGTTTTTATCAATGGGCGACTGAAATTGAGAGGGGAGACGCGGCGCAGGGGGCGGGTGAGTTAGTGGGCGTAGACCGGTGCGCAGGGCCTCCTGGAGCCTTGCTTTTCTTCACCTGCCAAAAAACATTTCTAAAAATGGTGGTAATATATGCCAGATAAAATTCGCCACTTTAATCAATTTAAGTGTATATTTCAGTGGCATCGATTACCCTCACAGTGTTGTTCAACAGTCACCTCTTTTTTCCAGAACTTGAGCGGTGATTCTTCAAAGTGTAGCCTAGTTTTAGCATGTGACTGTCTATAACCTTTGGCATGAACTCTTTACGTATAATATGAAACAGTTGTGTCTTACTGTTACATGCACTCTTCGTGAAGAGGAAACAACAGGTAACTGGAGAGGTCTGTTTCCAAGAACTGGGGGTCCTGGCGCACCTCTTCCATCTGCTTTGAAAGCAGGAATACGGCTGCGTGAGGTGGAGCGCGTCCGGAGTCCCAGCACGGAGAGGCTTAGGTGGGAAGACCGCTTGACCCCAGGAGTTCCAGGCTGCAGTGAGCTGAGATCGCGCCACTGCACCCCTGCCTGGGCCACAGAGCGAGACGCTGTTTTTAGAAACAAAAACAACAACAAAAACCGGGCGCGGCTGGGCGCGGTGGCTCACGCCTATAATCCCAGCACTTTGGGAGGCCGAGGCGGGCGGATCACCGGAGGTCGGGAGTTCGAGACTAGCCTGACCAACATGAGAAACCCCCGTCTCTACTAAAAATACAAAATTAGCCGGGCATGGTGGCGCATGCCTGTCATCCCAGCTACTCGGGAGGATGATGCAGGAGAATCGCTTGAACCCGGGAGGCAGAGGTTGTGGTGAGCCTAGATCGCGCCATTGTACTCCAGCCTGGGCAACAAGAGCGAAACTCCGTCTCAAAAACAACAACAACAACAACAACAACAACAACAAACCAGTCAAACAAACAAAAAACAAAACATGAAAGCCACTTAGTACAGTTCCCAATACGTAGAAAATATTCACTAAGTGGTAGCTTACAGTGGAAACAGCAGGTTTCAGCAGCCAGAGTGCACGGCTCTTGCCACCGCATTCCAGTCCCAACAGCTTGTCCCCTGGGGTGGCCCATTGTAGGTGCAGCACTTTGGGAGTCCGAGGCAGGCGGATAACGAGGTCAGGAGTTCAAGACCAGCCTGGCCAACATAGTGAAACCCCGTCTCTACTAGAAATACAAAAATTAGCTGGGCATGGTGGTGCGCACATGTAGTCCCAGCTACTCGGGAGGCTGAGGCAAGAGAATCCCTTGAACCCGGGAGGTGGAGGTTGCAGTGAGCCAAGACAGTGCCACTGCACTCCAGTTTGAGCAACAGAGTGAGACTTCGTCTAAAAAAAAAAAAAATTCTTTCACAAGACACAAACTAGTAGAAAATCAAGACCTTTTCTCTTTCCTGTGTTGATTGCCTGGCCAGAAAGAATTTAAATTAGAATTATTTATTATTATTATTTTTTTAAGACAGAGTCTCGCTCTGTCTCCCAGACTGGAGTGTAATGGCGTGATCTCAGCTCACTGCAACTTCTGCTCCCGGGTTCACGCCATTCTCCTGCCTCAGCCTCCCGAGTAGCTGGGACTACAGGCGCCTGCCACCACACCTGGCTTTTTTTTTTTTTTTTTTTTTTTTTTTTTTTTTTTTTTTGTATTTTTTAGCAGAGATGGCGTTTCACTGTGTTAGCCAGGATGATCTTGATCTCCTGACCTTGTGATCTGCCCGCCTCGGCCTCCCAAAGTGCTGGGATTACAGGCGTGAGCCACCGCGCCCGGCAATTAGAATTACTTTTAAGTCACTGCTGTTTAAAGAAGTTGCCTTTAAATCAATCCTATGAATGTAACCCTTTCAGTGCTCCCCTAGACTTGAAGTCACTTGAGGATTAATGTGAATGTATTTTATTTACTGCTCTGCTGATAATTCACTTTTACCCGGAAGAGTCATGTAGAAAACCAGTGTTTTGGACTTTGGTAAGAAATTTTAGTATCGTGGTAATACATATTGTCATTAAAAGGACTTTGGACATTTTTTAAATTAAAGAACAAGGGCAAAATTAACATAATTAATTACTACTGATTGGATATTTTGCATCAAATCAACCTTCCTATTTTCAGAAACAAGAAATCACCAATTAAAGTCTCTTGAGAGTGACATCATGGACGAAGACCTCTGTTAGCTTTGGTAAAACAGCAGTAAAAACAGTCCTTGCTCTTGAATAGCATAGAAGAGGGAACAGAAGAGAAAACAAAATTAAAATATAGTGTAAAAGTACAATGGTAAAAGAAGAAAGGCCTGGGCACAGGGAGGGGCCCCCACTCAGACTTAAGGAAAGGCTCCTTGGAGGAAGTGTCATCCTAGCTGAAACCTGAAGAATAAATAGGAGTTAAGGGGTAAAGAGAAGAGGGAGAAAGAAGAGAGGCAGAGGCACTGCATTTTGCAAACAGAGAAAGCCTAGAGGAGTCCCCGTGCTCTAGGCTGGAGTATGAAGGGGGAAGTAGCAAGAGATCAAGGTTAAAAGAAATAATGCCTGAAAAAGATTTAGTACATGGCCCAGCACATAGTAGTGCTTAATAAGGTTTAATATATAAAAATGGAGGTAAAATAGACGATAGTTCAATAATCATGGATTTTGCCCTGAAGCTTCAGACAAGACAAAGCGAAATGAAGAAAAAAAAAAACCCCTGCCAAAATTCAGAATTGCATTTCGTTAACATCTGCGAGGAGATAAAGCATTTAAGAGCTTCTGCACCAGGCGCGGTGGCTCACGCCTGTAATCCCAGCACTTTGGGAGGCCGAGGTGGGTGGATCACCTGAGGTCAGGAGTTTGAGACCAGCCTGGCCAACATGGTGAAACCCTGTCTCTACTAAAAATACAAAAATTAGCCAGGCGTGTTGGCACATGCCTGTAGTCCCAGCTACTCAGGAGGCTGAGGCAAGAGAATAGCTTGAACCCGGGAGGTGGAGGTTGCAGCGAGCCAAGATTATACCACTAAACTCCAGCCTGGGCAACATGGTGAGACTCCATCTCAAAAAAAAAAAAAAAGAGCTTCTGAAGCCATGTCCTTTGGCTTGACGTTTACGTGGGAAGAAACATGGGAAGAATTTAAGTAATTGCATTTTAAAAGTATTTTATTTTGAAATAATCTCAGGCTTTCAGAAAAGTTGCAAGTATAGTACAAAATTTTTTTTTCCTGAACCATTTGAAAATTAATTGTTAATATTATGCCCAATTACTCAGAACATTTTAGGGTGTATTTTCTTAAACATCTGTGTCCTACATAGCCATAATAAGACTATCAAAATCAGGAAATTAACATTGTTACTACCATCTACTCCTCAGATCCCATTCAAGTTTTGCCAGTTGTCGCAACATTGTACTTCTTAGCAAAAGGATCCAATTCAGAATTGCACATTGCATTTAGTGTCATGTCTCATGAGTTTCCTTCAATCTAGAAAAGTTCCTCAGCTCTTCCTTGACTTTCATCACCTGGACAATTTTGAGGTTACAGATCAGTTATTTTGTAAAATCTCCTTGAATTTGGGTTTGCCTAATGTTTCCTAGATACTAGTTTCAGGTTAAGTGTCTTTTTTTTTTTCTTTTTTTGAGACAGAGTCTCACTGTGTTGCCCAGGCTGGAGTACAGGGGCGTGATCGCGGCTCAATGCAGCCTTACAGGGTATGCATCTTTAGCAGGAATATCACAGAAGTGATGCCATATTTTTCTCATTGTGTTTTATCAGATGTGTACTCCAAAAATCTGAGACATGTCTCAGTTAATTTAGAAAGTTTATTTCGCCAAGGTTGAGGATGCGTGCCTATGACACAGCCTCAGAAGGTCCTGATGACATTTACCTGAGGTGGTCACAGCACAATTTGGTTTTATACATTTTAGGAAGTCATGAGACATCAATCAATATATGTAAGAAGAACGTTGGTTCAGTCTGGAAAGGCATGACATCTTGAAGCAGGAAGGGGGCTTCCAGGTCATAGGTACGTAAGAAAAAAATGGTTGCATTGTTTTAAGTTTCTGATTAGCCTCCTCAAAAGAGGCAGTCAGATATGTTTTTATCTCAGTGAGCAGAGGGGTGACTTTGAATAGAATGGGAGGCAGATTTGCCCTAAGCAGTTTCCAGCTTGACTTTTCCCTTTAGCGTATTGATTTTTGGGGGCATAAGATATTTTCCTTTCACATTTCCCACTTTTCTTTTTAAAAATCTTTTGGAAAAAGCATTTTAGAAGAAAATGAGTTTGTGGTCTCAGGTTTCATCTGATCTGTCATGGCTAGGATGGTTTATTCCTAAACAAGTAGGTCCTGAGTTATTAGGAAAGTTCATTTTTAGAGGGTTGTGAAGTCTCATGTCCTATGAAAAGAAAACGGGGAGCAAGGGAGAAAAACAACAAACAAAAGAACAATCCTGAAAAATCATTATAGGCTGGATTACTCTGAAGTCCATACATCAGTAGGCAAGTATGAAAGTGGCTTATGTATGTAAATAGGTTGCTGTTATTTTCTTCTGAAGTTTAAGTTGTCTGGCTTCAGTTTGCAGTGCTTTAAGAAAGCACAGCTAGCCGGGCATGGTGGTGCGCACCTGTAATCCCAGATACTCGGGAGGCTGAGGCAGGAGAATTGCTTCAATCTAGGAGGCGGAGGTTGCAGTGAGCTGAGATTGCCCCACTGCACTCCAGTCTGCATGACAGAGCAAGACTCTGTCTGAAAAAAATAAAAATAAATAAATAAAAAAGAAAGCACAACTTATTCTGGACATGGCGGCTCACCCTTATAATCCCAGCGTTTGGGGAGGCCGAGGTGGGTGGATCACTTGAGGTCAGGAGTTTGAGACCAGCCTGGCCAACATGGTGAAACTTGGTCTCTACTAAAATACAAAAATTAGCTGGGCGTGGTGGCAGGTGCCTGTAATTCCAGCTGCTCAGGAGGCTAAGACAGGAAAATTGCTTTAACCCAGGAGGCAAAGGTTGCAGTGAGCTGGGATGGTGCTACTGCACTCCAGCCTGGGTGACAGAGCATGACTCTGTCTCAAAAATATCAGAAAGCACAGCTTAGTTTTCCATGACTTCAAACTAGAAAAAATGGGGAAAAAAAGAAGAAAAATTGAAAACCTTATTTTGAAGACGTGTAGCTAAAAAAAAATTAGAATTCTGTCCAAATGGTACAAAAATAATGAAAATGGAAAAACATTAGGCAAGTCTAGAATCTAACAACAGGTATACTACAGTTTTCAAAACATAATTTTTCTTTCTCCAGTTTCCCATTTTTACTAAAGTCATGGTAGGACTGATGTGCTTTATTATACTTGGCCTAATTATTTGTATAGAATGCAGCAAGAATAATTATTTTTCAAATACACTTTTAAATTGGCTTTGATGGAACTTTGTTCTATAGAAGGAATCTCAGATAAGATCTTTTTAAATTTTTTATAATTTCTTTTTTGAGATGGAGTCTCACTCTGTCCCCCAAGCTAGAGTTCGGTGGCACAATCTTGGGTCACTGCAACTTCTGCCTTCCAGGTTCAAGCTATTCTCCTGCCTCAGCCTCCCAAGTAGCTGGGATTATAGGTGCACGCCACAACGCCCGGCTAATTTTTGTGTTTTTAGTAGAGTCAGGATTTCACCATGTTGGCCAGGCTGGTCTCGAACTCCTGACCTCAAATAATCCACCCACCTCAGCCTCCCAAAGTGCTGGGATTACAGGCATGAGTTACTGCACCCGGCTAAGACCTTTATTTAAAGCCAAGCCCAGCCATGGATTTGTGCCATTAAATACCTATAAGTTGGATGATCCTCTGCTCTTGAGGTTCCAAAGTAAACTTGGGGCTCCTGGGCCTGTCAGAAAGTGACATTCTTTACTTACCACAGGTCAGGAACCCTGTACAGGGAAGGTATGAGGCCAGTTTCCCCAAGGGGCTTTATTGGCTCCATAAGTCAAGTTTGATTCCCTAAAGGAAAGCACACCATTCCAGTCAGAGCCTTGGTAAAATAACCAGTTTCTCTGTTTGTGTCCTGTTGCAAAATGAAAACAGATTCTTACTATACTTATGCAAATTACGATATTGCCATCAGTTAAGCATATTCAAAAATAATTCCCAAGTTCTGGAGAAATCAGGTAGAGAGAAACAAATATGCTCCAAATTATAGTCATAGGAGTATACTAAATTGTTAAAAGCTGTCAATAGCTCAAAAGAAAAGTTTCCTTGACTCTGAAAAAAAAACAAAGAATCAGCAACATTTAAAGCAAAAGTCAAAAAGATTACTTTAGTCTTCTATCAGTTCAGTTTATGCAATTAACTCCTGTTCTGCTTGATACTCATGAACATTTCAGCTCTCCATGAGAGTCCTGAAAGTTTCTTTTTTCCTCTATTCTAGTGTCACAACTTCCAAAGTTATCAGAAACCTGCATTTAAGAACACCTGTTAAGAGTTCTATAGCTGATTATAAAACCACCTTCTAAAGAGGGCCAAAACAAGACAACAATTGTCTGTGGATGACAAACAGTTTTAGAGCAGCCATAGTCAAAGACACAATTGACAAGGACATTTGTTACCTCTGTGGCACACAATAATTTAACATAGGAATTATAATTATTACTGATAAGGTACACTTAAGTTATATCACTAGATGTTTCTCACTATGTACACTAAGTTATAATTATAGGAGTTTCCCATAATTTTGGAACACATACCAATAACATATTTATATAAACGTAGCCCAAAGAAAACCAAACACTATATTATATGTGACAATGATTCCTGTATAATTTTTATACCAGATAAGCCAAATATGTCATTTTTGGACTTCAGGGAACCTATTAATAATACCTTAAAGGATTAATTAAATCAGAAAAAGACATAATTTATAATTTGATTTTGGAAAGTTTGTCAAATATCAAAGGTTTAAAACACTTGATATCACAAAATAGGATCACAGGTCATTGTTAAATAAGTTATTCATTTAACCAAAGTGATAATTCAGGGATTTCAAAGAAAAGGTGAAAACCTTCATTCTTTGAGAGAGGATATTTAGTTTTCCAAACAATAAGCCCTGACAAAAACAGCACAGGCTGGGTGCAGTGGCTCACACTTGTAATCCCAGCACTTTGGGAGGCCAAGGGGAGGGGTGGATTACTGGAGGTCAGGAATTCGAGACCAGCCTGACCCATATACTGAAACCCCATCTCTACTAAAAATACAAAAAATTTAATCCCAGCACTTTGGGAGGCTGAGGCAGGTGGATCACAAGGTCAGATCGAGACCATCCTGGCTAACATGGTGAAACCCCGTCTCTACTAAAAAATACAAAAAATTAGCTGGGCCTGTTGGCATGTGCCTGTAGTCCCAGCTACTTGGGAGGCTGAGGCAGGAGAATCACTTGAACCTGGGAGGCGGAGGTTGCAGTGAGCCGAGATCGGGCCATTGCACTCCAGCCTGGTGACAGAGCCAGACTCTGTCTCAAAATAACAAAACAAACAAACAAAGAAACAGAATTAGCCACGCATGGTGGTGGGTTCCTGTAATCCCAGCTACATGGGAGGCTGTGGCAGGAGAATCACTTAAACCCAGGAGGCAAAGGTTGCAGTGAGCTAAGATCACACCACTGTGCTCCAGCCTGGGTGACAGACTTTGTCTCAAAAAATAAAAAAAGAACAGCACGAAGCCAGTTAAATTTGTTTTTCAATATTGTATAAACACTCTATAACATTTTAATCTTGATTGTAAGATATAACTTCAACAAGCCTTTTATAACCTTTACTATGGAGTTAATGCTTCAAGAAAACCTTGTTAATCTGACACAGTGGCACATATTCTGGTCTTGCATCAATGTGTCTTTGACATTAATGGTTAATTTATGGATGTAATAATCAATTGAAAAATTTTAATCTCAGTTTTTTCCTAAGCAAACCAAAACTTAATAGTAATAGCATAGGAATTATTTTGATAAAATGTAAAATTTGTTAGGCTAGTTACCAAAAGGCAAAAGAAAAGATCTTCTGCAGTGTACAGAAAATTATGTTGGAAGAAAAGATTTCCTTTAGATCTTTAAGAAAATATTGTTAGCATCAGGCCACAACAAACAGAACTTGAGGGGAAAAAAAAACATATATGAGCTGAAAATGAGTTGAAGGAGAGTGTTATAATTTTGCACCTTTTAAAAGGGGAAAGAAAACTGAAAACAGCGTGATGCAATAAAAGTTGAACCTTGGGTTAAAAAAATTAAAATCTTTATAATTTATTAAGAGGTAATCAATCCCTTAAGGAAATTTTATTGTTGTAATGAATTCTTTAGTGTGTACGTTTCATTACATCACACCCAATGTCTAGAAAAACCCATTATAATTTTCCTTTAATTATAGACGACTTGATCATATAAAAGTTTTTGGTTTTTTTAGATAAATCCTTTTATTATGACTTACACAGACCATTCGTGACATGCTTGGACTTTTTGGTTTGTTCTGAACATCTTTCTTTCTTATACAACCACTCATTTTATTCTTGGTCTAAATTTACCATACAAGATTATTTTTCATACAAAATTATTTCTCATTTGGGCATAGTGGCTCATGCCTGTAATCCCAGCACTTTGGGAGGTCAAGGCTAGTAGGTCACCTCAGGTCAGGAGTTCGAGACCAGCCTGGCCAACATGGCAAAACCCCATCTCTACTTTAAATACAAAAATTAGCCGGGCATGGTGGCAGGCACCTATAATTCCAGCTACTCAGGAGGCTGAGGCAGGAGAATCACTTGAACCCTGCGAGAAGAAGGTTGGAGCAAGCCAAGATTGTGCCACTTCACTCTAGCCTGGGAGACAGAGCGAGACTTCATCTCAAAAAAAAAAACAACAATTTTAAAAATTATTTCTCTTTAAGCTTTCTTACCAAAAAATACCTCTTTCTTTCTATAATTTTGTTTACACGTCTCTTATTTCCCAGTTCCTTTTACCTTGTTTTATACATGACCTTTAAGTAAGCTTTGAATTAGACAAAAATTGTTCACCTTTTTAAAAGGGACACTTTTTTTTAGAAAGAATGTTTTCCTACAATATATTATTATTGGAAAATACCAAAATAATGAAATATCTATAATTTAATATAACTTTAGATTCTAAATTATGACTAGTTTATCTATATCCTATTACATTTATCTAATTATTTTATTTTAATCATTTACCTAGATTATTTATGAAAACTGCGATAGTCATCATTTAAAGTTATGAAACCGCCATTGCAAAATTATAACTGAGACAGTGAAAAAGATTTGCCCTAAGTGACTCCATCTTGCTTCTAAACTCCAAGCTGTCCTTGTTCATTCCTGGGTATGAGCCGAACTAACTTTGCTAGGAACTTAGTTTATAGTTTAGCTTTGAAATAAAAATGGTAACCGTCTTCCCAAAGGAAACCTCTTACTGTCTGTGGACTAGACTGCCTAACACCACAGGATTAGAAGTTATGTTAATCTGGCCGGGCATGGGCGGCCTGTAATCCCAGCACTTTCGGAGGCCGAGGCAGGTGGATCACCTGAGGTCGGGAGTTTGAGACCAGCCTGACTAACATGGAGAAACCCCATCTCTACTAAAACTACAAAATTAGCCAGGCATGGTGGCGCATGCCTGTAATACCAGCTACTTGGGAGGCTGAGGCAGGAGAATCACTTGAACATGGGAGGTGGAGGTTGTGGTGAGCCAAGATCATGCCATTGCACTCCAGCCTGGGCAACAAGAGTGAAACTCTGTCTCAAAAAAAAAAAAAAAAGTATGATAATCTTACTAAATTCAAGATGTAGCTTTTTTATTAAACCAATATCAATGTATTATTTATTAAAGATTACACCAGCAAAGATAATTCTGTCTTGGGCTGGTTTTTTAGTTTTGTAACCTCTATACCAAATTTTGACACCTTATAGTATCTGGCTGGGATAAGTATAAAATTGCTTGATAAGTAAATGCAAACGAAAATGTATTGCTGGCAAATTCTTAAGACATTTCTAATATTATTTTACCAATAATTTTAAATCCAGCTTATTTATTAAAGATTTTACTTAAGTCCTGTGAACCTGAAAAAGCATTTGACTAGTCTTGTTTTCTTTAGTATCTGATGTAAGCACTTTTGTTTTTTTAAGCCAATTAATTAGCTCTTTTATATATTTTCAGTAGTGAAATATTGTGTGCACAACACATAAATACGTAGATGTATTGGCATGCTGATAGAAGTACATCTTATAGATTCATAAAGACCTTTTTTTTTTATCTTAGACTTTCAGGTTCTTGATAACCTGTTTCACAACCCTAGGCAGTTGTCAGCTAAATAGCCTTAAATTTGCCTATTTAAGGAAACAACTCAGGTGAAAATCAAATAACAGAATTTACATCATAAGGTACAGAGAGGAAAAGTCTGGTGTGCTAGAGGGAGATTAAAGATAAATGTGAAATCAAACAAAATTATAAAAATCTATCATAGGATTGTATAAGGAGACCAATTTTATTTGCATAGGGACTACCTATCTTTTAACTGGATCTCTGAGCTCTAGGCAGAACCTATACGAAATCCTGGGTTTCCAAAAAGGGAGAATTATTATGAGGCTAGACTAAGTGATGTTTTTACACTGCACTTAAAGATAATTTTTTTTAAACAAAGACGTTTCTCAGTGTTGAATACACTCTTCCTTAAAAACCTAAGGCTAGCCTCTGTTACAAATAACTATTTTAGTCAACAAATCATGTAACACAATACAAAAGCAAGCAGTTTAAAAGCTGAGATGAACTTGTCTGTTTATACTTTTGGCACCTTCTCCACTTTCTTAAAGGAACCCCAGGCTATTATAAACTATTTCAGTTCCCTCATGCAGCAGAGGGTGCAAGAGAAAGGAGAGACAGCAGAAGTAAATGAAGAAAACAGAATTCAGTCAACTGAGAAGAAAAACCTTGCTCAAAAGAATGACAAGGTCCTAGGAGAGAAAAAAACAAACAAACAATGAAGACCTTTTAAATACAAACACACACACCCATATACACACATATCTTGGATGTTAGCTTTTAATTAAGTTGGCTTTAACAAATGAGCTCCTTTAAAAAAAGAAGTTTTTAAATCTCATTACCATATTTCAACTGGAACAAATTGGTGCTATTTCATCTGCTTTTCTTTTTTCTTTTTTTGAGATGGAGTCTTGCTCTGTTGCCCAGGCTGGAGTGCAATGGCACGATCTCAGCTCACTGCAACCTCTGCCCCTGGGTTCAAGTGATTCTCCTGCCTCAGCTTCTTGAGTAGGCAGGATTACAGGCATGTGCCACCATGCCCAGCTGATTTTTGTATTTCATTTTCATTTTCTTTTTTTTTTTTTTTTTGAGACGGAGTCTCGCTCTGTTGCCCAGGCTGGAGTGCAGTGGTGCAGTCTCAGCTCACTACAACCTCTGCCTCCTGGGTTCAAGCAATTTTCCTCCCTCAGCCTCCTGAGTAGCTGGGACTACAGGTGCACACCGCCATGTCCGGCTAATTTTTTGTATTTTAGTAGAGGCAGGGTTTCACCATGTTGCCCAGGCTGGTTGCGAACTCCTGAGCTCAGGCAATCCGTCTGCCTCGGCCTCCCAAAGTGCTAGGATTACAGGCATGAGCCACTGCTGCTGCCTTTATTTTTTTGTTTTTAATTTTTTGTTTGTTTGCTTTTGTTTTTAAAATTGCTGCTATTTCAGAAGTACAACCATTGCTCTTTCAGATTGGCCTGGCTAGCTAAAAGGTGGCCTTGTAAATAAAGCCCGTGTAGTACTCAAAATCAAAAATCTTACCTCTTTTTTCTTTTTGCTGGCAGTTTTTCTCCCCCACCATACCACCTTTTTGTGTGTGTATGGGAATTTAAGTATTTGATAGGCCTTCCCCATAATTTGGAACTTTCCTTCAGATTTGATCAAGTCTGATAGAGTTGGTCAAACCTAATGGGACAAAGACCCAAACAACAACAAAAACAGAAACAACAACAACGAAAAACAGTTAAACAAAACAAATGATCACACAACTTACATGATTACTGAACACTTTAACAGTAAGGAGAAATTATGACCATTTGGTTGTTAACTTTAGCCAAGACAAAACCTCAATTCAGCTACTTACCTAGGGATGGGTCTCAGGCTGAAGACTACTCTCTACGTCCTAGAAGCAGGAAAAAAAAAATAGTCTTTTCTGTTGGAAGCAAGCTCAAACTCCATAAAGGAATTACCTGCCTTCCATTGTCATGGAAGCAGGAAAACTTGCCTTTCTTGTTGGAAGCAAGTAAAACTCCAAAAAAAAAAAAAATAAATAAGAGGGAGTTGTACAGCAAAATAAACTTTAGATCTCAACCAAACTTTGGGAGAGCAGGGATTCTCTGGAAGGAGTGCTCCCAGGCCTCAGCAAACTATTCATAAAGTTAGCTTATGCTGATACCAAACACCAGTAAAAGATTTGTCAAAGTTCAAGTGTTCCTCCATGCAGAGTCCCTCTGTGGTTACCAAAATGTTAACCCCAGTAATTTGAGACAAGTCTTAGTTAATTTAGAAAATTTATTTTGCTAATTAACCGGGTGTGGTGGCGCAAGCCTGTAATTCCAGCTACTCAGGAGGCTGAGGCACGAGAATTGTTTGAACCTGGGAGGTGGAGGTTGCAGTGAGTCGAGACTGCATCACTGTACTCCAGCCTGGGCTACAGAGCGAGACTCTGTCTCTAAAAAATAAATAAAAATAAAAAATAAAGTTTATTTTGCCACAGTTGAGGATGTGCACCCATGGCGCAGTCTCAGGAGGTCCTGATGTCATGTGCCCAGGGTAGTCAGACCATAGCTTGGTTTTATACATTTTAGGGAGAAATGAGACATCAGTTAATATATGTAAGATGAACATTGGTTTGGTCCAGAAAGGCGGGACAGCTCAAAGCAGGGAGGGGGCTTCCAGGTCATAGGTAGAAAAGAGACAAATGGTTGCATTCTTTTGAGTTTCTGATTAGCTTCTCCAAAGGAGGCAATGAGATATGCATTTATCTCTGAGCAGAGGGGTAACTTTGAATAGAATGGGAGGCAGGTTTGCCCTAAGAAGTTCTCAGCTTGACATTTCCTTTTAGATTAGTGATTTGGGCAGGCATGGGGGAGCTCATACCTATGAATAGAGACATAAAGTAGAAGGATGGCTGTCAAGTGATGAGGGAAGGGAGGAGTGAGGAGTTAGTGTTTAATGGGTATAGAGTTTTAGTTTCACAAGATAAAAAGAGTTCTGTAGATGGATAGTGGTGATGGTTGCACAACAATATAAATGTACCTAATACCACTGAATTCTCCATTTGAAAATGGTTAAAATGGGCCCGGTGCGGTGGCTCATGCTTGTAATCTTGTGGGAAACTGAGGAATGGAGAGACCAATATGAGAGTACAGGAGGATGTTTATTTTAAGGTGTGCACCGGCTGAGTGGATTCAAATCCAAAAAGCTGAGCATTAAACAAAGACAGAGCAGGGTTTTTATAAGTGGACTTACAAAAGTAAAACAAAAGCAGTTAATCATATAGTGCATAACTTGTGGCCTTGCATAGCTGGTGGCCTTGGAGCTGTGTCAAAAGAAAATCAAGAACTGGCTAAATACAGACATTTGTAAAACATAATCATGCTTAAGAAGCCAGGGAAAGGAGTAACAGTAAAGGAATTTGTCTTCTTCTTTTTTTTTTTTTTTCCTTCAACCTTGTTCTAGAGGGGAGGGATGTCTGGAACCCATTCCTTTGGACTTGGCTTCTCAAACAACATTATCTTATAACTGTCCTTGAAGTGAGCTTGCTAGGCCGAGGAAAACTTGTTCTTTTCTTTTTAACCCTTGCCTTGCCTGTTAACTTTTCTTGGAGTGAATGAATGCATATTTATTTTTAAATTTCTGCCTCAGTTTCCCCCCTTTGATGCCTTTTATAAAAGAAATTTAATAGGAGGCATCACTATTATTTAATTTTGCATGAAGAGACAAGTTTTCTTCTTTAGACAAAGGTTGACATTTACATAGAGCCATTAGCTGACTGGTAGTTTGCCTAGCTACTATTGCCTCTATAGTTGACTGAATGTTTCTAACAAGGAGAGGTAAGAGACAAGGTAGTATTAGGCAACTTCCTAGTATGGCCAGAATCAATCTTATTAAAGTCTTGAACCCTCCGAAAAATGAAAAACAGCCTCCAAAGAGAGAATCTGGAGACCACCCTTTCTACGTTTGAACTGGAACGTGGGTTAATTTTCTTATTCTTGCAGTTATTTCCATAAATGTCTTTCCATTGTCATTGATTTCCAGGCAACAATTAGTTAGATTGAATTTTCCACATACTCCTCCTTCCTGGGCTAGGAGATAGTCTAAAGCTAATCTGTTCTGATAGATAGCATTCCTCATTTTTTGTAGCTTGCTGGGTCAGTAAATCTAATGCATTTGATGTTTATTAGTGATGATCTCAAGCCCTGCCTGTAACCTTATGATGCGCTTAAGCACGTAAGTAGGAGTACGGTAACTCCATGACCTATCTTCCACCTAGGTAGCTGGCCATTTCCTGGGTCATAAATTGAATAGGTGATCTGATTGTAAGTACAAGTTCCTAGGTGAGTCCCTGTATACTCATAATAAGTATGGTATAATAGAGTCCTGGTTATACTGTTTTCTGACCATGTAGTATGTGTACGATGGGGACACCCTTCTATGGGTGTTTCTTCTAGCATGGTTAAGTGGGGTAACAACAGTAAAACAATGTACAGTATATTCATATCTAGTAAGGACAGAAGAGGTCCTTATTTGGGAGAGGAGGTTGAGCACAGTGACAGAACAATAGTAAAACAGTTAATATTACAAGGAAAACTACTAGTTCTAAGATTTCTAACTACATTTACTTGCTTGATGAGTCCTCAAGCTTTGGCCGTGCATAGACTAGTCAGCTTTCAGTGTGTGACTAGAGCAGGGCTTGTTGTTTCCTCAAACTTCAGCCATGCGTAGGCTGGTTAGCCTCCGGAGTGACCAGAACAGGGCGGTCGTCTTCGGCAGCAGTTTGGTCCCGTCTCAGGATCAGCCGAGTTGGATGATCTGGGTCCTGCTGGCTGGTCCACTTGTCTTGAGTTGTCAGTTTCAGCCGACTGTGGTGGATCCAATGCACAACACCTGCAACTTTAACAATAGTGGGAGTGGGTAAGATTTCAGTATAGGGCCCATCTCATATGGGTCCTAGAGAAGTTGGAGTCCACTTTTTAACCCAAACAGAATCTCCTGGTTTAAAGGGGTGTTCTGGGTCTGTTAGACTTATAGGCATTCTTTTCTGTACCCAGCCATGGATCTCTTGCATGGCTATTCCTAAAGCCTGCATTTGTTATGTTTTGTTTTCTTTTTTTTTTTTTTTTTTTGAGACAGAGTCTCGCTCTGTCACCCAGGCTGGAGTGCAGTGGTGCGATCTTGGCTCACTGCAGGCTCCGCCTCCCGGGTTCATGCCATTCTCCTGCCTCAGCCTCCTGAGTAGCTGGGACTACAGGTGCCTGCCACCACGCCCGGCTAATTTTTTGTATTTTTAGTAGAGATGGGGTTTCACTGTGTTAGCCAGGATGGTCTCGATCTCCTGACCTCGTGATCCACCTGCCTCGGCCTCCTAAAGTGCTGGGATTACAGGCGTGAGCCACCACACCCAGCCACATTTGTTTCCTTAAAGTTAATTCCCCTAGTTCTCAGAGGTTTCCTTTAATTTGACTTAGGATTGGGGGAGGCTGACTGAATAAAATCTCATAGGTTGAATACTGAGTTTGTTTGGTGGGGGTGCACCTGACGTGGAAGAGGACTATAGGCAAAACCTGATTTCATTTCAGATGAGTCTTTTGGCAATATTTCTTCAGTAGCTGCTTGAGTGTGCGGTTCATGCATTTTACTTTTCCTGAACTTTGTGGCCAATAGGCTGTATGTAACTTCCATTTTATTTTTAACAGTTTTGTTAAATCTTGCATTATTTCAGCTACAAATGCCAACTTATTGCCTGACTCTAAAGTTAAAGGCAGTCTAAACCTGTGGATAATATCTCTTAACAGTACTTTAGTCACTTCTCATGCTTTTTCTGTTTTGATGGGGAAAGCTTCAACCCACCCTGAAAAGGTGCAAACAAACACTGGCATGTACTGATAGCCTCCAGCATGGGGCAGTTCGGTAAAGTCTATAAGTAAGTTTTCACCAGTAGTAGCTGAACTGAAACCGGGAGCAACTCCGGTCTGGGTTCGTCAGTACCCAGTTCCCCAAAAGGCTGTACAGGGTGTCTGCAAACATTTAGAACGGCTCTATAAATATGGGATCTTAATCCGATGCCAGTCCCCCGGAATACTCCACTTTTGCCAGTATGAAAGCCGCTGCTGGGACCAAGGTCTGATGAGTAGATACCGGTGCAAGATTTGCATGCCGTAAACCGGGCCATGGTGACCATCCATCCCGTGGCACCAAATCCATATACTTTAATGGTACTTATTCCAACAAGTGCCACTAGGTTTACAGTCTTAGACTTAAAGGACGCTTTCTTTTATATTCGCTTAGCACGAGTTAGCCCATATTTGCATTTCAATGGGACAAGGAAGCTATGCAACTCATGTGGACTAGGCTCCCACAAGGGTTCAAAAACTCTCCTACAATCTTTGGGGAAACACTGGCTTCAGACCTCAAGGCCTATACCCCGCCAAATGATAACTGTGCTTGTTACAGTACACGGGCGACCTTCTTTTGGCAGCCCCAACCCAAGAGGACTATTATCAGAGAACTCAGGACCTCCTTCATCTCCTGTGGAAAGCAGGTTACAAAGTATCTAAAAAGAAAGCCTAAATTTGCCATAAAGAGGTTAAATATCTAGGTTTCGTAGTGAGTCACGGGGAATGCTGGCTTGGCTATGAGTGAAAACAAGACGTTTGTGCACTACCAATCCCAACCACCCGATGCCAAATAAGAGAATTTTTAGGGGCAGCAGGAATTTGCCCCATCTGGATTCCAAATCTTTCCTTGATGGCTGTGCCGTTATATGAAGCCACAAAAGGAGGACAAAAAAACCCTCCTTTGGGAGACTAATCAGAAAATGCATTCCAACAAATCAAGGAAGCTTTAACTTAGGCCCTAGCCTTAGGACTACCAGATATAACTAAGCCTTTCTATATGTTCATGAACAAAAAGGAATGGCTATAGGAGTTCTGACTCAAGTTGTAAGGTCATAACATCACCCAGTAACATACTGATCCAAACAATTGGATTCTGTGATGCTAGGATGGCCTCCCTGTGTTAAGGCATTAGCCGCCACCACCTTGCTAAACACAAGAGGCTAGCAAATTGACTCTAAGACAGCAGTTAACCATTCGGGAGCCACACTCAGTCATAACTCTGATGGACCGACTCCCAGTTCCTGTGTACCTAATTGGGGTGACGAGCCACTATCACCATCTCCAGTTTCCTTAGTTGGGGTGGCAAGCCATTCTCGCCACCTCCAGTTTCCTTTTCCTAACCAACTTAGTGAGCCACTCTTGCTTCCTGTGTTGATTGGGGTGAGAGTTTCATCCAAATTGACAGCCGCTCTCATCGCCCCCAGTCCCTCTGGGTCGGACTATTAGGCATACCCCGGGAGGTGATCAGGCTCCCTTTCCGTCCTTACAGGATGGGTCCTGCCTTGGGCCCCAAAACCTTACCATGATTCCTGAAGTGCGCTGTTTCTAGAATCATCCTGTAGCTCCTCTCAGGATCTGTTGCGCTGCTGGGTAGGGGTGCTGGGTCACGGAGAGCTGATTTCCCCTCTGGGCTGAAGTTCTCCCGGCGGCACCTGGGGTCACAGGTCTCCCTTGGCCCAGGGCTCCAGCCCCCTATAGGCAAAGGAGACAGTAAGCCTGTCATCTCCACTCCTGGCTGGCTTGCCAAGAAATGTTGCAGGAAACTGAGGAATGGCGAGACCAATATGAGAGTACAGGAAGATATTTATTTTTAGGTACGCACTGGCTGAGTGGATTTATATCCAAAAACCTGAGCATTAAACAAAGACAGAGCAGGGTTTTTATAAGTGGACTTACAAAAGTAAAACAAAAGCAGTTAATCATATAGTGCATAACTTGTGGCCTTGCATAGCTGGTGGCCTTGGAGCTGTGTCAAAAGAAAATCAAGAACTGGCTAAATACAGACATTTGTAAAACATAATCATGCTTAAGAAGCCAGGGAAAGAAGTAACAGTAAAGGAATTTGTCTTTCTCTTTTTTTTTTTCCTTCAACCTTGTTCTGGAGGGGAGGGATGTCTGCAGCCCATTCCTTTGGCCTTGGCTTCTCAAACAGCATTATCTTATAACTGTCCTTGAAGTGAGCTTGCTAGGCCGAGGAAAACTTGTTCTTTTCTTTTTAACCCTTGCCTTGCCTGTTACTTTTCTTGGAGTGAATGAATGCATATTTATTTTTAAATTTCTGCCTCAATCTCAGCACTTTGGGAGGCTAAGGTGGGTGGATCACGAAGTCAGGAGATTGAGACCAGCCTGGCCAACATGGTGAAACTCTGTCTCTACTAAAAATACATAAGTTAGCCAGGCGCGGTGGCACCCTCCTGTAGTCCCAGCTACTTGGGGGGCTGAGGCAGGGGAATTGCTTGAACCTGGGAGGTGGAGGTTGCAGTGAGCCGAGACTGTGCCACTACACTCCAGCCTGGCAACAGAGGAAGACTCCGCCTCAAAAAAAAAAAAAAGAAAAGAAAATGGTTAAAATGGAAATTGTTATGTTTATTTTACCACAGTTTTTTTTTTTTTTTTAAAGAAATGAGCTATCAAGCAAAGCAAAGACATGGATAAATGTTGAATGTATATCAGTAAGTCAAAGAAGCAAGTCTGATGGCTTTTTACTATATAATTCTTTTTTTTTTTTTTTTTTTGAGACGGAGTCTGGCTCTGTTGCCAGGCTGGAGTGCAGTGGCATGATCTCGGCTCACTGCAACCTCCACCTCCTGGGTTCGAGCGGTTCTCCTGCCTCAGGCTCCCGAGTAGCTGGGACTACAGGGGCCTGCCACCATGCCTGGCTAACTTTTGTATTTTTAGCAGAGACGGCGTTTCACCATGTTAGCCAGTATTGTCTCGATCTCTTGACCTCGTGATCCACCCGCCTCAGCCTCCGAAAGTGCTAGTATTGCAGGTGTGAGCCACCGTGCCTGGCCGTGATTCTACTTATATACATTATGAAAGGTAAAACTACAGAGATGAAAAACAAGTTGGTAGGAATTCAGTAAGGAGGATTGAATAGGTAAATCACAGGACATTTTAGGATGGTGACATTATTTTGTGTAATACCATAATGATAGTGACATGATACATGACACCTTGCATTTGTCAGAACCCTTAGAACCTAAAGTATGCAAATTTAAAAAAATCATTTAGGAGCTCAGATAGATGATCCCAAGATGAAATAAAGAACGTGACAAAATAATCTAACTGTATTATGAACAAAACTCAATGAAGGAAATGGGAGAAAATTGCTGACCTAAGTAACTTTGGAAATGGGTGGATCCTGTAAAACTCAATGCAAAAGGAGTACAGACTAGGGAGCAATATGGCCAAGTAGAGGCCTCCAGAAATTGTCCTCCCTGCAGGAACACCAAATCGAACAACTATTCACACAAAAAACACCTTCATTACAACCAAAAATCAGGTGAGTAATCATAGTACCTGGTTTTAACATCACATTAAGGAAAGAGGCACTGAAGAGGGCAGGAAAAATAGTCTCAAATTGTCTACAGCACCCTTCTCTGATCGCCTAGCTGTGGCTGCATAGCACAGAGAGTCTGTGCACTTGTGGGAGGGAGAGTGCAGTGATTATGGGACTTTGCATTAGAGCTCAGTGCTGCCCTGTCACAGCAGAAAACAACACAAGGCAGAACTCAGCTGGAGGCCAAGGAGGGAGCATTTGCATCAGCCCTAGCCAGAGGCATATTACCCATCCCAGTGGTCAGAACTTGACCTCTGGCAAGCCACCACCATTTGGTAAAGGGCTCTGGGGTCCTAAGTAAACTTGAAAGGCAGTCTAGGCCCTAAGGATTGCAATTGCTGGGCAAGTCCTGGTGCTGTGCTGGGCTTGGAGCCAGGGTACTCGTACTCAGGTACATGTAACATGTACATGGAGCCAGGGAGGCCAAGGCAGTGCTTGCATCATCCCTCTCCCAACCTCAGGCAGTGCAGTTCACAGCTCTGGGAGAGACTCCTTCCCTCTACCTGAGGAGAGAAGGGAGAGTAAAGAGGACTTTGTCTTGCAGCTTGGATACCTGCTCAGCCACAGCAGGATAGGGCACCAGACAGAGTCCTGAGGACCCCATTCCAGGGTCTAGCCATCACATGACATTTCAAGACACACCCTGGGCCAGAAGGGAACCAACTGCCTTAAAGGGAAGGAATAATCAGCGGTGGTAACCAGGCATTATTCCTCCTGGGCCTTGGGTAAAACTCAGAGCTGTGTTGCCTTTAGATGTGACCCAGCACATTCCTAGCTGTGGTGGCTACTTGAAGAAAGAAGACGGAGGAGTAAAGGGCATTTTGTCTTATAGCTTGGGTACCAGCTCAGCCACAGTGGGATAGAGCACCAAGCAGGCTCTTGGTGTCCCCAGTTCCAGGTCTTGGCTCATGGATGGCATTTCTGGACCTGCCCTGGGCCAGAGGGGAGTCCTTTTCCCTGAAGGGTGAGTCCCGGGCCTCACAGCATTCACCGCAAGCTGATTGAAGAGCCCTTGGACGTTGAGTGAACATTGGTGGTAGCCTGGCAGTACTTGCCACGGGCTCAGGGCAGCAGTAGCCATGAAGAGAGACTCCTGTTTGTGGAAAGGGGAGGGAAGAGGGGGAAGGACTTTGTTTTGTGGCTTGGATGCCAGCTCAGCAGCAGTAGATAAGATTTCTAAGGTTCCTGGCTCCAGACTCTGGCTCCCAGTGGCATCTTTGGACACACCCAGGGCCAGGGGGACCTTACCACCCTAAAAGGAAGGACACAAGCCTGCTGTATTTGCCACCTGCTGATTGTAGATCTCTTGGGTCTTGAGTGAACCTAAGTGGTAGTCAAGCAACGGTCACTGTGGACCTTGGGTGAAACCCAGTGCTATGTTTGTTTCAGGTCTGACCCAGGACAGTCCCAGTGGTGGTGACCACAGGGGAACTTATGTCACCCCTCTCCCAGCTCCAGGAAGTTCAGTACAGAGAGAGAGAGACTTCATTTGTGGGGGAAAGTAAAGGATGAGAACAAGAGTCTCTACCTGGTAATCCAGGGAATTCTCCTAAATCTTACCCAAGACCACTAAGGCACTACTTCTGAGTCTGCAAGAGCCACAACATTACTGGACTTGGGGTTTCCCCTAGTGCAGATACGGCTGCAGTGATAAAAAACTTAAATCACAGCATCCAAGTCCCTTCGAATGGCTGGAAATCCTTCCCAAGAAGGACAGGTACAAACAAGCCCAGACTGTGAAGACTATAATAAATACCTAATTCTTCAATGCCCAGACACCGATGAACATCCACAAGCATCAAGACCATCCTGGAAAACATGACCTCACCGAATGATCTAAATAAAGCACCAGCCACCAGTCCCGGCTGTCTCTTAGCAAAACTGATCAAGCAGAAGAAAGAATTAGTGAGTTTCAAGACAGGCTGTTTGAAAATACACAGCCAGAGGAGACAAAAAAGAATTAAGAAGAAGGAAGCATGACTGCAAGATCTAGAAAATAGCCTCAAAGGGGGAAATCTAAGAGTTATTGGCCTTATAGATCTGGGTAGAAAGTTTATATAAAGAGGTAACAGATAGTTTTCCAAACCTAGAAAAGGATATCAATATTTAAGTACAAGAAGGTTGTAGAACACCAAGCAGATTTAGCCCAAATAAAAGTACCTTGAGACACTTAATAACCAAACTCCCAAAGGTCAAGGGTAAAGAAAGGACCCTAAAAGCAGCAAGGGGAAAAGAAACAAATTACATACAATGGAGCTCTAATATGCCCAGGAGCAGACTTTTCAGTGGAAATCTTAAAGGCCAGGAGAGAGTGGTGGGACAAATTTACAGTGCTGAAGGAAAAAAACTTTAATACTAGAATAGTATATCCAGTGAAAATATCCTTCAAACATAAAGGAGAAACAACGAATTCCCCAGACAAACAAAAGCTGAGGGAGTTCATCAACACCAGACCTGTCCTACCAGAAATGCAAACGAGAGTTCTTCAATCTGAAAGAAAAGAATGCTAATGAGCAATAAGAAGTCATCTGAAGATATAAAACTCACTGGTAATAGTAAGTACACAGAAAAGCACAGAATATTATAACACTGTAATTTTGGTATGTAAACTGCTCGTATCTGCAGTAGAAAGACTAAAAGACGAACCTGTCAGTGTTACAGCTTTTTTAGAATTTGTCCAGCAGGCTTTCTTGTTTTCACTGGAAGCCTCCCTCGCAAAAAATGAACCTGTCAAAAATAAGAAGTACAACAACTTTCCAAGATACAGACAATATAATAAGATATAAATAGAAAAAGCAAAAAGGTAAAAAGCAAGCAGATGAAGTTAAAATGTAGAGTTTTTATAAGTTTTCTTATTGCATGTTTGTTCATTTGTTTATGCAACCAGTGTTAAGTTGTCATCAGCTTAAAATATGGGTTGTAAGATATTATCTGCAAGCTGTATGGTAACCTCAAATTGAAAAACATACAACAGATACATGAAAAATAAAAAGCAAGAATTTAAAACATACCACCAGAGAAAATCACCTTCACTACAAGGAAGACAGGAAGAAAGGAAAGAAGGAGGTGAAGACTACAAAACAACCAGAAAACAAATAAAAGGCAGTAATAAGTTCTTATCAATAATAACATTGAATATAAATGGACTAAACTTCAATCAAAAGACACAGAGTGGCTGAATGGATTAAAAAAACAAGACCCAATGATCTACTGCCTGCAAGAAATATACTTCTCCTATGAAGACACATAAACACTGAAAATAAATGGATGGAAAAAGAAAGGGCAGGAGTAGCTATATTTTTTTAAGACAAAATACATTTCAGGACAAAACCTATTTTAAAAAGACAAAGAATATTATTGTAAAATGATAAAGGGGTCAATTTAGCAAGATAATAACAGTTATAAAAATATATGCACTCAACACAGGAGCACCCAGACATATAAAGCACATATTATTAGAGCTAAAGAGAGAGAGAGACCCCAATGCAATAATAGCTGGAGCCTTCTACACCACATTTGCAACATTGGACAGATCATCCAGACAGAAAATCAAAAAAGAAACATCAGACTTCGTTTGCACTATAGACCAAATGGACCTAATAGATATTTACAGAACATTTCATCCAACAGCTACAGAATACGCATTCTTCTCCTCAGCACTTACATCACTTTTGAGGATAGACTATATGTTAGACCACAAAATAAGACTTTAAAAATTGAAAAAAAAAGCCAGACTTGGTGGCTCACGCCTGTATTCCCAGCACTCTGGGAGGCCGAGGCGGGCAGATCACCTGAAGTTGGGAATTCGAGACCAGCCTGACCAACATGGAGAAACCCTGACTCTACTAAAAATACAAATAAAATGAGCTGGGTGTGTAGGCGCATGCCAGTAATCCCAGCTACTTGGAAGGCTGAGTCAGGATAAGCGCTTGAACCCAGGAGACGGAGGTTGTGGTGAGCCGAGATCGCACCATTGCACTCCAGCCTGGACAACAAGAGTGAAACTCCATCTCAAAAAAAAAAAAAAGAAAAAGAAAAAATTGAAAAATAATTGAAAAAAAATAAATTATATCAGGTATCTTCTCTTACTACAATGGAATACAGCCAAAAATCAATAATAAAAGGATTTTTGAAAACTATACAAACATATGGAAATTAAACAATATGCTCCTGAGTGATCATGGGTCAATGAAGAAATTAAAAAAGAATTTTTAAAATGTCTTGCAACAAATGAAAATGGAAACACAACATGCCAAAACCTATGGGATACAACAAAAGCAGTATGAAGAGGAAAGTTTATAACAATAAGCACCTACATTTAAAAAAAAAACATCAAACAAACATCCTAATGATGCATCTTAAAGACCTAGAAGGCCAGCTTGGTGGCTCACACCTGTGGCCCGCACTTTGGGAGGTTGAAGTGGGCAGATTGCTTGAGCCCAGGAGTTCAAGACCAGCCTGGGCAACATGTCAAAACCCCATCTATATAGAAAATACAAAAGAGAGAGAGAGGGAAAGAGAGAGAGAGAGAGAGACAGCGAGCTAGAAAAGCAAGAGTAAATCAAACCCAAAATTAGAAGAAAAGAAATAATAAAGATCAGAGCAGAAATAAATGCATTTGAAATGAAGAAAACAATACAAAAGATCAACAAAATGAAAAGCTGCTTTTTTTTTTTTTTTGAGACTGAGTCTTGCACTGTTGCCCAGGCTGGAGTGTAGTGGTGCGATCTCGGCTTATTGCAACCTCTGCCTCTTGGGTTCAAGCAATTCTCCTACCTCAGCCTCCCGAGTAGCTAAGATTACAGGCACCTGCCACCACGCCTGGCTAATTTTTCTTTTTCTTTTTTTTTGTACTTTTAGTAGACACAGGGTTTCACCATATTGGTCAGGCTGGTTTTGAACTCCTGACCTCATAATCCACCCACCTTGGCCTCCCAAAGTGCTGGGATTACAGGCGTGAGCCACTGCGCCTGGCCGAAAAGTTGCATTTTTGAAATGATAAACAAAAGTGACAAACCTTTAGCCAGACTAAGAAAAAAAGAAGTTCCAAATGAATAAAATCAGAGATGAAAAGGAAGACATTACAACTGATACCACAGAAATTCAAACTTCGTTATAGACTACTATGAACAACTGTATGCCAATAAATTGGAAAAACCTAGAAGAAATGGATAAATTCCTAGACACCTACAACTTACCAAGATCGAACCATGAAGAAATACAAATCCTGACTAGACCAGTAACAAATAATGGGATTAAAGGTGTAATAAAAGTCTCCCAGCAAAGTAATGCTCAGAGCCCAATGGCTTCGCTGCTGAATTCTACCAAACATTTAAAGAAAAACTAATAACAGTCCAACTTAAGTTATTCCAAAAAATAGAGGAGGCAGGAATACTTTTCCAAACTCATTCTATAAGACAAGTATTACCCTGATACCAAAACCACACAAAGACACATCAAAAAAAGAAAACTAAGGGCCAGTATCTCTGGTGAACATTGATGCAAAAATCTTAACAAAATATTGGCAAACTGAATTTAACAACACATTAATAAGATCATTTATCATGACCAAGTGGAATTCATCCCAGGGATACAAAGATGGTTCAACTTAATCAATGTAATACATCATATCAACAGAATGAGGGACAAAAATCATGTGATCATTTCAATTGCTGCCAAAAAAGCATTTGGTAAAATTCAACATCCTTTCATGATAAAAATCCTCAGCAAACTGGGTGTAGAAGGAACATGCCTCAACACAATAAAAGCTATATATGACAGACCCACAGCTGGTATCACACTGAATGGGGAAAAACTGAAAGCATTTTCTCTAAGTTCTGGAACAAGACAAGGAAGTCCCCTTTCACCACTGCTATTCAACATAGTACTGAGCAATCAGACTAGAGAAAGAAATAAAAAGCATCCAAATTGAAAAGAAAGAAGTCAAATTGTCCTTGTTTGCAAATGATAAGAGCTTATATTTGGAAAAACCTAAAGACTCCACCATAAAACTACTAGAACTGACAAACAAATTCAGTAAAGTTGCAGAACACAAAATCAACATACAAAAATCAGTAGCATTTCTATATTCCAACAGTGAACAATCTGAAAAAGAAATAAAGTAATCTTATTTATAATAGCTACAAATAAAATATCAAGGAATAAACTTAGCCAAATAAGTGAAATATCTCTACAATGAAAACTATGAAACACTGATACAAGAATTGAAGAGGACACCCAAAAAGTGAAAAGATATTCCCTGTTCATGAATTAGAAGAATCAATATTATTAAAATGTCTATATTACTCTAAGCACTCTACAGATTCAGTGCAATCCCTATCAAAATATAAGTGACATTCTTCACAGAAATGTAATCCTAAAATATATATGGAACTGCAAAAGACCCAGAATAGCTAAATCCATCCTGAGCAAAAAGTACAAAACTGGAGGCATCACATTACCTGACTTCAAATTATACTACAGAGCAATAGTAACCAAAACAGTATGGTGCTGGCATAAAACCAGACACATAGACCAGTGAAACAGAATAGAGAACTCATAAACAAATCCATATAACTACAGTGAACATTTTTGACAAAGATGCCAACAACATACCTTGGGGAAAGGACAGTCTCTTCAATTAATGATGGTGGGAAAACTGGATATCCATATGCAAAAGAATGAAACTGGACTCCTATCTCTCACCATATACAAAAATAAAATTGAAGTGGATTAAAGACTTAAATCTAAGAACTGAAACTATGAAACTACTAAAATAGAACATTGGGGAAACTTTCCAGGGGTATTTTGTGGGTCTGTCATATATGTCTTTTATTTGTAGCTATTGGGTAAGGATTTCTTGAGTAATAGCTCATAAACACAGGCTACCAAACAAAAATGGACAAATGGGATCACATCAAGTTAAAAAGCTTCTACACAGCAAAGGAAACAATCAACAGAGTAAAGAGGAAACCCACAGAATGAAAGAAGATATTTGCAAACTATCCATCTGACACGATATGAATAACCAGAATATATAAGGAGCTCAAACAACTCAAAGGGAAAGATATAATAATCTGATTAAAAAATGGATAAAAGATCTGAATAGACTTTTCTCAAAAGAAAACATACAAATGGGAAACAGGTATTTAAAAAGGTGAAATGCAAATGAAAACTACAATGAGATATCATCTCACCCTAGTTAAAATTGATTTTATCCAAAAGATAGTCAATAACAAACACTGGCACAGATGTGGAGAAAGGGGAACCCTCATACACTGTTGATGGGAGTACATATTAGTTTAACCCCTATGGAGAACAGTATAGAATTTCCTCAAAAAACTAAACATGGAGCTACCATATGATCCAAGAATCCCATTGCTAGGTATATACTCAAAGGAAATCAGTATGTTGAAGACATATCTGCACTCCCTTGTTTACTGCAGCACTATTCACAATAGCCAAGATTTGGAAGCAACCTCAATGTCCATCAACAGATGAATGGATAAAGAAAATGTAGTATATATACACAATGGAGTACTATTCACCCATAAAAGAGAATGAGATCCTGTCATTTGCAACAACATGGATGGAACTGGAGGACATTATATTAAGTGAAATAAGCCAGGCACAGAAAGACAAACTTCTCATGTTCTTACTCATTTGTGGGAGCTAAAAGTTAAAACCATTGAACTCACAGAGAGTGTAGAGTGATGGTTACCAGAGACTGAGAAGGCCAGTGGGTGAGAAATGGGGATGGGTAACATATATAAAAATATAGTTAGATACAATGAATAAGATCTAGTGTTTGATAGCACAACAGGGTGACTGCAGTCAGCAATAATTTGTCGTATATTTTAGAATAACTGAGGGAGTACAGTTGGAATGTTTGTAACACAAAGAAAGGATGAATGCTTGAGGTGATGGATACCAATTTATCCTGATGTGGTTACTACACATTGTATGCCTGTATCAAAATATCCCATACACTCCATAAATGTATACACTTACTATGTACCCATAAAAATTAAAAATTAAAAAAATAATTTCTCTAGCTTTATCTTACATGTTTTACCACCAGCTAACATATATAACATTAATAATTAACATCCCAGGAATAATCCAGTACTGAAGTCCCAATGCTCCACCAAGTGAACCTTGCCCTCCCATGAAAGAACACTTTAAGAAGCTACTGACTTACTCACCATTGCTCTAGTGCAGTACTACCACCCTTGGCCCTGGGCAGACAGGGCCCTGTCACCCTCCATCCCGCTGTGGAGTACCCACCTTGAAATTTTAAGTTTCTCTCTTTTGACTGGGACAGGCTGGGGCTAGTAGTGTTCTCCAGGTGGGGTGCTCTAAACTCAGTTTCTCCCCTTCAAGTGCTCTCTAACCTTCTTCCTAGTGCATGGGGTCAAACAGATGTCCTGAGGAGCTGTAGAACGTGTGCCTATGGAATGGTCTCAGAGCCCAGTGGCCAGGCCACATTTCCAAAAGGACAGCCTGTGGGGCAGATCACTCCTGCTGGCTAGCACAATATTATTTTACTGGCTCATGTGAAGTTGGACCATTAGGATGGTGCCGATGCAGATTTCGGTTGACTGTCACAAGCAGACACTGAGCTGCTATACCTTAGCACTTTGTTGATCTTCCCCCTCACATATCTTGGAATTTCTGCTCCTTCTCTACTACTGACCTTTTGGCTTGGGCTGCATGTGTGGGCCTGTCCACTGACTCTTGCCTGTGTACACTGTGACACCTCCTATCCAGAGCACTCTTGTGCAGATGGGCCACTCATCTATTCTGCCTGCTGATGAAAGGGAAGGGTTCCACTGATACTGAGGAAGATTACATTCAAGGAAATGCAATGATAACACCCTAATGAGTTCAAGAGAAGACATAGTTGGAAGGTGAGTCATGTGGTTGTGCCATAAAATCTGAAATGATAGGCTGGGCATGGTGGCTCATGCCTGTAATCCCAGAACTTTGGGAGGCCCAGGCGGGGGGATCACCTGAGGTCAGGAGTTCGAGACAAGCCTGACCAACATGGAGAAACCTTGTCTCTACTAAAAATACAAAATTAGCCAGGCGTGGTGGTGCATGCCTGTAATCCCAGCTACTCGGGAGGTTGAGGCAGGAGAATTGCTTGAACCTGGGAGGCAGAGGTTGCAGTGAGCCGAGATCGCACCATCGCACTCCAGCCTGGGCAACAAGAGTGAAACTCTGTCTCAAAAAAAAAAAAAAATCTGAAATGATAATTTAACATTACCAGAAAAGTAGTTATCATTTCCATTCAGACTCTGGATAAGACGTGCATTTGTGTTAGTCATCAATGAAGCATGATAACAATCTTTATAACAGAGCCACTGGAGCCACGTGCTTATGGTGGATGATTCAGTGTCATGAGTTAAAGGTTTTGAGGATCAGCAGAAGCCAAAAGGTCTATATTGCTTCAATACAAACAGGTTCCAAGCAGTCATGGCATTGTGAGTAATAACAGCATTGCTACCTTCTTCAGGAGTAGGAGCCATGAAACCAGCAAGGAATGGTGCATTTGAAAATAAAGAACATAAAAAGGTGGTTCTCAAACCAGAACAGAAAGACACGGCACCTGGACACTACAAAGAATCTTCATGCGCACTGACTTGACAACAAATACCTGAATACCTCTTCTATACTCATTCTAAATCTTCATCAGTAAATCACCATAGCTCACATGAGCTCATGAGTTTTGCAATACATTTTAAAACATATTGTTAATATTAACATTCCCCCCACCCGTACACACACCCACACACACTGGCCCAGGGCCTTGCACACTCCAGGGAAATAGTTTTCTGTGGAAGGTGGTGGCAGCAAGTTTGCACCCCCCTCCACCCCACCACCCCTTGGGGCATTTGGCATTGTCTGTAGACAGTTTTGATTGTCACAGCAGGTGGGAGCGGGCATTGCTACTGGCATCTAGCAAGCAGAGGCCAGGGATCCTATGAAACATCCTGCAGTGCACAGGACAGCACCCAGGACAAAGAATTGATTTGGTCCCAAATGCTATTAGTGCCAAGATTAAGAAACTCTGTTAGGGCATCCCTGTTCTAGTAAACTTATTCTTAGGCTTATCTGTTCCCCTACAGCAGTGTTTTTCAAAAGGAGCCACAGACCACTGCCTCAGACTCACATGGATGTCATTTAAAATGCCTACTTGCTGGGCACAGTGGCTCACACCTGTAATCCACTTTGGGAGGCCGAGGCGGGCGGATCATGAGGTCAGGAGATCGAGACCACAGTGAAACCCCATCTCTACTGAAAATACAAAAAAAAAATTAGCCAGGCGCGGTTGTGGGCGCCTACATGTAGTCCCAGCTACTCGGGAGGCTGGGGCAGGAGAATGGCATGAACCTGGGAGGCGGAGCTTGCGGTGAGCCGAGATTGCGCCACTGCACTCCAGCCTGGGCGACAGAGCGAGACTCTGTCTCAAAAAAATAAAAAATAAAAAAATTTTAAAAAATAAAATAAATAACATGCCTACTTACAGATCCTTACTCAGATCTCTGTGGATGGGGTCCTGGAATAAGCTTCCAGTGATTCTTGAAACCGTGAGAGCTGGTGCTCTGGAAATGGCCTTGGCCACCCATCTAGATTCCTTTACCCGGGTGTTTGTTCATTCTCTCAACGAATATGAATTGGGTGCCTAGTCTGTGCCAGGCACTGTGCAAGGCGCTAGGGACAGATGAAGTCTCTCTCTTCAGGTGCTTAAGTTGGGGCAGGGAGCCAGAAAATAATAAACATATAATATGAGATGAGTGGTAGAGGTGCTGCAAATTAAAACTACACAGGTCAAAGGGGATAGAAAGGGACTGGGGATGGATTTGTGTGTTTGTGCTACTTTGTGAGAGTATCTAGGGGAGCCTTTCAGGCAGAGGAACAGCAAAAGGGAGGAGGCCAGTGGGCAGAGCAGGGTGAAGGAGAGGCATGGTGTTGGGAACTGAGGCCAGAGAGGGAGCTGTGTATCAGGTCACCCAGGGTCGGCCGGGTGAAAAGTCCAGGGGTAAGAGATAAGCAGAATTGGAGGATACAGACTCTGATAGGATCTTGGAATGCTGTGAGTAATGGGGAAACTGCTGGGGGTGGTGGGGGGAACTCAGTGATAGGGGTTTTGCATTGCAACACCCACAACAGCACAAATGTTTAAGTGGAGGAACGTCTGGCCACATTTGTTAAATGCCTACAATTTGCCAGGAATTTACACACGTGTTCTAATTTGAACTTACAACAATACTATGAGATGAGTGTTACTGTCCCCATTTTATAGAAGGAAATTTCAGACCCAGAAAAATTAACCTGACAAAGATTATACACGACAAGTTATTAGAAGGAGGGCCGGGTGTGGTGGCTCATGCCTGTAATCCCAGTACTTTGGGAGGCCGAGGTGGGTGGATCACAAGGTCAGGAGTTCGAGACCAGCCTGACCAACATAGTGAAACCCCGTCTCTACTAAAAATACAAAAATTAGCTGGACATGGTGACATATGCTTGTAATCCCAGCTACTCGGGAGGCTGAGGCAGGAGAATCGCTTGAACCTGGGAGGTGTAGGTTGCAGTGAGCTGAGATCGCGCCACTGCACTCCAGCCTGGGTGACAGAGCAAGACTCCGTGTCAAAAAAAAAAGGAGAGGGCCTTATTATTTGATCCTTAGAGGACTTTATTATTTGATCCTCAGTTCTTATTTATTTTCTTGTGTTGCTGTCATTGATTCCTTCTTAGTGTTAAATTTGAAGAAAGAAAATGATGTTACCGGTAGGAAGGCACTGGAAAGATGGCAAAACAGCAGGTGTGGGTAGAGTTTCATGTGCGGGGCTGTCCTCGCTGTTGGTTACTTACACACTTGGCCTGGCCCAAAATGCCACAAGATGGCAGCATCTTAACCTCATTTGTTTGGTGGTCATTCATGCTCCACAGTCGACTTTTTCAGTATGAAGATACTGAATAAAAAATAGCGCTTTGGGAGGCCAAGGCAGGAGGATTGCTTTAGCTCAGGAGTTCAAGACTAGCCTGGGCAACATGACAAAACCCCATCTCTACAAAAAATATAAAAACTGGCCAGGTGTGGTGGTGCGTGCCTGTAGTCCCAGCTACTTTGGAGGCTGTGGTTGTAGTGAGCTGAGCTCATGCCATTGCACTCTAGCCTGGGTGACAGAGCTAGACTCTGTCTAAAAAAAAGATGGTTACAGCCCGTATTTAGAAGTGGAGCCATTATAACAAGAAATATGTATCTGGAAATAGAGTGAAAGCCCCTAAGTTCACGGAAATATTTTACCCATTCACAAGCGTTAGGCATTTGCCTCCATCCAAGTAAGGAAGATTTAAAAAAATCATTTTCAATGCCATGTGAGAGTTATGCAAAATAGTAGAATGCAATAATTTCAAGTTTCCATTTGGGGCAGCAGACAGACCTGTGTAAAAATTCTAGCTCTGACATTTAGCTACATGATGTTGGGCAAATGAAAATCATTTCAAACTTATTTCTTCATTTGTATAATTCCTACCCCTTAAGTTAACTGTGAATATTAAATAGCACACATAGAGCTCTAGGTGAAGTGCTTGACACCACTCAATGTGTAGTAGCCATTATATAATAATTATTTATTGTTGTTTTTCTCTAGCTTCCTAATGCCAGAATGGTAGGAAACCTTAGAGATTATCTAGTCCAATGCCTCTCCATCTTGGATGCACTTTGGAATCACTTGGGGAGCTGAAAAAGTCTGCTGCCCAGGGTCCCAGCCCGAGGCTCTGGTCTGGGGTACAGCACAGGCATTAGAAGACAGTCTCCTCTGTCACCCCAGGCTGGAGTGCAGTAGCAAGATCATGGCTCATTGCAGCCTCGACTTCCTGGGCTCAAGCCATCCTCCCACCTCAGCCTCCCCAATAGCTGGGACTACAGCTATGCACCACCATACCCAGTTGAGTTTTGTATTTTTTGTAGAAATGGGGTTTTGCCATGTTGCCCAGGCTGTGAACTGAGCTCAAGCAATCCACATGCCTTGGCTTCCCAGAGTGCTGGGATTACAGGCGTGAGCCACCATGCCCGGCCCATTTGGATTTCTTAAAGCTCTCTGGATGATTCTACTGCCAGGCAAGGTTTCAGAGCCCCGACACCGGGCAGTGGTCGACTTGTGGTTTGGTAAGAGAATTTACCGACAACAGTATAGGTTTGAAAAAAGGAAAGTTTATTAGAAAGGAAGAATGTTGCAAAAGGGTGCAGCAGGGTGCGTCAGTGAGAGGACTGAGAGCGCTGCCCTCCATGGGTTTTTCCTTTGGGGTATTTATGGTTGTCAAATGAGTTTTGGCATTCCAGAGATGTATAGAAATTTTACTTATAAGTTTTTTGGGGGGAAGGAAATCTGAAACCAGAACCCTGCTTTAGATAATAGGAAAGTCCTTTTGGTGCTATCTTGGCTCACTGCAACCTCTGCCTCTTGGGTTCAAGCAATTCTTGTGCCTCAGCCTCCCGAGTAGCTGGGTCTGCAGGCACCTGCCACCAAGCCTGGCTAATTTTTTTTTTTTTTTGTATTTTTTTTAGTAGAGACGGGGTTTCACCATGTTGGCCAGGCTGGTCTCAAACTCTGACCTCAGGTGATCTGCCTGCCTCAGCCTCCCACAGTGCTGGGATTACAAGTGTGAGCCACCATGCCCCGCAGGGAAGTCTAATTACTTCTAATTTTCTCCCAGATAAGGAGTTTTGCCTCTGTATGGCCTCTTTGATGGTCACCAGGTGGTCTTTCTTCCCTTCTAAATTCCTCAGATTAGGAGTTTTAGTCTCTGGGACCTGTTCAGTGGTCACCAGGTGATTTTCACTCTCCTCATTTTCCCCCAACCAATATTTTGGTCAAATCTTTGACCCTTTAATTCCCCCGTGCTCATGTCTACCTACTGCCTATTGGTGTTACCCGCATCTGTGTGAAGAGACCACCAAACAGGCTTTGTGTGAGCAATAAAGCTTTTTAATCACCTGAGTGCAAGTGAGCTGAATACGAAAAAGGAGTCAGCAAAAGGGGAGAGATAGGGGTGGGGCAGTTTCATAGGATTTAGGTAGGTAGTGGAAAATTACAGTTAAAGGGGGTTGTTCTCTTGTGGGCAGGGGCAGGGGTCACAAGGTGCTTGGTGGGGAGTTCCTGAGATTCATTGCCCAGGAGAAGGAATGTCACAAGATCAGTTAGGATGGGGCAGGAATAAATCACAGTGGTGAAGTGTCATCAGTTAAGGCAGGAACTGGCTATTTTCACTTCTTTTGTGGTTCTTCAGTTGCTTCAGGCCATCTGGATGTATACGTGCAGGTCACAGGAGATATGATGGCTTAGCTTGGGTTCAGAGGCCTGACATTCCTGTCTTCTTATATTAATAAGAAAAACAAAACAAAATGGTGGTGAAGTGTTGGGGCGGCGAAAATTTTGGGGGGTGATATGGAGAGATAATGGCAATGTTTCTCAGGGTTGCTTTGAGTGAGATTGGGGCAGTGTGGGAACCTAGAGTGGGAAAGATTAAACTGAAGAAAGATTTTGGGGTAAGGGGTGATATTGTGGGGTTGTTGGAGCATTTGTCATATAGAATGATTGGTGATGGCCTGGATGCAGTTTTGTACGAATTGAGAAACTAAACAGAAGACACAAGTCCAAATAAGAGAAGGAGAAAAACAGGTATTAAAGGACTAAGAACTGGGAGGACCCAGGACATCCAATTAGAGAGTACCCAAGGGGATTTAGCGTAATTATTTTCTTGGTTGGCGAGTTTTTGGGCTCTATCCTTGAGTTTTTTATGTTGTCATATACCAGGCCAGACTGATTTAGGTAAAAACAACACTCTTCATTTAAAAATATACAGAGTCCTCCTTTTTTAGCAGTAAGTCGAGGCCTATTCCTGTCTTCTTATATTAATAATAAGAAAAACAAAACAAAATAGTAGTGAAGTGTTGGTGTCATGAGGGGAACAGGAAGCTGTTTGCTAGCTGCTTCTTTAGGTACCTTATCAGCATAAGCATTGTCCTTAGTGATGGGATCTGATGCCCTTTGATGCCCCTTGCAGTGAATGACCCCAGCTTCCTTGGAAGTAGAGCAGCTTTAAGAAGAGTTTATTTATTAAGGAGGCATTAATAATGGAGGACCCTTGTGTAGTGAGGAAACCTCTTTCTGCCCATATAACAGCATGGTGGTGAAGGATGTGGAAGGCATACTTGGAATCTGTATAGATATTGACACGTAGTCCCTTTGCAAGAATGACAGCTCAAGTTAAGGCAATGAGTTCAGCTTGTTGAGAGGTAGTGGAAGCGGGCAGGGCCATAGACTCAATGATAGATGTGGAAGACACTATAGCATAGCCTGCCTTTACTGGTGATTGGTGACTGGGCCTGGAGGAACTACCATCAATAAACCAAGTGTGGCCTAGGTGGGGAACAGGAAAGAGGGAAATATGGGGAAATGGGGAGAATGCCATGTGGATTAGAGAGATACAGTCATGGGACTCAGATGTAGTATCAGGAATAAGATGAGAGGCTGGATTGAAGTCTGGCCCAGGAACAATGGTAATTGTGGGAGATTCAACAAATAGTGAGTACAGCTGAAGGAGCCGGGGGGGCGGTATAGGCATCCAACATTAGGAGGAAAATAGATTTTGAAAGTTATGGGAACTGTAGAGAGTAAGTGGAACATAGCTTGTGATTTTGAGGGTCTCTAAAAGTATTAGAGCAGCAGCAGCCGCCGCATGCAAACATGAGGGCCAGCCTAAAACAGTAAGGTCAAGTTGTTTGGACAAAAAGGCTACAGGGCTCAGTCCTGGTCCTTGTGTAAGAATTCTGACTGCACAGCCCTGCACTTCAGCTGTGTGTAATGAAAAAAGTTGGGATGAGTCAGGGAGAGCTAGTGTGGGAGCAGTCTCTAGAGCTGTTTTCAAGGAATGGAAAGAGGAGTGGGGAAAGGATTTAGGATCTATGGGGTCAGCTAGGTTTCCCTTTGTGAGTTTATATAATGGTTTTGTTAGGATGGCAAAACCAGGTATCCAAAGGCGAAAGTATCCAACCACGCCCAGGAAGGAAAGGAGTTGTTGCTTTGTAGAAGGGGTTGGGGTTTGAGAGATTAGCCGGACATGATCGGCAGGGAGAGCACATGTGTTTTCATGAAGAATTATGCTGAAGTAGGTAACGGGTGGAGAAGAAATTTGAGCTTTGGAGGGGGATACCCAATATCTCTTGGAGAATAAATGTTGAAGGAGCTGGAGTGTGTCTTGTTGAGAAGATTCAAAGGAGGGGCTACAAAGTAGAAGGTCATCAATATATTGAATAAGGTGAGAAGCACATGGGTGGAAATAAATTAAATCATGAGAAAGAGCTTGGCTGAAGTAATGAGGGCTGTCCCTGAAGCCTTGCAGCAGTACAGCCCAGGTAAGTTGCTGAGACTGATGGGTGTCAGGGTTAGTCCAAGTGAAAGCGAAGAGAGGCTGGGATGAAGGGTGTAAAGGAATGGTAAAGAAAGCATCTTGGAGATCCAGAACAGAATAATGGGTTGTGGAGGGAGGTATTGAGGATAGGAGAGTATATGGGTTTGGCACTATAGGATAGATGGGAAGGATGATTTGATTAATAAGGTAAAGATCCTGAACCAACCTGCAAGACTTGTCCAGTTTTTGGACAGGTAGGATAGGGGAGTTGTAACCCTTTTAAAGCATGCCATGGGATGGGATATTGGCATTGAGTGGGGTAAGGGTGATTAGGTTTTAACAGGATGATAAGGTATGCATGATTGGTCACCAAGGAGGGAGTAGAGGTATCCCATAATTATGGATTAAGGTAGGGAGATACAAGGGGAGGATGTAAAAGAGGCCTTGAGTTGGGTAAAAGTGCAGCAATGAGATGTGGCTGTAGCCCAGGAATAGTCAGGGAAGTAGATAATTTGGTTAAAATGACTCGGCCTAATAAGGGAACTGGGCAGGTGGGGATAACTAAAAAAGAGTGCATAAAAGAATGTTGTCCAAGTTGGCACCAGAGTGGGGGAGTTTTAAGAGGTTTAGAAGCCTGGCCGTCAATACCCACAACAGTTATGGAGGCAAGGGAAACAGGCCCTTGAAAAGAAGGTAATGTGGAGTGGGTAGCCTCCTTATCAATTAAGAAAGGGATGGACTTACCCTCCACTGTAGCAGTTACCTGAAGTGTCTGTGATGGTCCAGGAGGCTTGCGAGGCGATTGGGCAGCGTCAGTCCTCAGCTGATAAGCCGAGAAGATCTGGGAAGGAGTCAGTCAGAGAGCCTTGGGCCAGAGTTCCAGGGGCTCTAGGAATGGCTGCTGGGCAAGTTGGACAGTCTGATTTCCAGTGGGGTCCTGCACAGATGGGACATGGCTTAGGAGGAATCCCAGGCTGTGGGCATTCCTTGGCCCACTGGCCAGATTTCCAGCACTTGGAGCAAGATCCTGGGGGAAAAAGTCCAGGAGGAATGCCTGACTGCTATGGTTTAGGCGTTTTGAAGTTCTTATGTGCTGGAGATGTGGCTGGGGTTTCTCTCACAGTGGAGGCAAGTAATTGCAATTGAGAAATACACTGCCGCTCGGCTGCCTCTTCTCTATTATTGTACACCTTGAAGGCAAGGTTAATTAAGTCCTGTTGTGGGGTTTGAGGGCCGGAATCTAATTTTTGGAGCTTTTTCTAATGTCAGGAGTGGATTGGATAATAAAATGCATATTAAGAATAAGACGGCCTTCTGGCCCCTCTGGATCTAGGGTGGTAAAGTGTCTAAGGGTTGTTGCCAAACAGGCCATGGACTGGGCTGGGTTTTTATATTTGATGAAAAAGAGCCTAAACGCTAACTGATTTGGGAGAGGTCGGATAAAGAAAAAGGAGCATTAACCTTGACTATGCCTTCAGCTCCAGCCACCTCTGTAAGAGGAAATTGTTGGGCAGGTAGGGGAGGGCTAGCCACGGAACGAAACTGTAAGCCGGACCGGGTGTGAGGAGGGGAGGTGATAGAAGGATTATAGGGTGGAGGAGCAGAGGCTGAGGAAGAATTGAGATCTGGCTTGGCCTGGCGAGGAGCAGCCTGGGGAATGGGGAAAGGTCAGATGGGTCTGTAGAAAAGGAGGATTCAAAGGGCTCAGAGCTTGGGGTGGAGCCTGAAGGAACAGACAGGAGAGAAAGAAGAAAGATTTGGGACGAGTCATATTGGGAGCAGAGACTAGGGAGGGACCAATGTGTAAAGAATGCTTAGACGTCAGGCACCTCAGACCATTTGCCCAATTTTCGACAAAAATTATCTAGGTCTTGTAGGATAGACAAATCGAAAGTGCCATTCTCTGGCCACTTGGAACTATTTTCGAGTTTGTATTGGGGCCAAGTGGTATTACAGAAGAAAATAAGATGTTTAGGTTTTAGGTCAGGTGTTAGTTGAAGGGGTTTTAGGTTTTTAAGAACACAGGCTAAGGGAGAAGAAGGGGGAATGGAGGGCAGAAAGTTGCCCATAGTGAAGGAGGTAAGTCTAAAGAGAAAGGTAGAGACACAGGGTGGAGGGCAGGGGTGAGCAGCCCTGGGCTGTAATATGGGTGAGCAGCCAAAGCAGGCATCCCCACAGTTGACTTACCACCAAGGAAATGTGGGTAAATGACCAAGGCAGGCATCCCCGCAGTGATCAGACACCAATGGAATGTGGGTGAATGATCAAGGCAGGCATCCCTGCAGTGATCAGACACCAAGGGAAGACTGTCTTCCTAAATTTGTGACCGACGTTGGAGTTTTTGAGTTCACGGATAAAATGTGTCTCCTTTGTCTCTGCTAGAGAGGAAAAAGAGCTGGAATTGGAAGCACAGGGAGACTGAAGGGTAGTGAGAGAGGCTGGAGAAGAGAGTGAAGAGACCACTTACCTGATTTGAAATTGGTGAGATGTTCCTTGGGCTGATTTCAGGACCCAAGGTCGTAGGTGGATCTCCTCAAGGAGTGAGGGCGAGGACAGGGGACCAGTCTCCTGAAGGAATCCCCCTGTCCCAGGTCTTCAGCACCAAATGTTACATGCGTCCGTGTGAAGAGACCACCAAACAGTCTTTGTGTGAGCAATAAAGCTTTTTAATCACCTGGGCGTAGGTGGGCGAATCTGAAAAAGGAGTCAGCAAAGGGAGAGAGATGGGGTGGGACAGTTTTATAGGATTTGGGTAGGTAGTGGAAAATTACAGTTAAAGGGGGTTGTTCTCTTGTGGGCAGGAGTGGGGGTCACAAGATGCTTGGTGGGGAGCTCCTGAGATTCATTGCCCCGGAGAAGGAATGTCACAAGGTCAATTGGTCAGTTAGGGTGGGGCAGGAACAAATCACAGTGGTGGAATGCCATCAGTTAAGGCAGGAACTGGCTATTTTCACTTCTTTTGTGGTTCTTCAGTTGCTTCAGGCCATCTGGATATATATGTGCAGGTCGCAGGGGATATGATCACTTAGCTTGGGCTCAGGCCTGACAATTGGGGTCTCAAGAAAGGGAAAACACCACAGTGAAGAGGAGTGTGGAGTCTGGTTACTTCCTGCTGAAAGGGGGCATTGAAGGGATAGGTTGCATTTTTTCCTTTCTTGCTCTGTCATGAAGGGAATGAAGGGTCACGAAAAACTCGTTCAGGACAGGGAAAACCGGGTTCCATCAAAAGGCCCCATGCAAATGGAAGTTGCTGTTACAGGCTGGTATTGGGATTGCATAGCCATCTGTAGGTGGAATCTTTGCAATCTGGAAGATATAAATTTAATGAGCATGTTAAAAAAAAAAAGCAGGGATCAGATATTAAAAGAAGAATGACAAGGAACAAAGGTCCAAGGAATGGGAGAAGCCAAGTGATTTTTGGAAACCAATTAGTAAAAGTTTTGGTCCAGTCTTGGTTACTTTGGGAAAGTGTGTGTAGTCATTTAGCTTGTTTGAAAATTTCTTGGACATCAGTTTCCACTTCTCCGGACACATTAATGTAGGTGCAACAGGTTTTGTTGATGACAGCAAAGACTCCTCCCTCTTCAGCTAGGAGGTAATCCAGAGCACATCTTTTACCAAAAACCAGAGGAACCAGATACCTGCTTTGGAAAGTAGGGAAGTCTAATTACATCTAATTTTCCCCAGATAAGGAGTTTTGCCTCTGGATGGCCTGTTTGATGGTCACCAGGTGCTATTTGCTCCCTTCTAAATTCTAAATTCTCAGGTAAGGAGCTTTTTCTCTGGGGCCTGTTCAATGGTCACCAGGTGATTTTCAGTCTCCTCATGTACTAAGTAGCCAGGGTAGAGAATTATTTCTCCAGACCAATACCCTCACTGTACAGATGCGAAAGACAAGCCTGGAGAAAATGAAAGTGATTTGCCTGGTGACATGAAATCAAGAACTCAAACTGAGGTCTGCTGACTCCTAGTCATGGGTTCTCTCAGCACTCGACACTGCCTTGGCCTCACTTCATGTGCTTCCACAAAGGCTCAGCCCATACCAGGTCCACCCCGGTGTCTAATCCACAGCAATGCCAACAACAATGTGAGTGTTTATTATTGTGCTACTTTACATATATTATCTCTAATCCAAACAACATGCTTTCAAGAAAGGTGAGCATATCCCCATTATAAGAGGAGGAAGCTGCTGCTCAGAGACTTTAAGAGAGTAGCTAAAGTCACAGCTAGTGAAGACAGTTCAGAATTTGATGCAGTCTTTTGGACTCCAAAGCCTACGCTGTTTAGCTACACTCACCTCCATCTGTTCCTGCTCCATCTTACCTTCCCCAGGTTATTTCTTCATCAAGAGCTAGCTCTAATTCTACTCCCTCCCCAAAAGCCCTTCCACCCCAGACCACAGGGATCCCTTCATTGACTCAACTTTCATGGCAATAATCACCTGCATTAGCTGTTTGGCAAAGTCTAACTCACATTGTAATTTATTTTGTCGTGTATATTACTTGCTTCCTTATCTCTGAGGCTGAGAAAGAGAAGACGCTTCCTCTGTGTTTCTGTCCTTGCCCTGTAGCTGTGTTGAGTTGTGTTGATATTGCAAGAGCATAACATTTAGTCTGTTATGAGATTCTGCCCTTAGAAATACCTAGGGAAGGGATGCCTGTAGGCCCAAGCGGAGTTGAAAATTCAAAATGAAGAAGAACAGCGTTCTCTTCGGGTTCAGATTTGTAGTAATATTTATTCTCTTTTCCATAAGTAAGCCTCTAGGTGGCAGTCGAAAGCCTAGTTGTGAGAGCGTGAGTGTCTCATAAATGAAGTCACAAAATCTCAGGCTGAAAGGAGTTTTTCTCATCTAACTACCAATTCAAAGCTAGAATTCCCTCCCTGACATAACAACAACTATGGCAATATTTCTTCCATCTCAGGGGCTGGTGATGAGAAACTCCCTTTTTTCGAAGCACTTTTTCCATGTGTGGTCAGTTTATTAGAATATCGTTCTTGATTTTATGTGAAAACTGCTTCCTTGTAGCTTCTACCTACTCCAGAAAGAAACTAAGTGTATCTGGGCCTAGGGATGTGAGAACAGCAGAGTCTGAAGATCTGGAGAGCGTTTGACTGGCTCAGAGAAGCCTCCTTTTCACTTCTATTCTTCCCAAGGGCTTCTCCCCAAGAGCCTGGACTTCGTTTAGCCAAACCCACTTTCTCTGATCAAAATAACAAAGAGGCCAGGGCAGGCGGTTCATGCCTGTAATTCCAGCACTTTGGGAGGTTGAGGTGGGCTGATCATTTGAGCCCAGGGATTCAAGACCAGCCTGGGCAAAATGGTGAGACCCTGCCAATAAAAAAAATTTAAAAATTAGTTGGACATGGTGGCACATGCCTGTAGTCCCAGCTACTCAGGTGGCTGAGGTGGGACGATGGCTTGAGCCCAGGAGGCAGAGGTTGCAGTGAGCCATGATTGTGCCACTGCACTTCAGCCTGAGCAACAGAGCAAGACCTCATCTCAAAAAAATAAAAATAAAATAACAAAGAGAGATTAATACTGCACTTCCTGGTCTCAAATGTATTCTTTAGAAATATATAGGACAAGGCCAGGTGTGGTGACTCACGCCTAGCACTTTAAGAGGCCAAAGCAGGTGGATCCCTTGAGCCCAGGAGTTTGAGACCAGCCTGGACAATGTGGCAAAACCCCATCTCTACAAAAAATACAAGAACTGGCCGGGTGCAGTGGTGCGTGCCCAGTTACTCAGGAGGCTGAGGTGGGAGGATGGCTTGAACCTGGGAGGCAGAGGTTGGAGTGAACCGCGATTGCAGCCTGGGCAACAAAGTGAGAGAAAGAAAGAGAGAGAGAGAAAGAAAGAGAAAGAAAGAAAGAAAGAGAGAGAGAGGAAGGAAGGAAGGAAGGAAGGGGAAGGGAAGGGAAGGAGGGAGGGAAGGAGGAAGGGAAGGGAAGGAAGGGAGAGAGAAAGAGAGGAAGGAAGGAAGGAACAAAGGAACGGAAGGAAGGGAGGGAAGGAAACAAATATATACACTGACTATGTACCCACAAAAATAAAAAATTAAAAAATTAAAAGAAATGAAAAAATGTATATATAGAACAAACAAGTGTCTCTTCTTCTAGGGATCTAAAGACAGAGATTGAGTCATCCATCCATCCATCCATCCATTTGTCCATCCATCAAACATATCTTTACTTGGAGCCTACTATGTTACAGGCACTGAGTCTGCTAGTGGGCAGTCAATAAGTGATAAATCCCTAATAACCTGATGACTAACTCAGTCACAGGTAGGTCCAATTTTACATGGTACTTTTTTTTTTTTTTTTTTGAGACAGAGTCTCGCTCTGTTGCCCAGGCTGGAGTGCAGTGGCACGATCTCAGCTCACTGTAGCCTCCGCCTCCCGGGTTCAAGCGATTCTCCTGCCTCAGCCTCCTGAGTAGCTGGGATTACAGGTGTGCGCCATCACGCCCGGCTAATTTTTGTATTTTTAGTAGAGACAGGGTTTCACCATGTTGGTCAGGTTGGTCTCGAACTCCTGACCTCGTGATCCGCCCACCTCAGCCTCCCAAAATGCTGGGATTACAGGCATGAGCCACTGCACTCTACATGGTACATTTTTGAGAAGAGATTGGAGAGACAAGGGAACTAGCATTTACTGAAGAGTTGCCTATTAGGCAAGGTGCTAGGTGCTTGCTTTACATGCCTTATACTGTTTAAGACTATCTAATGAGATAGGTTATCTCCATCTCCACTTTACAAAGGAGGAAGCTGAGGATTAGAGAGCTTAATAACTGGACCAAGGACCAACAGCCAGGAAGTGATGGAGCTGGAGTCTGGATACAGAGGTCCCCAACTGCAAAACCACCACACTGTGAGCCTTGCATGGGGCTCCCTAGAACAGCAGAAGGGACAACATGGTCCCCTCCTGTCCTGTGTCTGATATAAATATTGCTTTTTTTTTTTTTTTTTTTTTTTTTGAGATGGAGTCTTGCTCTGTCGCTCAGGCTGGAGGAGTGCAGGGGTGCAATCTCGGCTTGCTCAACCTCCACCTCCCAGGTTCAAGTGATTCTCCAGCCTCAGCCTCCTGAGTAGCTGGAATTACAGGTGGCCGCCACCATGCCTGGCTAATTTTGTATTTTTAGTAGAGATGGGGTTTCACCATGTTGGCCAGGCTGGTCTCAAACTACTGACCTCAGGTGATCCCCCCACCTCGGCCTCCCAAAGTGCTGGGATTACAGGCATGAGCCACTGTGCCTGGTGACATATTGCTTTAAGTTAGGTTTTCTTTTTACACTTTCACACCCAAATCCCTCATTTTCAGCTTTTTAAAAAACTTATATTTTTAGAGTGATTTACTTGTGGTTTCTCATAAAAGTCAAATTTCCCATCAATACTTTCTGTTATAAACTTGGACACGGGACAGAGCACATGAAAATCAATATTTCATATGTAATCATGTGTAATTTGGGTATTCATTAGTTTGTTTTTATTTTTTGTTTGTTTGTTTGTTTTTGTTTTTGTTTTTGTTTGAGACAGAGTCTTGCTCTGTCACCCAGACTGGAATGCAGTGGGTCAATCTTGGCTCACTGCAACCTCCACCTCCCGCTTCAAGCGATTCTCATACTTAGCCTCCCGAGTAGCTAGGACTACAGGCACATGCCACCATGCCCAGCTAATTTTTTTTTTTTTTTTTTTAGTAGAAACAGGGTTTTGCCATGTTGGCCAGGCTGGTCTCGAACTCCTGACCTCAAGTGATCCTCCTGCCTCAGCCTCCCAAAGTGCTGGGATTACAGGCATGAGCCACCACGCCTGGCCATAGTTTGTCTTTACTTGATTATATTTATTTTAATTGATCAGTTGCTATGTTAAGAATATCAAAGAAAATTTTCAAGAAAATAAAAAAGATTACCCCAAGTCTCGTATTCTAATACAACTATTTTCATTGTAATTCATACTCATAGTACATATTTTTCTTTGTAAATTCTATCGTAAATAAACGTAGGCTATTATTTTGATTATTTTCACTCAACATTATTTAAGGATCATTTACTCATGTTTCTATGTAGCCCTCTTTTTTTTTCTTTTTTTTTTTTTTTTTTAGAGAGGGTCTTACTGTCCCTCAGGCTGGAATACAGTGGTGTGATCATAACTCGCTGCAGCCTCGACCTCCTGGGCTCAAGCAATCCTCCCGTCTCAGCCTCCCGAGTAGCTGGGACCACAGGTGTGTGCCATCACATCTGGCTAATTTTAAAATTTTTTGTAGAGGCAAGATCTCACTACGTTGCTCAGGCTGTTCTTGAACTCCTGAGCTCAAGTGATCCTCCTGCCTCCCAAAGTGCTAGGATTACAGGCTTGAACCACCATGCCCAGCCCTATGTAGCCTTTTTTTTTTTCAGACAGGGTCTTGGTTTGTGGCCCAGTCTGGAGTAGAGTAACGTGGTGTGGCCTCAGCTCACTGCAACCTCCGTGTCCTGGGCTCAGGTGATCCTCCCACCTTAGCCTCCCAAGTAGCTGGGACAACAGAACCACGCCCAGCTAATTTTTCTATCTTCTTTCTTTCTTTTCTTTTTTTTTTGAGATGGAGTTTCACTCTTGTTGCCCAGGCTGGTGTGCAATGGCTCAGTCTCAGCTCACCACAACCTCCGCCTCCCGGGTTCAAGTGATTCTCCTGCTTCAGCCTCCTGAGTAGCTGCCACACCTAATTTTGTATTTTTAGTAGAGATGGAGTTTCTCCATGTTGGTCAGGCTGGTCTCGCCTGATCTCAGGTGATCCGCCCACCTTGGCCTCCCGAAGTGCTGGGATCACAGGCATGAGCCATCGCGCCCAGCCTAATTTTTCTATTTTTAGTAGATACAAGGTTTGTCCATGTTGCCGAGGCTGGTCTCAAACTCCTGGGCCCAAGCTATCTGCCCGCCTCTATGTAGCCTTCCTAAGGATCACATTTAACGGCTGACCAATAGTCTATCAATTTACATATTTTAAGGCCTTTAGAGATGAAGTTCAAGGATTACTGAAAAAAAAATGTTTTCTCCCTTTTTAATTCATGATTTAAGCAATCTGCTGAAGCACAGCTTTAATTCTTTTTGCAGTATCCATTCAATGTGTTACAACACCAAGAGGATAGAAAACTATTTTTCTAATAAGTAGGACAGTGTCTTTTTGGTTTTGGAGGTTTTTGTCAGAATTGGATTTGCAGTATTAGTATCTCAAGATAGTGGCCATGAGTCGAATCGGTTCTTATTTCTTCTCAAATCCTCAGTGCTCTGATCATGGCTCCTGCCTGCTGAAGCCCTCAGTTGCAGCTTCTGAAAACCTAGTTAGGCTTCAGTTAGTCAGTTATTCATCAGGGCTTTGCTTGGTGGACAAAGGTTCTTCCTGGTTTTGTTCTTTCAGTGCCTACTTTTTTTTTTTTTTTTTTTTTTTTTGAGATGGAGTCTCACTCTATCGCCCAGGCTAGAGTGCAGTACAACCTCCGCCTCCCGGGTTCAAATGATTTTCCTGCCACAGCCTTCTGAGTAGCTGGGATTACAGGTGCATGTCATCATGCCCAGCTAATTTTTGTATTTTTAGTAGAGACGGGGTTTCACCATGTTGGCCAGGCTGGTCTTGAACTCCTGACCTCCAGTGATCTGCCTGCCTTGGCCTCCCAAAGTGTGGGGATTACAGGCGTGAGCCACTGTGCCTGGCCAGTGCCTACTATTTCTGGCAGTGAGTCAAGCAGTGGAGACCACGGTTTTGTGTTTTTTTGCTGTTGTTTTTGTCATTGCTTTTTTGTGCAATCTTAAATGTGTTTCTTCTTTTTTTTTGAGATGGAGTTTCGCTGTTGTTGCCAAGACTGGAGTTCAATGGTGCGACCTCAGCTCACTGCAACCTCCGCCTCCCAGGTTCAAGTGATTCTCCTGCCACAGCCTCCCGAGTAGCTGGGATTACAGGCATGCACCACCACGCCCGGGTAATTTTTTGTATTTTTAGTACAAAAATAGAGACCGTGCCCGGCTTAAATGTGTTTCTTTCTGCAATCTCCTCTTCTACAGCTTAAAGGCTGCCAGAGGCAGCAGGAGAGAGAAACTGGGATGTGACCAAGGTTAGAGGTTTTTTCCCCCAGTCAGTACTGTAAGGTCATGCTTATCTCTAAGGCTTGTACTTAAAAGAGTATTTCAGGCCGGGCACGGTGGCTCACGTTTGTAATCCCAGCACTTTGGGAGGCCAAGATGGGCGGATCACCTGAGGGCAGGAGCTTGAGACCAGCCTGGCCAAAATGGTGAAATCCCATCTCTACTAAAAATACAAAAATTAGCCAGGTGTTGTGGCGGGCACCTGTAATCCCAGCTACTCAGGAGGCGGAGGCACGAGAATCGCTTGAACCTGGGAGGTAGAGGTTGCAATTAGCCGAGATTGCGCCTAGACAACAAGAGCGAGACTGCATCTCAAAAAAAAAAAAAAAAAAAAAAAAAGAAAGACAGTATTTCTTGACCTATGGTCGGGGAGCTACTATGGGCCACTCTTCTGACGGTCAGCAGAGGCCTACGAGGCCTCCTGAAGGGCTGGGCCTCTCCAGTTCTTGATCTGCAAATCCATTTTCCCTTTGTTTTAGCTAAGAGGTGGGATAGGAGAGAAGACAAAACATGGGGTATGTTCATGCAGAAGTGATTCATCAAAGTAGAAGAAATATTAAGAAATTTCCAACAAATGATAGAATGTTCTCATTCATCTTAAAATAAGCAGGATTCATCTCTGGGATGATTCATGCTGAGCACTGCAGCCAAATGGAACTGCTGTGGGCAGTAGATATTTATGGATTTAACATTCAAGGCTTTTACCATTCCTGAGTAAACGGTGGTCATGTTCATTTTTCTGAGACCTAAATCTGAATCCTGCACACTAGGACATGGACATGAAAAGGCAGGCTGGTGGGCTCTGCTCTTTAACATGTGAGGATGCAATGAGAGGTCAGCGGCCTGCAACCCAGAAGTCCCTCACCAGAACCTGACCCTGCAACACCCTGATCTCAGACTTCCCAGCTTCCAGAACTGGGAGAAATCAATTTCTAGTGTTACTTAAAAAAAGCAAGTCACATAGTTAGTTGCTAAGTTAGCCCAGCTAATGGTCCATCCTTTACAGCACGTGTAGCTTGGTAGCTATATACTCAGCATCATGTGTGCACTTTATGAGAAAAATTTCTTGATATAGTGGTACATAGGAACATTTAGGGTTCTAAAAGTACTTTGGATATATCCTTCAAAACTGTCAAAGTCTATCATTCTTCAATTCTACTCTGTTATTTCCTGCTTCCATGTCTTTGGATTTACTCTTATATCTGCCCAGCCTCCCCCCATATCCAACTATTAAAATTATGTTTAAGAAGCATGTCACCTCTCTCAATTAAGTTTTTCTTAATTATTTTTCACTAGCATAATCTCTCCCTGCTTAGGACCTCCTTAGAATTTTGTTTGTATCTTCTTTATGGCTTTTGTTTTATCCAATCTTGTATTAGGGTTCACTGGAGAAACAGAACCAACAGAATATATTTAGCTACATAAGAGGGGATTTATTATGGGAATTGACTCACGCAATTATAGAGGCTGAGAAGGCCCATGATATGCTGTCTTCGAGCTGAAGAACCAGGAGAGCAGGTGGTTAATTCAGTCTGAGTTTGAAGGCCTGAGAACCAGGGAAGCTGATGGTGTTACTCTAAGTCCGAGGCCAAAGGCTGAGAAACTGGGAGGCCACTGGTGTAAGTCCCAGAGGCCAAAGGCTGAGAAATTGGGAGGCCACTGGTGTAAGTCCCAGAGTCCAAAGGCAGAGAATCTGGAGCTCTGATATCCTAGAGCAAGAGAGAGGGTTGGTGTCCCAGAAAGAGACAGCATATGCACCCTTCCTCTGATTTTTTGTTCTATCCAGGACCTCACCAGATGTGATGACGCTTGCTCACATTGGTGAGGGGATCTTCTTTACTCAGTCTACTGATTGGAATGCTGATCTCTGCTGGAAACACCCTCACAGACACACCCAGTAATCATGTTTTACCAGTGATCTGGGTATCTCTTAACCCAATCAAGCTGACACATAAAATTAACCATCACGGACCTTCAATGATAATAATCAGTGTGCTCTATTTTATTTCTAACTCTGAGATTATAGTCATCTTTAGGTTACCAGTGGATCTTATTCATCTGAGAAGGGTCCCTATGTCCCCAACCACCCTACTTTCACAGAGCCCCCACATGACAGGGGCAAATAAATATTTGTTAAGTTGAATTGGGTTAAAGGCTGGTTCTGTTGTAGCAAAGTAAATAGACATCTTTGGATGATAGTTTTTGCTGGATGTTACTAGTACTTTTGATAGTCATCTATAAATAAAATGATATTGCTATGTTCTTTGGATAACCTGACCTAGGGAATACAGCAAATATGTGAGTCTGAGCCGGATCAATAGTTGCTCTAACATGGATGTTTAATATTCCTTTCATCTTCTAATTTGACAATTCTCTACCTTGTCCAACTCTGCCTTTCTCAAATCTAATTCCTATTCACTCTGTTATGGTACCCTCCTTTTTATTCCCTTTCTCATTACATCGTATTGAAACGTCAGAAAAATAGAACACTTGCTCTTGAGAGCCTATTGGCTCAAGTAGTCTAAATGGAGAGTGAATTTAAATGTTCTTTCTTATAGCAACATTTTAACCAAAGCCTGTATCAGCTTTAGAGGCACCTTCTAAACAATTTTGGGACCTGTTTCCTTTCCCTCCCCGAAATCCACTTTTTTTCCTTTCCTTCACAGGGAAGGGAATTTCTTGAAAATATTGTCTACATTGTCTTTCTCTGTATCTTACATCCTATTCAACTTATAGCTTATCTCGCTAACTGTGTCTTAGCCCAGGTTCTCTAGATTGCAGAGCCTGGGGTCAGGATTCAGGTGCTGATTCTCTTTCTGGGAGCTTAGAAAGGGAAAAATGAAGACAAGTCAGTGGAGGCAGGATGATGTGTTACAATGTTGGTCCCTGCTTCCAGCAAGCCATGATGAGAAACGGCAGGTGACTTAGCAGGTAGTGTCCTTCAGCCGTGGGAGTTCTCTGGCATGGCTGCAAGGAGCAATCACACCTTAAAATGGAAGGGAACAATGAGAAAAACGTATCTGTTTGCCTCACTTCTGTCTCCTATTTCCCATTTGTCAAGGTTTGCCCCACAAGAAGATAATTCCCTTCCACTTCTGCTGTGTAACTTCCATGGTGCATCATCTGGTCCATTGGCACCAGCTCAGGAAGCAAGATTTCATGCCTTGTGGTAGGTATGGCAAATGTTTCATTCTATCTGAAAGTGGAGGAGTAATTTTATGCAGAAGGGAGCATGTGTAGGCCATGCAGGTCTAGGACTTCAGTTCTGACTTCAGGCAACTCAGGGAAGTCAGCAGAGGTCCAGAGTAGTGGGAGGCGAGTGGTGCCTTTGGAGAGAAGGAAGTAGTTGAAGGAATGTGACAGGGAGCACGAGGTTATGCCCGATACACAACACAGGCAGAATTCACCCTCACCTTTCTACTGAAATTGCTTTTGCTGAGGTCATCAAAGAGGTCTTGGCAAATCCAGAGGACCCTTTCTAGTCCTTGTCTTACTGGACAGCTTTGCTCCATCTGACACAGCTGGCCATGTTCTACCCAAAACTCTGTCCTCCTTTTGTTTTCCTGATTCACAGAATAGGTTCTATTCCTACCTCTCTGGCAGTGTCTTCTTAAGGACGGCTTCCTTCTTCCATCTCTTAAAACTGGCTATTCTCTGTGGTTCCATTTTCAGCCTTCTTTCTTGTATCCTCACTCTCCACATTTAGCTGTCTTCTATGCGCTGATCATTGCCAAATCAGTATCTGAGGCCCAAATCTCTCTGCTCCAGGTCTATGTGTATAACTGTTTACATGTCTCTACCTGGATGTTCACCTCAGGATGTCAAATATAACAATGCTAAAATTGATTCATCCTCTATACTGCCCCCACCAACCCCCACCAAACCTGCTTTTCTTCCTGTGACCCTGTCTTGGTAAATATCACAAAAACAAGAACTGGGCAGTTCTCTTGAACTCCTGTCTTTCCTTCACATCTCACATTCAATAAGTCACTATTTTTTTTTTTTTGAGATGGAGTCTTGCTGTGTTGCCCAGGCTGGAGTGAAGTGGCACAATCTTGGCTCACTGCAGCCTCCGTCTCCCAGGTTCAAGTGATTCTCCTGTCTCAGCTTCCCAAGTAGCTGGGATTACAGGTGCCCACCACCACCCCTGGCTAATGTTTTGTATTATTAGTAGAGACAGGGTTTCACCATGTTGGCCAGGTTGGTCTCAAACTCCTGACCTCAGGTGATCCACTTGTCTTGGCCTCCCAAAGTGCTGGAATTACAGGCATGAGCCACTGTGCCTGGCCAACAAATTTTTAACTTTACATTATTGTGGACTATAGGTTCAATGCTGTACAACAGATCTCTACACTTACTTATCTTGCTTGACTGAAATTTTATGCCTCGGGGTTATTAATTCTTAATTTCCCTCTCCTCCAGTCGTTGGTAACCACCATTTCACTCTTTGATTCTATGAATTGGACTAGGCAGAATTGTGCCATATTTGTCTTTCTGTACCTGGCTTGTTTCACTTAGCATAATGTCCTCATTGTTCATTCATGTTGTCACATATTGTAGAATGTCCTCCTTTTTAAAGGCTGAATAGTATTCTATTGTCTGTATGTACCATCATTTTCTTTATCTGTTCATCTGTTGATGGACATTTAGATTGTTTGTACATCTTGGCTGTTGTGAATGGTGCTGCAGTAAACATGGGAATGCTAGTATTTCTTTAAGATCCTAATCTCAATTCTTTTTAAACATCCAGAAGTGGAATTGCTCAGTCAAATGGCAGTTCTATTTTTAATTTTTTGAAGAAATTTCATTCTGTTTTCCATAGCAGCTGACCATTTTGCATTCTCACCAATGGTGTGCAAGGGTTCCCTTTTCTCCACATCTTTACCAATAATTGTTATCTTTTGTCTTTTTGATAATGGCTATCCTGGCAGGTGGGAGGTGATAGCTCATTGTGGTTTTGATTTGCATTTCCCTGATGATTAGCGATGCTGTTTAGCATTTTTTCATATGCCTATTGGCCATTTATATGTCTGCTTTGAAGAAATGTCTGTTCAGGTCAGGTCCTTGCCTGTTTTTCAATAGTGTATTAGGGTATTAGGTTTTGGTTCTTTTTTTTAACGATTGAGTTGCAGAAGTTTCTTATATATTTTAGAGATTAATCCTTTATCAGTTTATGGTTTACAAATATTTTCTCCCATTCTTCAGGTTGCCTTTTCACTCTGTTGAGTTTTTTCCATTGCTGTACAGAAGCTTTTTAGTTTGATGTAGTCCCATTTGCTTATTTTGTTTTTGTTGCCTTTGCTTTTGGTACTACAGATGAGGTCTCACTTTGTTGCCCAGGCTGACAATTTCTTTCTTTTGCATGTGGATATCCAGTTTTTCCAACACCATTTTTCGAAAATTTGTTGAAAAGGCTATCTTTTCCCCATTGTGTATCCTTGGAATCCATGTTAAAGATCAATTGACTGTGTATATGTGGATTTATTTCTGGGCTCTCTATTCTGTTCCGTCAGTCTATATGTCTGTCTTTGTGCCAGTACCATGCTGTTTTGATTTGTAATATATTCTAATATATTAGCTTTGTAATATATTTTGAAATCAGGAGGTGTGATAACTCCAGCTTTGTTCTTTTTTTTTTTTTTCTTGAGATGGAGTTTTGCTCTTGTTGCCCAGACTGGAGTGCAATGGCACGATCTTGGCTCACCGCAACCTCTACCTCCCAGATTCAAGCAATTCTCCTGCCTCAGCCTCCCAAGTAGCTGGGATTACAGGCATGCACCACCACGCGTGGCTAATTTTGTATTTTTAGTAGAGACGGGGTTTCTCCATGTTGGTCAGGCTTGTCTCGAACTCCCAACCTCAGGTGATCCGGCCGCCTTGGCCTCCCAAAGTGCTGGGATTACAGGCATGAGCCACCACGCCTGGCCTTTTAGCTTTGTTCTTTTTGCTCAAGATTGCTCTGGCTATTTCCGTATGGATTTTTCAGAATTTTTTTTTTTTTCTATTTCTGTAGGAAATGCCATTGGGATTTTGATAGGGATTGCACTGAATGTGTAGATCACTTTGGGTAGTATAGGTATTTTAACAATACCAAGTTTTCCAATCTTTAAGCAATGGATGTCTTTCCATTTACTTATGTCTTATTTAATTTCTTTCATCAATGTTTTGAGTTTTCAGTATACAACTTTTCACCCTTTTAGTCAAGTTTAGTTCTAGGTATCTCATTCTTTTTTTTTTTTTTTTTTTTTGAGATGGAGTCTTGCTCTGTCATCCAGACTGCAGTGTAGTGGTGCAATTTCAGCTCACTGCAACCTCTGACTCCTGGGTTCAAGCGATTCTCTTGCCTCAGCCTCCCAAGTAGCTGGGATTACAGGCGCCTGCCACCAGGCCCAGCTAATTTTTGTATTTTTAGTAGAGACAGGGTTTCACCATGTTAGCCAGGCTAGTCTCGAACTCCTGACCTTAGGTGATCCACCCGTCTCGGCCTCCCAAAGTGCTGGGATTACAGGCGTGAGCGACCGTGCCTGGCTGGTATCTCATTCTTTTTGATGCTATTGTAAATTAAATTATTTTCCTAATTTCCTTTCCAGATACTTCATTGTGAGCATACAAAAATGCAATTGATTTTTATATTTTGTACCCTGCAACTTCACTGAATTTATTTATTAGTTCTAACAGGTTTTTTTTTTGTTTGTTTTTTGTTTTTTTTTTTGGATAGTGTCTTTAGGGTTTTCTACGTATGAGATTGTGTCATCTGCAGACAGGGAAAATTTTACTTTTTCTTTCTTATTTGGATGGCTTTTATTTCTTTTTCTTCCCTAATTGCTTTGCCTAGGACTTGCAGTACTATGTTGAACAGAAGTGGTGAGAGTAGGCATCCTTGCCTTGTTCTTCTGTTTTCACCATTAGTGTGATATTAGCTGAGGACTTTTCATTTATAGCCTTTATTATGTTGAGGTAATTTCATTCTGGCCTTAGTTTGTTGAGAGCTTTTATGATGAAAGGGTGTTAAACTTTGTTAAATGCTTTTTCTGCACCTATTCAGAGGATTATGTGATTTTTATCTTTTATTCTGTTAATGTGGTATATTAAATTTATTGATTTGCATATTTTGAACCATCCCTGCATCCTAGGGATGAATCTCACTTGGTCATGATGTATGATATTTTCAGTGTGCTATTGGATTTGGTTAGCTAGTATTTTGTTGAGTATCTGCATCTGTATTCATCAGGGATATTGGCCCGTACTTTCCTTTTCTTGTGATGTCTTTGTCTAGCTTTGGTATTGGGGTAGTGCTATATTCATAAAATGAGTTTGAAAGTGTTCCTTCTTCAATTCTTTGGAAGAGTTTGAGAAGGATTGATGTTAATTCTTCTTTAAATGTTTGGTAGAATTCCCCAAGTGAAGACATCTGGCCTTAGGTATTTTTGTTGCTGTTGTTGGGAGACTTTTAGTTACTGACCCAATCTTCATACTAGTTATAAATCTGTTTAGACTTTCATTTAGTCTTGGTAGGTTGTATGTGTCTAGAAATTCATTCTTTTTTTCTACATTGTCCAGCTTTTTGTTGGCATATAATAGTTCATAATAGTCTCTTATGATCCTTTTTATTTCTGTGACATCTGTTTTTCTTTCATTTCTGATTGTTTTTATTTCAGTCTTCTCTCTTTTCTTTCCTAGTCTAGCTAAGATTTTGTCAATTTTGTTTTATCTTTTAAAAAAAACTCAATTTTATTAATTTGTTTCTATTGTTTTATTTTATTTATTTCTGCTGTAATCTTTGTTATTTTCTTCCTTCTGGTAACTTTGGGCTTAGTTTATTCTTTTTTTTTTTTTTTTTTTTAGGTGGAGTCTCGCTCTGTCGCACAGGCTGGAGTGCAGTGGACAATCTCGGCTCACTGCAAGCTCCGCCTCCCGGGTTCACGCCATTCTCCTGCCTCAGCCTCCTGAGTAGCTGGGACTACAGGCGCCCGCCACCACGCCCAGCTAATTTTTTGTATTTTTAGTAGAGACAGGTTTTCACCGTGTTAGTCAGGATGGTCGCAATCTCCTGACCTCGTGATCCACCCGCCTCAGCCTCCCAAAGTGCTGGGATTACAGGCGTGAGCCACTGCGCCCGGCAATACATTCTTTTTAAAAAAAATTCCTTGGCTTGTTAAGTTAGGTTGTTTGAAATCTTTCTTTATTTTATTTTATTTTTGAGACAGGTTCTGGCTCTATCGGCCAGGCTGTAATGCAGGGACCTGATCTTGGTTCACTGCAGCCTCAGCCTCCCCGGGGTTTAAGCCATCCTCCCACATCAGACTCCTAAGTAGCTGGGACTACAAGCATGTGTCAGCACATCTGGCTAATTTTTGTATCTGTTGTAGAGATGGGGTTTCGCCAGATTGCCCAGACTGGTCTCGATCTCCTAAGTTCAAGTGATCTGCCCACCTTCCAAAGTGCTGGGATTATAGGTGTGAGCCACTGTGCCCGGCCTTTCTTCTTTTTAAATGTAGGCATTTTTCACTATGAACTTCCTGTTTAATACTGCTTTTGCTGCATCCCATAAGTTTTGACATGTTGTGTTTTCATTTTTGTCTCAAGGTATTTTTAAATTTCCTTTTTGATTTCTTTTTTGACAGAGTTCAAGAGTGTGTTGTCTAATTTTCACATATTTATGAATTTTCCAGTTTTCCTTCCGCTATTGAAAGGGATGGAGGTTGCAGACACATAGTACTCTGCCACATAGCTATAGCTAATGTCACTCCTCTCAACATACAGTTTTGATTTAAGAAAAATCATAGTTAACATTTTATATGTTAAAGAATATTGATCTCAGACCAATAACCAATATTATACTTAGCAATAAAACATTAGAAGCATTTCCACTGATGTTAGTAATTCAACTATAATTACCATTATTTAACATTATTCTGGAAGTGCTCATCAATGTAACAATGAGAAAAGGAAATGAGGGAGGTATAAATATTTGATAGGAAGAGATAAAATTATCATTTTTCCAAGATGATATGGTTGCTTGAGAAACTATTAGACTTAAGACACTTAGAAAGTTTGGCAATTATAACAGAAATATTAAAAAACTAATAGCTTTCCTATATATATCAGCAATACTCTGTTAAGATAGATAATGGAAGAAAGAACTCATATATGACAGCAATAAAAAAATCAAAGCACCTAGGAATAAACTTAATGATAAATGTACATATCTACAAAACTTTACCATGAAATCTAGAAAGAAATTTGAATACAGGGAAAGGCAGTCCACATTTCTGTATTAGAAAATTTAAAATTGTAAAGGTATTAAATTTCCTCAAGCTAAACCTATAAATTTAACAAAATCCCAATAAAAATACCTGGGAACTATTTTTAGAATGTGAAAAAAAAACTATTTTAAGGCTTATTTAGAAAAATAAATGAAGAATGTCAAGCACACTTTTAGGAAGAACAGTAGTGAAAAGTTCTTTCCTAACAGATATTAATGTGAACTAGCAAGATATAATAACTAAAACATTGCTGTTTTAGCTAAAAAAGAGACAGTTCAGAAATATATCCAAATGTGTATAAGAGTTTAGTATATAATAAATCTGCTGCCTCATGTCAGTGGAGAGAGTGTTAAGATGAACTGTCTAATCATTAAAACAAAGTTAAATCCAAACTCACATAGTACACTAAGATAAATCCAGAAGGATTAAAAATTTTAATGTAAGTACAAGAAAATACAGGTGAATATTTATAAAACTTTGGGGGTAAGGGATGACTTTGTAAACATGAAACTAAAGGCTTAAAGTATAAAGGATGATAGATCTGATTATATGAAAATGTAAAACTTTTATGTAGCAAAATTTATCATAAACTAAGTTGAAAGACAAATTACACTGGAGGAAAGTATCCTTAACCAAAGATTCTTTCTTTTTGTTTTTCTTTTCTTCTTTGACAGAGTTTCACTCTGTTGCTGAGGCTGGAGTGCAGTGAATTACCTAAACTCTGGGGCTCAAGTGATTCTCCTGCCTCATCCTCCCAAGTAGTTTGGACTACAGGCATGCGCCACCATGCCCAGCTAACTTTTTCATTTTTTTTAGAGATGGAGTCTCACTGTGTTGCCCAAGCTCATCTTAACTCCTGGGCTCAAGTGATCCTCCACTTCAGCCTCCCAAAGTGTTGAGATTACAGGCTTGAGCCACCACATCCAGACCAAAGATTCTTCTCTTTAACATTCAAAGATTTTCTTCAAATCAATAAATGAAAATACTTCTCCACTCACACTGCTTCACTTGACTAGCCTAAAAACAAAATTAAATTAAAAAGAAAAAAAGGGGCTGGGCACAGTGGCTCATGCCTGTAATCCCAGCACTTTGGGAGGCCGAGGTGGGCCGATCACGAGATCAGGAGATTGAGACCATCCTGGCTAATACAGTGAAACCCCGTCTCTACTAAAAATACAAAAAATTAGCTGGGTGTGGCGGCGGGCGCCTGTAGTCCCAGCTATCCGGGAGGCTGAGGCAGGAGAATCGCTTGAACCTGGGAGGCAAGAGGTTGCAGTGAGCCGAGATGGCGCCACTGCACTCCAATCTGGGCTACAGAGCGAGACTCTGTCTCAAAACAAAAACAAAAACAAAAAAAAGATTGACTAGAAAAGGCATTTTATATAAGAAAAACCCAAGATGGCCAGTAAACATGAAAAATGTTCAACTTCTTTTATTTATTATTGTTTAAAATTTTTGTGGGTATATAATTGTACATGCTTATGAGGTAATGTCATATTTTGATACAAACATACAAGGCATAATGATCAAATCAGTGTAATTGGGATATCTGTCACGTCAAGCATTTATCACCTTCATGTTTAGTCAAAGAAATGCAAATTAAAACCACAAAGAAAAAAACAAGGATTAATAAATGCACTGTAAAGAAGAGTTTGGAGATTCAGGCACTGTCAAACATGGTTAGGTCTATAAATGTATACAGTCCTTATAGGGGGTGTTCTACTAGGAATGTATAGCTAAGAAATAATTAAGGAGATATATATATATATATATATATATATACACACACACATATACATATTCCACTAATCTTCTTAATATATATCATGATGTGCTGCCTATAATAATAAAGAAGTGGAAACCTCAGTGACCAAAAACAGGGGATATATGTAGCCATTTCAAAAGAAGTAGAAGAATGGATAGGAACAACAACAAAAAAAATTTAAAGAAGGATATATTTATTTACTTGGGTTTTTTTGTTTTTTTGAGATGGAGTCTTGCTTTGTCACCCAGGCTGGAGTGCAGTGGCACAATCTCGGCTCACTGCAGCCTCCACCTCCTGGGTTCATGCAATTCTCCTGTCTCAGCCTCCTGAATAGTTGGAATTACAGGCATGTGCCACCATGCTTGGCTAAGTTTTGTATTTTTAGTAGAGATGGGGTTTCACCATGTTGGCCAGGCTGGTCTCAAACTCCTGACCTCAAGTGATCCACCCACCTCAGCCTCCCAAAGTGCTGGGATTACAGGCGAGAGCCACTGCGCCTAGCCTATTTACTTAGTTTTTTATTGGGGGTTTTCCAGTAAGAACCTGAAAACCCAACATGGATGGAGCTGGAAGCCATTATCCTAAGCAAATTAAAGCAGGAACAGAAAATCAAATACCACGTGTTCTTACTTACAAGCGGGAGCTAAACATTGAGTCCGTATGGACACAAAGAAGGGAACAACAGACACTGGGAGGTGGAGGGAGGGAGGATGGAGAGGATCGAAAAACTACCTATGGGATACTGTGCTTCTTACCTGGGTGACAAAATAATCTGTAAACCCAAGCCCTGTGACATGCAATTCACCTGTATAGCAAACCTGCACATGTACTTCTGAGCTTAAAATAGAAGTTAAAAACAACAACAACAACAACAAATCCTGAAAACCTCCTGGGCAAATTAAGGAAGGACATTTAAAATAACAAGGCAATCTGGAAATACAGCCAGTAGGGGGAAAAGTGTCAGTTTGACAAGCTGGCACTAGCGTTCTGATGGGGAGAGACTGTTTTGAGTTAGCAAAATAATTTAGAATCTCTGTCAGCTGGAGCAAACAAAAGGAGCAACAAATTGCCTTGCACAAAAGGAAATGGGAATTGGCAATAAGTGCTTTGGAGTTTACAGCCAGATTAAATCTGGAAAATGAAAAGGGGAGGAAGGGAAGAGGGGGAGAGGGTGGGCAGCTGGTGGAGGCATGGCCAGTGAGAATTGTCCAATGCCAGGAATGACTGGTGGACTCTTAAAAGAACTGTGAATACTTGGTTTCAAGATGTTCTCTGAGCTTCAATATAAGCTAGCCCCTCTAGCCCCCAAATCTTTCCTCAAAGTTTGCTAAACACACAACCGTATTTAGGCCATCTTTTGGGGAGAGAAGAGGTTGAGCAAGTGTCCAACAGGGTGATGTGTTGTAGAAGAAAGGGCAAGGTGCGCAGGAAGTATGAGGGGTGGAGATCAAGGCAGAAAATCAGAGGTAGAGGTGATCAAAAGAAACATACCTCTGGCTCAATATGAGACCCTTCAGAGATATCGGTAGGGACTTGGGTTTCATGACATTCATAGGATAGGGGTTTGAGCAGGATTCTTTTATATCTCAAAGGTTGGGGAGACTCCAGAAGGTTGGAGGACCTTGTGAAATATATGGGGGTTGGGTGACATGCTGAGGTGAGGAGAGGGAGAAGCCTTGGAAAATTGTTTAGAAGAATACACAGCATAAAAAATTTACCCATGATGCTAAGATGATAGCAATATTTATTTTTCTTTCTGTTCATCTCTATCTTGATTCTTCTATAATAAATCCATTTTACTTGAATAAATTTTAAAAAGAAAATATACTGAGTGGATAGATCAATCCACAGGTATAGAAAGCTGTCTGGTTGTTATCAGGAGCTGAGGGGAGAGGGGAAAGGGGAGTAATTGCTTAATGGGTATAGACTTTCCTTTTAGCATGATGCAAATGTTTTAGAACTGGATAGAGGTGGTGGTTGCACAACATTATGAATGTACTCAATGCCACTGAATTTTCACCTTAAAAAAGTTAATTTTATGTTATGTGAATTTCACCCCAATAGGAAAAAGGAGGAAAAAAATGTACTGGGGAACAAGACAAGATCAATCAGACTCTGCCACTCTTCTGCTGTAAGTCCTTCAGAGCCATCCTAACTCTTTGGCCTGGCTCCTCATGGCCTATCCCTGTCACTGCTCCAGCACAGCTACCTCTCCCTATAAACCTTGCTCTCCCAGTCATTCAAAACCATGTGCAGTGCTCTGAAAAGGCCTATTCTTTTCCGTCTTCTTGCCTTTGTATGGGTTTTTTCTTTTCTTGGAATGCCCTCCCCTTACTTTCTGCTCATCCTTCAAAACTCTGCTAAACATCTTCTCCTTTGAGATGCTGTCCCTGATTCTGTAGTCTGGGAGTGTCTCTTTCCTGCATTCCAAGAGCCTTCTGGGCATTTCTCTGTTACATGTAGGTGATTGTGAACCCCTGGAGAACAGAACCCAGGCCTTCCCCTTTGTTTACCTTCAGAACTTGGCTCAGGACAAAAGCTACAAGGAATGTGGAAAAAATAAGAATAGACATAGAATCACTGAGACTAAAATAACATCTTTTTCTAATGTAAAAGGTTGCCCTGGGCATGAAGTTTAAAAGGACTCAAAGATGTTGAAGTGGCTTACTGAGGCATATATCAAGACTGGTGATATAATATCTTTCCTCTGTCCCCTCCTGCCTTCTTCCTTTTTATGAATTATTTAGAGATTGCAGCATAGATAAAAATTCCAAATAGATTAATAAAAATGTGACTCTAAGTAGCAAAATGATTCTAAATGGGCCTTATGAGGTGGCAGAATGCTGATAGTCTTAGGAAAATAAGGCTAAAAGCTCAATGATTCTTGTGTAAATACACAATAGGTCATAAAATGTATATTTTTGAGACCTACATCCCATCTCAGGATGGTGTTTAAAAATACCTGTCTTGCGGGATTAAAAATGAACTTAATCCCTAACAAAATAACAGATCTAGGCAAAAATCATCAGTGGTTGCTAAAATTATTAGGTGAATGGTTGATAAGAAACTTTGCAATAGATAGATGAGGCTGACAACCTTTGAACCTACTGTACCACCTTTGCATTATTAACAGTGGGACAGCCAGACATTAATTGCCTCCTGATATGATGTAGTAGGAAGTATACAACACCAATTAAGAAATATTCTTGCCAAAATAATTGAACCTGAATTTAACAATTTTCTAACCACTGGTTTGTGAGAAATATGAAAAACCGAGAAGCATGCAAATTGACACCATAAGGATATAAAACATCAAATAAAAAAGATGGGAAATTCTCCAAGACACATGACTCAATTTCTTCAAGAAATAAATGGTATGAAGAAAAAGGGAGCTGGAAAAGTACAGATTCAAGAAGACTTGAAGACTTAAGACAGGTTGGGTGTGGTGGCTGATGCCTGTAATCCTAGCACTTTGGGAGGCCTAGGTGGGAGGATTGCTTGAGGCCAGAAATTTGAGACCAGTCTGCTCAACATAGCAAGGCTTCATCTCTACCAAAAGTTTAAAAATTAGCCAGGCGTGATGGCATGTGCCTGAGGACGCCGAGGTGGGAGAATCACTTGAGCCCAGAAGTTTGAGGCTGCAGTGAGCTATGATTGTGCCACTGCATTCCAGCCTGGGCAACAGAGGAAGACCCCATCTCTTAAAAAAAAAAAAAGAGACATATGTAACACATACAAACAAAAAAAAAAGTTATTTTTTGGAGATAATGTAGGAAAATTACGTGGATTGGATATTAGATAATATTAAGGAATTACTGTTAAATTTATTATGTGTGATAATGGTATTGTGGCTATGTTTTCTTAAGTTCTTATTTTTAGAGATTGAAATATTGATGATGAAATGATAAACCTTGAATTTACTTTAAAATGCTCTCCCAAAAATGTGTTTGTGGGGATAGGCTGGGTGGGGTGGCCCATGACTGTAGGATTGCTTGAGCCCAGGAGTTCGAGACCAGCCTAAGCAGAATAGTGAGATTCCGTCTCTACAAAAAATAGAAAAAATTAGCTGGGCATGGTGGCACTCGCCTGTAGTCCCAGCTACTTGGGAGGCTGAGGTGGGAGGATCACTTGAGCCTGAGAGGTTGAGGCTCCAGTGAGCTGTGATTGAGCTACTGCATGCACTCCAGCCTGGGTGACAGAGCGAGACCCTGTCTCAAAAAGAAAAAAAAAAGTATTTGTGGGGATAGATAAAACAATGATGCAGAGTATTAATAATTATTGACTCTGGGTGATAATGAACACATGGATTCATTACACTTTTCCTTTTTGTGTATAAAATTTTCCGTAAGTTTCTAAAAATAAACCTAACATTCAGTGGCAATGTAGTAATGTTAATAAGCCCATCTGCTGAGCCAGGACTATATCATATGAGAGCATTGTCAGACCAATGGAAAGATCTTGGCTTTGGAATCAGAAAGGTGTGAGTTTGAACCCTAGGTCTGCTACTTACTACCTCTATTACCTTGGACAAGTTACTTCTCTGAATCTGTTTTCTCACTCATAAATAGGGATAACATTACCTACATCAGAAGATTGGAGGGACATGTGAGGTGATCTATATAAAGTATCTATCATGTGCCTGGCACAAAATAAATGCTCTATAAATTAATGACCCAGGCCCAGTACGGTGGCACAGGCCTGTAATCCCAACACTTTGAGAGGCTGAGGTGGGCAGATTACTTGAGCTTAGGAGTTAGAGACCAGCCTGGGCAAAATGGTGAATCCCCATCACTACAAAAAATACAAAAATTAGCCCAGTGTGATGGTGCACACCTGTCATCCCAGCTACTCAGGAGGCTGAGATGGGAGGATTCCTTGAGCCTGGGAGGCGGAGGTTGCAGTGAGCCGAGATCATGCCACTGGATGCCAGCCTGGGCAACAGAGTGAGAACCCGTCTCGAAAGAATAAAGAAAATAAAAAATAAATTAACTACCTTATACCAATCCACTTATTCTTAATTTCCTTTATTGGTTTTTACAATAGATTTAAATAATCCAGAGTGTATGAAACAGAGTGAAATTTCCCCTCACCACACTCCCCAGTCTCACTCTCCAGAAAAAGGAGGCTTTAGCATGTATCTTTCCAGCCCTTTTTTTTTTTTTTGCGATGGAGTCTCACTCTGTCGCCTAGGCTGGACTGCAGTGGTGTGATCTTGGCTCACTGCAACTTCCACCTCCTGGGTTCAAGCAATTCTCCTGCCTCAGCCTCCTGAGTAGCTGGGATTACAGGTGCATGCCACTACACCCAGTTAATTTTTGTATTCTTAGTAGAGACCGGGTTTCACCATGTTGGTCAGGCTGGTCTTGAACTCCTGACCTCGTGATCCGCCCACCTCAGCCTCCCAAAGTGCTGGGATTACAGGCGTGAGCCACCACACCTGGCCTCCAGCCTTTTTCTTTATGTCTATAAATATACACAGGTATATGCAACCACATGTGGTGTTTTTTAACAAAAATGAAACCACACATATAATATTGTTCTGCATTTTACTTTTTCCACATTACAATACATATCTTTTTATGTCATTTCATATGATTCTACAGTTATAATTCAATAAACAATGTTACTCTTATGCCTTTGCTCCCTGGTGTATTTCTGTGAGCTAGAATCCTAGAGCAGAGTTGTTGGATGGAAGGCTATGTGTCATGTATCTTTTGTCAATACTACAAAATGGTCCTAATGTCCCTCCACACGTTATTTGGTTATTTTCACCTCAATTAAGATCTCAACATTATCAATTTTCCATACATTTCTAAGTTGCATTACTGTCTTTCTGGGTACCACTTCTCAATTGGCCATGAAAAGGTGTCAAAGAATAAATGCGTTAGATTAGCAAAAATCAGCCTCATGGAAAATAGTCAAGCTCCATCCTGCTATTTGTCCCTGTTAGAGAATAATAGGCTGCCTGCTGTTTTCAAGGCTGGATGTAGTGGTGGATTGGATAAAATAAATGAGAGTCCTAGTTTTCTTTGTGAAGAGCTAGTGAAGATTATGTGAAGCAGGATTCTGAAAGAAAGCAGGGGAATAAAACCTCCTCTCCAAAGAGGTCCCAGCGGATGGCAACAGTGCAAAGGTAGACAAAGAAAGAAAGGGGAAGGAAGTGCCACTTTGATTCCCTGGGGAGTTCAAGATCTCACTTTTCCCTCCTGTTGTTCTAGTGACTTTTAGAAAGGACAATTCCAGAGAAAGATGGTTTCAAAAAGAAAAGAAACCCAAACTGAATCCAATTCTGCCTTACTTATGTAAGAGCACCTGTCATGTGGTGTACAATTGGTCCCAGGCAGACGCCTGAGAAAGATCACTTTGTAAACCACCCTTCTGTCGAGGGAAGGCCAACAATTGTCCTTTGTCTATGGAGCCCTCCCATCATCTCACTATGCTGGTCCAAGCTGCTGAAAGGTTTGGGCAAGAAGAAATTATTCCATTGTCTTGTAGAAATTAGGTCAGTAAGGTGATGTCATTCATGATGTAAGGCTTTCCTTGCATCCTGGCTCTTCCTGATGTGGGAAATCATGAGTTGCTCCCTGGCTGCATGTAGTTCTTTCGGTCCATAATATGGGCACATAGAAAATGGCCTGCTCCATGTAAGAGCCATTCAAGTTCTAAAATAATTAAGTTAATAAATGTCCTGATCACTCTTGGACTTAGAGATAAGTTTTAATTTCACACTTTTTTTCCTTTTTTTTTTTGAGACACGGTCTGGCTCTGTCACCCAGGCTGGAGTACAGTGGCGTGATCCGCCTCCAGGGCTCAAGTGATCCTCCAGCCTCAGCCTCCTAGTACCTGGGACTACAGGTGCACACCACCACACCCAGCAATTTTTTTTTTTTTTTTTTGATAGGGGTGGGATTTTGCCATGTTGCCCGGGCTGGTCTCAAACTCCTGGGCTAAAGTAACCTGCCCACCTCGACCTCCCAACATGTTGGGATTAGAGGAGTGAGCTACATTGCCTGGCCTATTTTACACTTTTAAATCCGAGTTACTAACTCAGTAAAGTTTGAAAAACATCTCATTGTATTCAACCTTCAAAACACTTTTTGTCTTTAATTTGTTTGTAAGTCCAGGATCAAAGTCTTCTACTAATCCACAGATACAACCAGCAAATGGTTAGTTTGGATATAAGCCTTCTTGTAGACCTGTTGCTTTTTCTTTGACAGGTAATTTTAATTATTTTGACAAACATTTGTGTGTCAGGTACTGTCCCATGTGCTAAAGATAAAGCAAAACAAAACAATGAAAATTCTTGCCCTTGTGGGTTTACATTCTAGTGAGGAAGCTTCATTCATTCATTCATTCATTCATTCTTTCAACAAGCACCCATTGATCTTCCAGTATGACTCAGGCCTTAAGCCACATACTGTGAATAAACAGGATTTTAGCTCTAATCTCAGAATTTAGTGGGAGAAATAAGATGTGTGCCCTTCTCTCCTCCAACCCTCCCCTACACAGAGAACACAGAAGAGGGCAGGCTTGCTCAGCTTGCTCAAAGAAAGTTTCTCAAAGAAGATGGCATGTAAGATGAAACTTGAAGAATGAAACTGGTGAGGGAGAAAGGCGGTCCAGGTAGGGAAGAGAGCGAGCATGGCATGCACGTGGCATGAGGCATGCTAGGAGATGGATGAATGCAGTTGAATGGATGAAACTACCCCAGTGGAGTGCACACTCCAGGGGGCATGTTCTGGGAACTGTAAGTCCCTTCCTGTGGCTGAAATTTAAAGTATGTTGGGATGGGCAGGAGATGGAGCTGGGGAAGGAGGAAAAGTCCAGACATGAGGCAGGCATGGTTATGGGCCTTTGTCCTGATGACAATTAGAACATTAATGGATCATTTTAAACAGCAATATGCCATGATCCAACGATGTTTTATTCTTTTCTTGATAAAGGTGTATTTGAAAAATTACATAAATAATATGCGTTTATTTTGGAAGACTCATTGGGGCCTTTCTGTGGGAACAATGATTTCATTCTCCTATTTTTATTACCAGTACATTGCACATCTCTCTGTGTCTCTCTATTGCTGTAAAAGAACCTTTCTCTCTGATTGGACTTGACACACAGAAGGATCTCAGTAAAGATTTGCTGTTGTTGATGTCCACAGACACTGGCAAGGTGCAGCCAGATTACACAAGGCCGTGATCTGGTCCAAACGTGACACTGAGAAACTGGAGCTTCACCAGATTGAAAAATTTAACACTTCCATTGCCACTTCACTGTCATTATATTTTTTAAATTCTCATTTTGAAAAACTTTTTATTATGGAAAAATGCATATATATTAATGCATATTTTAAAAGTATGAAGAGGCCGGGTGTGGTGGCTTATGCCTGTAATCCCAGCACTTTGGGAGGTCAAGGCGGGAGGATCACGAGGTCAGGAGTTTGAGACCAGCCTGGCCAACATAGTGAAACCCCGTCTCTACTAAAAATACAAAAATTAGCCAGACATGGTGGCGTGTGCCTGTAGTCCCAGCTACTCGGGAGGCTGAGGCAGGAAAATCGCTTGAATCTGGGAGGTGGAGGTTGTGGTGAGCTGAGATCGCGTCACTGCACTCCAGCCTAGGCAACAGAGTGAGGCTTTGTCTCAAAAAAAAAAAAAAAAAGTAGAAAGCATAGAATGATAAACCCTCATGTGCCCATCATCCAGCTTCAATAATTAACAACTCTTAGCCAAAAATTGTTTTATTTATATCCTTCCCTCTCCTTGACCACTGCATTATTTTGACATAAATCTGAGATATTATATATTTTAGTATGTATCTCTTAAGGATAAGAACCTTTTAAAAAATTTTTCAACTATTATTTTAGATTCAGGGGTACATGTGCACGTTTATTCCATGGATATATTGCGTGATGCTGAGGTTTGGGGTATAACTGACCCCATCACCCAGGTAGTGAGCATAGTACCCAACAAGTAGTTTTTCCACCCTTGCCCCTTTCCCTCTCTCAGCTGTCTAGTAGCCTGAAGTGTCTATTGTTCCCATCTTTATGTCCATGTGTACCCAGTGTTTCGCTCCCACTTGTAAGTGAGAACATGTGGTGTTTGACTTTCCATTCTGCATTAATTGGCTTAGGATAATGGCCTCCAGCTCCATGTGTGCTGCTGCAGAGAACATGATTTTGTAATTTTTTATGGCTGTGTCATATTCCATAGTGTATATGTATGGCATTTTCTTTATCTAATCCACCATTGATGGGCACCTAGGTTGATTTCATGTCTTTGCTATTGTGGACAGTGCTATGATGAACATATGAGTGCATGTGTTTTTTTGGTAGAATAATTAATTTTCCTTTGGATATATGTCCAGTGATAGGATTTCTGGGTCAAATGAGAGTTCTATTTTTAGTTCTTTGAGAAATCTCCAAATTGTTTTCCACAGTGGCTGAATAAATTTACATTCCCACTAACACAGTGTATAAGCATTTCCTTTTCTCTGCAGCCTCAACATCTTTTATTTTTTGACTTTTTGGTAATAGCCATTCTGACTGGTGTGAGATGGTATCTCATTGTGGTTTTGATCTGCATTTCTCCAATGATTAGTGATGTTCACAACAGGATGCAATTGGAGAAACTGGTTGTCTTACTAAGGCTTTGACTGGAAGGGTATGTGCTTCCCTTTAAGGAGTCAAGCTCAACTTGCAGAACTAAGAAAAGCTCCTTGGGAAACCTGATCTCACACCCTTGTCTACACAGTCCCCATGCAGGATTCCTAACCTGTGGTGAGTAAAGAATGTTACTTTCCAGCAGGCCCAGGAACCACATGTTCTTGGGACCTCAAGAAAAGAGAAGTTTATTCAACTTGCAGGTATTTGAGGATACAAACCCATCGCTGGCCTGGCTTTAAAAGGTCTTATCTGAGATTCCTTGTGGAACAGAGTTCCATTAAAGCCAATCTAAAAGGTCTATGTAGAAATAATTATTCTTGCTGCACTTTATGCAAATAATCTGACCAAGTATAAGACTAAAGTCTATTTTGCAAACAATGCAATCCTATCATAATTTGTTTTTAATGAAAATGAGGACTAGAGAGTGAAATTATGTTTCAAATCTCATCGTCATTAGATTCTAGACTCATTAGGTGTTTTTAAGTTTTTGCCTACATTTTCGGCTAACCCTGCTTATTCCTGTGAACCATCCAGCAATCTCTGGCTGCAGCTCAGAAAGAACAAAAGGGATGGGTAATGTAGAAATCCGGATCAATATTCTAGTTCTGAGCAATTATCCTGCAAATCCTGCCAGGTGATGGGAATAAATAGGATGCCCTGGAGGTTTCCTTTTTGGGAAAGTAAGATCAAGGGAGCTAACCAAGCCAAGCCCCATGCACCCAAATCTTGGCAAGCATAACTATCACCACTAGCTATCTGGGTGTGTCACAAGACATCCTTTTCTTTCCCTTGTTGGAGGAGGACTCAATTCCACAGCTGCACCTTAACATTCGGTTTATGATAAGGAGTACATGCACCACCCGCCTCCTGACACATTTTTTTTTTTTTGAGGTGGAGTTTCGGTTTTGTTGCCCAGGCTGGAGTGCAATGGCACGATCTTGGCTCACAGCAACCTCCACCTCCCGGGTTCAAGCAATTCTCCTGCCTCAGCCTCCCGAGTAGCTGGTATTACAGGCATGCGCCACCATGCCCGGCTAATTTTGTAGTTTTAGCAGAGATGGGGTTTCTCCATGTTGGTCAGGCTGGTCTCGAACTCCCAACCTCAGGGGATCTGCCTGCCTTGGCTTCCCAAAGTGCTGGGATTACAGGTGTGAGCCACTGCACCCGGCCTCACATTTTTGACCCAAACTCAATTCCAAGCTTTGGGTCAAAGCCCTAGGAAAGAAAACTGGATCTGAGGGATCCAGAGGCAGACAATAACAGAAATTAAAAGGCACAGCACAAGTGAGCATGACTACTTCCTGCCAATTAAGCCAAGCTTCCCATAAAGGTCCCATAAAGGTCATGCTAGTATCCATGGCATAAATGAGGTCTAGGGAATTCAAAGGCTACTGACAGCAGGGAAGATAGGGCATATATGGATAAAAGTGGATACTCCCACTCCCTTGGCCTTCCTGTTAACATGGGTGAAAGCCACTTCAACACCCATGGGTGGCACCCTGTCACAGTTGCCAGGACTCGGGTATATAAGGATGGAAGAGAGAAAGAGCGACACCTCACTTTCTCTCCCTTACATACCCCGCGTATTTGCTAGGAAGAGAAAGAAACCAGGGATGCCTGGTGCCCTCTTTCTAGATGAGTAGCCATTCATCTTTCTGTACCCCTTTCAAATGTATCCTGAAGCCCTGGGACTTCTTCGAAAAACTGCCTTCTTTTTCCTTTTTCCTCCTCTGTCCTCTCTTCACTTACAGGTAATTGTGTCTCCATAGTACGGGACACTCCTCTCGGATGCATCCTCCAAACTGCATTCCCAAACCTTAAACTGGTTGGCTTAGGATTGGGCTTGGGGTAGGGAACCCAGAAGCCTGACATGCTGGCAAGAGGGTAAAAGTTTGTTTTACCAGTCAGGCTTTTGGTCTCCCTTTCCCTGTGCAAACAGGTAAAAGGCCTCAGGATTTTTGAGCTTTCCTTACCCCCACCTTGTTTCGTTTTGATACGTGTTTTCTAATAACCCGGTTTGTCTCTTCTCCCCTTCAGGCCATCACACTCTAAATGGTCATGCAACTGGAGCCTTGGATGATGGCCCTTTTTGCCAGGGACCTTTAGATAGGCCTCTGAGGGAGATCTGAGAGAGTGCCCCGTCACAGGAAGCAGTTAAGAGTGGTCTTCATCCTTATCCTTATCCTTGTCCTTATCCTTATTCTAATGCAGTAAGATGGACTTCTTTAGAGGGGGGAATGAGACAGCCAAATGCATAGGCAGATAAAAAGGGGTTCCTGGAGAACCTCTGACCAGCCCCACAAGTCTTTATATCAGATGCTTTTGTTCAGATGAGGGAACCTGCGCAGGGCTTTGCCTGACCATGCCCACATGTGCACTGGGGGAATGGGGTGGAGCCACGGGCGGAGGGGGGGGCCACAGGCCAGGGGAGGAGCCTGGCTTCCAATTCCTGTGTGGTGGCCTGGGATTCAGTCCCTGAGGTGAGAGGCCTGTTAGCAGGACTCCATCTTGCTTTGTTGAGTCTTTTTTCTTTTTCTCCCTTTTTGCCCAATGAAATCCTGCTCTATTTACCCTTCAGTGTGTCCATGTGTCTAAATTTTCCTGGCTTGTGTCTAGAACCTGGTATTAGCTGAACTAAGGAGCAAAATTCTGCAACAGTATTATCCTGCCTTCCCAATGCAATCTACATTTCCAGGTGACCAACTAGACCTAACTGATAAGGAAAAGTTCTTTACAGACGAATCCCAGCTAAAAAATGTGGTAGGAATGATAGAATTAGGAAAAAAAAACCAGCATTTTGCAAAGATCAATAAGGGATGAAAGAATTAGATTAAAAGCTTCTGGAGAACTTTACAATAGAGAGATCCGGCTGACACCCCTGGAACCACTGATCAGTGTTAACTACACTCAGAGTGGGACAGCCAGACAGTATGTACCTCTTGAGATGCCCCCTTTATGGGGAGAAAAAAGAAAAGGAACCCAAATCTAATAAGGCCTTTGGGACTAATTTTCTAGTTTACATGAAATACAGGGGATACAGACTCAAGTTTAAGTGACACTACTTATAAATAAATGGATAAATCCAGAATGTGGGATATTTTATAGAACTATTGAACTAGTTTAATCAACAAATCAATAGCATGAAAAAAAGGGTGGGGTAGAGCTGGGAGATACTGTTGTAGATTTTAAGACTCAAAAGACATAACCTTCAAATGCAATGTAACGACCTTGTTCAGATTCTGATTCTAATGAACTAACCATAAAAAATACATGTATTTAAACATCAGGAAAGTATAAAAATTATCTAAGAATTCGATGATACCAAAGAGGTGTTACTTTTGTTAGGTGTGTTGGTAGCAGTGTGGTTATGTAGAAAATATTTGTGTATGCAGTATCAAGGGAGAGATAACATGAGGTCTGAGACTTGCTTTGAAATACTCAAATAGAAAAAGGAGAGGGATACATGAAGCAAATATGGCACAATTCTAATAATTGTTGAATCTAAGTGATGGGCATTTAAACAATACGATTCTAATTTTGTTTATTTTAAACTGTTTGTATTAAAAAAGTTAGTGTGGAGACAGGCAAAATAGAATCTTCTGGATGACAATTCAGCCTGGTCCATGTATATCAATGGAACAAAATAAATGGGAAAAGTTACTGCAAATCAGACTAACTTGCTCATCTTTAGCTGTCAGCTGCCACGATGCCACAAAAGCACATCTGGTGTCAGTGATGACACTTCAGATGATGAGATCCAGGGTGGAAGGAAGGGCTGCTGGTGGGTGTAATGATTTTCTCTCTCACACATCTCATTTTTGTTAACACCTGAGGTGGCACCTCAGCAAATCCAAGCAGAGTGCCGAGTGGTTTGCAATCTTCTTTTGCATAAAAAACATACTAATTACACTCTCTTTGCTGATTCACTGGGGAATAATTTTTAGCCCTGTAAGTAGATACAACTTTTGTTTTTAAGATGAAGAATTACAAAAACCAGAGATGGCAAACACAGCCAACTGTGTGACCACTCTCCTCTCTAGAACCTGGGGCAAGTAGACTTCGTTAATTGATCACAGCTTTCTTTCCCATTAGATTTGACTTCTCACCATGCTTCTCCAGGTGACCCCATATTCATAATATCTATTTGTCCTTCCTTCATAAAAAGTATTCAAATTAATTTATAGATTAAATAACTTGCTAAGCCATTTTTTTCATTTCACAGCAGAACAAACAAGAAGAAAAATACCTTGAATACCAAGGAATTTAGACTAGATTGAATTTAAGAATAACTTTATGTGGAGATTATTGAAATCTGGAATAATTACTTAGAAAGATTAAGGTGTTTTTCTTAAAAGCCCTGTTAAAAGTGGGCAGAGTTTTATTGTCTGGAATAATCTAGAGAGGCCACACAGCAGGAGGTGAGTGGCAGGCGAGCGAAGCTTCATCTGTATTTATAGCCCCTCCCCATTGCTCTCATTACTGCCTGAACTCTGCCTCCTCTCAGATGGCATTAGGTTCTTTTAGGAGCGTGAACCCTATTGTGAAGTGGGCAAGGAAGGGATCTAGGTTGTGTGCTCCTTATGAGAATCTGATGCCTGATGATCTGTCACTGTCTCTCATCACCCTCAGATAGGACTGTCTAGTTGCAAGAAAACAAGCTCAGGGCTCCCACTGATTATGCATTATGGTGAGTTGTATAATTATTTCATTACATATTACAATGTAATAATAATAGAAATAAAGCACACAATAAATATAATGCACTTGTACATTATATTTCAGGTTTCATCCTGAAACCATCCCTCCCCACATACACACACTGGTCTGTGGAAACATCGTCTTCCATGAAACCGGTCCCTGGTGCCAAAAAGGTTGGGGACTGCTGACCTAGGACCAATGGGCTTGACAACCATTCTTTGGCATATGTCAAGCCATCTGGCATTTTTGCCTGCTCAGCATCCCTTTCCCTTCATCCCTATAATAGAATGTTATTTCCTTTGGGGAAATCTGTGTGTTTGCATAGGGCTGCCCCTTCCTTTTTACACAGTGGGGCAGACCTAGCTAATCAGATTACATCATTTCTTTGACCACAGAAGTTAATAGTAGGATGGGTGCATGACTCAAACTGGGCACATTAAAATTCTCTCCTGGCCAGATATTTTGGAAGAGTCTCTTTTTCCACTGAGTGCTAAAGTGGCTGGCTCTGAGGCTTGGGTTGCTGGTGGCTATAATGCCCTATGTGTGGAGAGAGCCAACAAAACAGAAATGCTAGAGACAATTCCTTAAATTATTTGAGCCCTGGGTTCTAATTATGCCTGAAGGAAGATTCATCCCTGGGTTATTTAAATATGAGCAGCAATAAATTGCCTTATTTTTTCTTTAGTTAGTTTATTTATTTTTATTTTATTTTTTGAGACAGGGTCTCACTCTGTCACCAACTCTAGACTGCGGTGACATGATCATGACTCACTGCAGCCTTGAACTCCTGAGCTCCAGCAATCCTCCCGTCTCAGCCTCCCAATTAACTGGGACTACAGGAATGTGCTACCGCATCCAGCTTTTTTTTTTTTTTTTTTTTTGAGAGATGGGGTCTCACTATGTTGCCCAGGCTGGTCTTGAATTCCTGAGCTCAGCTGATCCCCTCACCTCAGCCTCTCAAGGGCTAAGGTTACAGGCATGAACCACCATGCCTAGACTTTGTAGTTAGTTTAAATTGGTTAGTTTAAATTAGGGAAAGTCTTGACTAGCATGGCATGTGAGATGCTTCATTTATTCAATTAACATTTATTAATCTGCTCTAGTCACTTGACCACCCTGGAGATACAGAAACAAAAGAGTCCTTATCTCACAGTTCACAGTTAAAGAGACAGTTATAATACAGTAATTATATAATACCTGACACATTACTGCTTAATATGTTCTAAGTACTATTCTAAACATTTTACATATACTAACTTATTTAACTCTGATAACAACCCTTTGAGATAGGTTGTGTTACTTTTTCTATTTTAGAGAAGGAAAATGAAGCACAGAGAGCTTTAAAAAGTTGTCCAAGTTTACTCAGTTCAGAAGTAGAAGATCTGGAATTCAAACCCAGGTAGCCTGGCTTTTAGTCACGACATTGTATAGCTTCATTACACCTAAGGTTCAATGCTGGAGTTATACTGAAAAATAATCAATAATAATGGCTACCATACATTGAATGCACACTGTGTGTCCAGTCCTAAACTAGGTGAATTTCTGCCTTAACACATTAAGTCTTTTCAAGAATTTAATGCAGCAAAGATTATTCTTTGTGTAGTTGAGGAAACTGAGGCTTAGAGAGGTTAAGTGACTTGACCAAATTGCACAGCTAAAAACAAATGGCACAGACTGAATTTGGATCCAGTCATGTCTGCCTCTAAAGCCCTTCTTCTTTCCATCATATTACCTTGGAGGGCCTTACATTCCAACTTTTCCACTAGACGTGCAGCATTTCTAGGATGCTTATGATTGGCTGCCAGCAACCGAGAAATGAAGTCAACTTGGAGAATTTTCTAACATCAGAAAGTATGGCATATTTTGCTTGCAGCAGTGCTCTTGGAATTGGTGTATACCTTGCAACCTGATACTCCTGAACATATATTTGCTGTAGTTGAGGAGAGAGTAAGACACTTGTTGTAAACATCCCCTTTGGGAGTAAAAAAAGGATGTTATTTATTTATTTTTATGGCAGTCATTCAAATGTTGAAGGAGGAGACACTACTTTTGTGCTGCTTCCTGCCTTCAGGCCAGACCTGCAAATAAGGCCTTTGGATAAGGAATGAGTCAGGTATCCTGGGGACAAAGTGCACATTTCATAAGAAATCCGAGAATGAGAAGGTAGTATTTCGGTGGGAAGGTTTTCTATGATCCATAGAAGGCATTGTTGTCTAATAAAACCATCCCGTAACACAGGAGAAGCTGGTAATGTTCCTCCATGTAACCAAATCATGCACGGGGTTTACTGATGCTCCACATTCCTTCAGGGAAAACATATCAGCTAAGATACACCTGTATGCTTCCTCATCCAAACATTTATTAAGTGCTTACAAATCTCTTTATCTAGATTAACTCATTAAAGCCACATAACACCGCCATGACACAAATGAGAAAAATGAGGCATAAAGGACTTGACTCAGCAGCAATTGAATTATCTGCTTACCAGGAGTCAGTGACGTTTGCTAACCAGTTTTTGCCAGGCACACATGGTGTAATTAAATTAAATGTACAATGGAAACCTATGAAATATGAGTGTAAAAAGAAGTTGAGCTATTATTCCTATGAAAGCTAAGTTGGATGTTTTGGAAAGACTTTTCTCTAAAAAAATTATTGCTATTCAATTAGGTAATGTCATGCTCTTTTCCTCCTCTTTGCCTGTTGCTGCTAATTAGAAGGACTTTTCTCATATTTTCCTCCTTCAAATGTATCCTCCAGGATCCAGCTCAACTATGATCTTTTTTGAGAAACCTCGGATGGTCTGAGTTCTACCAGTTCTGCTACTCATTAGTGGTGAGTTGCTTAATGTCTCTGAGCCTTAGAGTCTGCACCTGTGCAGGATTGTTATGAGGATTGAGATGATGCTTATTAAGTTATCTGGTCCACAGCAGGTACTCGATAAATGGCCCTAATTTTGATGTGCTGATCTCATGTTAGGAGCTATGGAAACTGATGAACGAGACAGTCCCTGCCCAGGAAGCCTCAGACTAACACATCACTGCCTGCTTTTGGCTCCACTTGTCCCTTAGTGAGCTGAAGCAGATTTTCATAAATGTAGATGGAAACTTTTCTAGATGTTTTTAGACACCAACACCATTATGTCATCCAGGTTTTCAGTTAACATTTGATTTATTAACTAATCCTGAAGAGCGCCAGCACAGGTGACTGTCTTTATTTATTTATTTTGAGATGGAGTTTTGCTCTGTCGCCCAGGCTGGTGTGCGGTGGTGTGATCTCAGTTCACTGCAGCCTCTGCCTCCCAGGTTCAAGTGATTCTCCTGCCTCAGCCTCCCAAGTAGCTGGGATTACAGGTGTCCGCCACTACACCCGACTAATTTTTTGTATTTTCAGTAGAGATGAGGTTTCACCATGTTGGCCAGGCTGGTCTTGAACTCCTGACCTCAAGTGATCCACCCGCCTCAGCCTCCCAAAGTGTTAGGATTACAGGCGTTAGCCACCGTGCCCGACTGTGACTGTCTTATACTTAGTCACAAAATGATTTGTCCTGAAGCTTAAAGGGGCCATAGGAATAACTTCAAAAGGAATAGGTTCCCATTCATGGAAGCCACATGGAGCAGGCTCTGGAATCTCTCCAAATTATGGGTTCAAATCATGGCTCTACCATTCACTGGCTGTTTGACCTTGGGAAAGTTATATAATGACTCTTATCATTCCTTATCAGTAAAATGAGGATAATAATTCTCATTTCATATAAATGGAATAAGGAGCAAATGAGATGAAGTGACAGGTGTCCAGCACAGTACTTGGCACATAATAAATACCTAATAAATGTGTTAGTCTCCTAATAGGGGACTATAAGTAGGTGGGAATATAGAGAGGACATTCTTAACCGTGAGCTAAGGAATAGCAGGCAGGCCTTCCTTCAATACTTCCTTTCCACCATCATCACAAAGACTCTGATCTGGGTAGCCTATTGCTTTGTCCGTGCACACAGTCTCTTCTCGGTCTTTCAGTAGAAATGCTTTTTTTTTTTTTTTTTTTTTTTTTTTGAGACAGAGTCTCACTTTGTTGCCCAGGCTGGAGTGCAGTGGCCCGATGTTGGCTCACTGCAACTTCCACCTCCCGGGCTCAAGTGATTCTCCCACCTCAGACTCCCTAGAAGCTGGGACTACAGGGATGTGCCACCATGCCAGGCTAATTTTTTGTATTTTTAGCAGAGACGGGATTTTGCCATGTTGGCCAGGCTTGTCTCGAACTACTGGCCTCAAGTTGATCCGCCTGCCTCAGCCTCTTAAACTGCTGGGATTACAGGCATGAGCCACCATGCCTGGCCAGAAAGACTATTAATCAAATTCATATTCCATTATTTACTTGCAGGATTATCTTGAGAGAGGTAATATCAACTAAGATATACCTGTATACTTCCTCATCCAAACATTTATTAAGTGCTTACAAATCTCTTTATCTAGATTAACTCATTAAAGACCCATAACACTGCCATGATACAAATGAGAAAAATGAGGCATAAAGGATTTGACTCAGCAGCAACTGAATTATCTGCTTACCTGGAGTCAATGACGTCAAAGAGTCAAAGAGCCTCTGGAAATCTCATTTTCTTTTCTTTTTCTCTGAGACAGGGTCTCAGTCCATCGCCCAGGCTGGAGTGCAGTGGCGCCATCATAGCTCACTGTATGACTTCCTGGGCTCAAGCCATCCTCCCACCTCAGCTTCCCAAGTAGCGGGGACTACAGGTGTGTGCCACCACGTCCAGCTAATTATTGTATTTTCTGTAGAGACAGGGTTTCGCCATGTTGCCCAGGCCAGTCTCGAACTCCTGGGCTCAAGCGATCTACCTGCCTCAGCCTCCCAAAGTGCTGAGATTACAGGTGTGAGCCACCACGCCTGGCCTGGGAACCTTATTTTCTTTATAATATGCAGATACAAGTGAATACACCTTGGAAGGATGATGAAAGGAATAAAAATAGTGAAAAGCATCTAAGCCACTGCTGACACATAATAGGTACTCATAGGTATTCAATGCATTGTAGCTAGTAATAGCATAGTAGGAAACCTCGTCTATGAACTAGAAGTTGGTCAATTAATTGAAAAAGTTGATTATAGGAGGGAATCTTCCTTAAAAAAGGATACAATCATTCTTCCCTTCACCATGCTCTACTGGTACCACTGAGAGCATCAAACCTGTACCATTACAATCCCCAATACTAGCTCCCATCCCCACTCCTGGCCTGTACCAGTAGACATGAGTCACCTACAAAGATTAGAAATACTGCTCCAAACACAAAGTTTGGTCTGCAAATTTGCAGGTTTTCCTGCTCACAGAGACCACACAAATGACCACATACTGGGGTAGAAGGAGAAGAGGGTGGGGGTGGCACTCACCATGGACCACAGAAGAGGAAGATGGGGAGAAATCTGAAATAGGGGGAGGGGAGGGAAAACTGGAGGCAGGAGGAACCACAAAGGGGGAACTGCTTCGGTGACCAGCTGTCCTTCATGTTGCTGTCTGGAGTGGACTATCAACTGCCTGCAAAATTCGGTTGCCCATGAGCAACCAATTTGAAATGAGCTCTTCTACCCTGGAGGCAGTGGCCTGCTTTCCTTCCCCACTGGACCCTTCCCATGTTAGCAGTATCGACTCTTGTAAGCCCCAGAACATAAAGTGAGGGGACCTGGCCTCCTCAAGGGGTTAAGGTGCCCTGAAGGGAAATCCTTATCCCCCTACCAAAGTGAGACTGGACATAATTAGCTTGACCTTGCCTTTGTGTTGGGATGGTGTGGAACGCCCCCCAACCCCTTCCTTGTTATGCATATTGCAAGCTGCAAACACTAAGGATTTGGGGCAATGTGTTTTTAAGTCAAACTGGAGACTACCCCCACTCTGAGCTGGGACATAGAGTCAATGCAAAACCCACTTGTCAAAAACAATGTTCATATTTTAATCAAATGCACACTTCTGATTTAGTTGCTCATGCAGCTTATAATTAGACCTTGTTTTAGGGGACAAAAATTTAAAGCAGCTGTGTTTCAGTGCTATTCAGATCTGTGACTGACCCAGTTTTTAAAAGTTAAAAAATGTGGCATTGCTACTTGTCACGTCTTGGCACCTGGCTTACACTCTGGTAAGATGAGTGTTGGGAAGTATTTTCTGAGCTGTGAGCATGGAAGAGGAAGGGCCTTGGAGCTGAGGGCATTGTATATATAGCCTGCAGGCAAAACTCCGGAGACATAGATAGCTATCTCTGAGATTTAGTGCTGAAAGGAATAAAAATAATAAAAAGCATCTAAGCCAGTGCTGACACTGAAAAGAAGATGGCAGGACAGACTCCTAGACTCACCTTAACAAGACTCCAGACTCACCATAACAAATGATAGATCTTAGAGACAAATCATTGTGGAGGTGTGTATGCTGGTGTTCTCGATGTTTTTGCCACCACCATCCTGATGGCAGAAGTGAGCTATAAAGCTGAAGCCTTAATAATAAATCCTGCCCCCCTTCCCTGTGTGCAGAGCTGTCAGGTTCCTTCCTCAACCCTTGCAAGAAAGAAGATGGTTTATTCTAAAGAAACTGAGTGAATTAGGACTAGACTGTATTTCAGGATTGCCAAATACTGTATAATGGTTGGTTCCCTGTCTGCTCGTTATGAAAAAAAGCTTTCAGTAACACAACTCCCACCTACCTTCCCACACAGAAGTCATAGTCAGCTCTTCTTTGCCCACCTTCTCAAACATGTGCAAGCAAAAACATTTCAGTAAAACAAAAAGGATAAGTTAAACTAACAGAAAGAAACAATGCTGGAGGAAGGGGAGATCACTCAGAGGAATAAGCCAAATAAATAAAATAAACAAATTTAAAAGAATCACCCTCCTTAGTATTCTCATAAAGATGATGCATCCACAAAATAAGAACAGGTTGCTATGAAAAGGGAAGACCTCACAGTGCAAGATAGAGGCTTTCCCAAAGTTGATAACAATCCTAACAGTTTAGAGAACATTACGAATAATATCATATGTGAAGCACAAAGAAACTTCCAAATTATCAATTGCAAAGAACAAACTTTGGTCAACCGTAGAGACAAAACTGAATATCTTTCCATTTGTTGAACTGAAAATGATATTACAAAATCATTGTCCTAAGAAGAGCCTATCAAAGAGTAAACAGCTGGCCAGGTGCGGTGTACACACCTGTACACACCTGTAATCTCAGCACTTTGGGAGACTGAGGTGGGGGAATCATGAGATCAAGAGATTGAGACCATCCTGGACAACATGGTGAAACCCCGTCTCTACTAAAAGTACAACAATTAGCTGGGCATGATTGCACATGCATTATATTGAGAGTGTGTTGCAAGTTGTTTAAATAGCACCCTTTCACAGGCAGTCACACGTATCACCACAGAAGTATGACCATGAAAACAAAATTTAGAGAGGTAATATTTACATTGGCTTTAGCAATGGGGGTATGGCTAAGTCATAAGTGAATCACAAAGTACACGTCTTAATATCCAGTTATTAGCAGATTATAGGACAAAAATGCTACTGGTGAAAATATGTCTCCCTACATGTTCTATAATGCTTAACAACCTAAACCAAAAAGGGAAAGGTAAGCTAACAGTTATTTAAAATTAAAGAGGAAGAATAACAGCAATTGAAAATCATGACAAACTCAAGACAACACCAATGATTTGATGATCTGATAACAGAGAGTCTATTCCCCAAATTCAGGGCATTCCAGCTATGTTAGGCCATTTGTGCATTGCTATAAAGAAATACCTGAGACTGGGTAACTTATACAGAAGAGAGGTTTAATTGGCTCATGGTTCTGCAGGCTGTACAGGAAGCAGGGCACCAGCATCTGCTTGGCATCTGGGGAGGCCTCAGGGAGCTTTTACTCATGGTGTAAGGTGAAGCAGAAGTAGGCACTTCACACGGTGAGAGCAGGAGTAAGAGTGAGTGTGGTGGGAGGTGCCACATACTTTTAAATGACCAGATCTCACAAGAACTCATTCACGATCACAAAGACAGCGCCAAACCATAAGGGATCCACCCGCCATGAACCAACACCTCCCACCAGGCCCTACCTCCAGCATTGGGGATTACAATTCAACATGAGATCTGGGTGGGGACAAATATCCAAACTATATCACCAGTTATCTGTGTGAGGCCATGAACAGTAGGAGGCAAACTGGGGTTGCCACAATTGGCCTGGGAGACAAATTTCCTAGTGGAATACTGAAAATTTAGAGGCTTTAATAAACTCTTGTAACAGCCCAGTGTTTGTTTATGAACATCACATTTTATAATGGATAATTCATTTAGTAGTTTACTAGTGAAAATATAGATTTATAAAATTATTAATTTGGGGGTCCATTTGAGGTACATCAGCAAGACTCAGGCCCATCAGCAGATGCTGGCTCATTTTATTTTATTTTATTTATTTTTTTGAGGTGGAGTCTCGCTCAGTCGCCCAGGCTGGAGTGCAGTGGCGCGATCTTGGCTCACGGCAAGCTCCGCCTCCCGGGTTCACGCCATTCTCCTGCCTCAGCCTCCCGAGTAGCTGGGACTACAGGCCCTCACCACTGCACCCAGCTAATTTTTTGTATTTTTAGTAGAGACGGGGTTTCACCGTGGTCTCCATCTCCTGACCTTGTGATCCGCCCGCCTCGGCCTCCCAAAGTGTTGGGATTACAGGCTTGAGCCACCGCGCCCGGCCAGATGCTGGCTCATTTTAAAGAATCCCTGGGCCGGGCGCGGTGGCTCACGCCTGTAATCCCAACACTTTGGGAGGCCGAGGCGGGCGGATCACTAGGTCAGGAGATCGAGGCCATCCTGGCTAACACGGTGAAACCCCATCTCTACTAAAAATACAAAAAAATTAGCCGGGCATGGTGGTGGGCGCCTGTAGTCCCAGCTACTCAGGAGGCTGAGGCGGGAAAATGGCGTGAACCCGGCAGGCGGAGCTTGCAGTGAGCCAAGATCGCGCCACTGCACTTCAGCCTGGGAGACAGAGCGAGACTCCGTCGCAAAAAAAAAAAAAAAAAAGAATCTCTATGTAGGGGAGAGGCATAGAGAATTAGAGTCAGAAAAGGCTGGTCTTCAGTGCCCACTTATGAGACCACGAGCAAATTCTTAGCTGCTCTGAGCTTTAGAATTTGCGGCACTCAGTGGTTTGCTGGAACTGGCCAGTTGTTAAACCACTGATAGTTTAATATCAACTATGGTGGGAGGAGTTACGAAAATTGACAAACACCTCAAATTAGGGATGTCTTTCTCTCACAGGACAGGTTTACCAACATACTGCTGTCACACTCCCCTCCAATGTGCACCAAATCACGTAAAAATGGGGATAATGACTCCCCTGTAAGAATTAAATTGTTTTGGTATTGAACCAAACCTAGGTAATCAATAAACATTTTATAGGGTGGCTGCCAGGCATGATCACATGTAATTCCCAAGGCAGCCTGTGGAGGTAGGCAGTAGTATCTCCCAGGATAATCATGTGTTTTGCAATGCATGAAATCGAGCTACTAAAATATGCACCATCACAAATGAATCTCATAGCTTTCAGTGAGAGAAGTCAGACACAAAGTAACACATACTGTATGATTCCATTTATATGAAAAATTAAGAACTGATGAAAGTTCAGAAACTGAAAGAAGGTTATAGAAGCCAGAAGAATGCTTATCCCGGTGGGGAGAGGGGTGGGACTGATAAGGGGCATGAAGGAAATGTTGGAGTGCTGGAGAGATCTGGATGGTGGTTACACAAATGCATATAGATGCAAAAATTCATCATTATATACTCTTGAGATTATTGCATCTTATAGTAGATACTTTTTACCTGAATAAAAAAAGTTTGGTAAAAGGTATATTGGGGAGCCAGGTGTGGTGGCTCATGCGTGTAATCCCAGTGCTTTGGGAGGCCAAGGTGAGAGGATTGCTTGAGGCCAGGAGTTCAAGACCAGCCAGGGCAATGTAGGGAGACCCCATCTCTATAAAATTATTTTTAAAAATTAAAAATAGTTTGGTGGTGTGCACCTGTGGTCCTAGCTACTCGGGAGGCTGAGTTGGGAGGATTGCTTGAGTCTGGAGGTCGAGTTAGCAGTGAGCTATGATTGCACTGCTGTAACTCCAGCCTAGGAGACAGAGTGAGACCCTGTCTGAAAAAGAAAAAAAAAGTATATTGGATTTGAAATTAGAAAAAGAAGAATCTGAGAAGGCATGTTTTATAAACTGGAAAGCACTGTTCAAACCTTAGTTGCTCTTAACATGCATGTTGCTCTTAATGTGCTTAAAGAAGGCAGAGCTGCAAAGCCTCTTTTACCTTCAAAATCTGAGTGTCCCCTTGCTGGTTAGAGACGTAGACCAGAGGACCCCGTGAAGGAGAGAATCTTAAGGTGCTCTGGTTGCTGATGGCCTTTGACAGCCCCCCTGGCCCCTGGTTGCTCCCCATCTCTGGCCACTCATCAGTCTCTCTAAGGTTCACTTGCTTTTCCTCTGTTACTCTTTTAAAGGCTAGGGTCCCCAGAGCTCTGTCTTTACAACTGTCCTCACTCTACATGCTGCTGACCAGCTGTGTAGCTCCAGTTCTCATTGTAATTTCCTAACCTCCAATTCAGAGCTTTTTTCTCTGCTAGATCCATACTCGGTCATTCAACAACTATTTATGGGGTTATCTTCTTATGCCAGGTATTGTTCTTGGCACTGGGCCAGACCAGTGAATGAACTAGATGAAGATCTTTATCTTCATGGAGCCTATATGCTTAAATCACGCTCCTTGGATGTGCTCAAAACTCAGTCTTTCTCATATTATCTCACTGTTTTTATCCCTTGCTTCTCCCCAACCCTAAGTTTGCTCCTCCCATGTACCCCCCAATCTCTATGAAATGCACTGTTATTCTCTCAGAAACCTGGGAGTTATCCCTGGCCCCACTTTAATAAATCATCGTATGTCATAGGTCCATCAGGAAGAAAATAAATAAATAAACCACCATATGTTGACTATTCTGATTCCTTAATTTCTTTCAACCACCCCGACAACCCACCATTTTTCCTGTATTGTCACCAACCCCTCCTCCATTCCCCTTCTCACCTGGCTTACTGTTCTCTCTGTCTTGTCCCTGCCTGTCATTCTCCATACAGTAGTTATTAATAGGATGATTATAAAATACAAATCGGAACTGGCTGCTTTCTGCCTAAACCTGTCCAGTGGGCCTGCCAGCTAAAAATCTAAATTCCTTACCTTGTCCTTATGTCCTCAATTGTCAGGCACAGTAGTGACAAGCAAAGCTGCTGAAACCTGGGTTTAAATCCAGGTTTGATCTGGCATGACCTTGGGCAATTTTTTGAATCCTCTCTATGCCTTACTTTCCTACCTATAACATGGGAGTAATAACAGCTCCAACCTCATGTCGTTGTGGGGTTAAATTTGTTACTTCATGCAAAGCCCTGAGAATAGTGTCTAGCCTTCCGTCTATGTACAAGAAGAGCTGGTTTTCTCTCTTACAGGGTTGCTGTAATGTTTAAATGAGTTAAAACATGCAAGGGGCTTGGCACAGTGCCTGGCCCATTGTAAATGTCTTTAAATGTCAGTCGTTGGTTATCATTGCCTCTCTAATCTCACTTCATGCCCCTTTCCATCCAAACCTGACTGGGAGCCCTGCTGGACTGGCTGCAGTTTTCTCTCTTATACCTCCAGGCCTTGATGTTCCTCCCTTGCCACCTTTTTCCTCCCCAGCTCCCACTAATCCCTCAAATCTCAGCTCAGGCACCAGTCCCTGGCGCCGGACCTGGCTGGGCTGATTGCTCCTTCTTAGGACCTGCTCTTACTTCTAACACAGCACTGTTCACACTTCTTGTCACTGTTTATTTAAAATGTACTGAGAAGCCCCCATCAACAGATGATGATAAACAAAATGTGACATATACATACAATGGGATATTATTCATCCTTAAAAAAGAAAGTATTTCTGCAACACCTATGACATGGATGAAATTTGAGGATGTTACTGGAAATAAGCCAGTCACAAAAGGACAAATACTGTGTGATTCCACTTACGTGAGATACCTGGGATAGGCAAATTCATAGAGGCAAAAAGTAGAATGGTGGTTATCGAGGGCAAGGGATGGGGAGAGGAATGGGGAGCTGTTGTTTAATGGATATGGAGTTTCAGTTTGGGAAGATGAGAAAAGCCAGATAAATAAATAGTAGCAATGGCCAGGCATGTTACCTTACGCCTGTAATCTCAGCACTTAGGGAGGCCAAGTTGGGTGGATCACTTGAGGCCAGAAGTTTGAGAGCAGCCTGGCCAATATGATGAAATCTTGTCTCTACTACGAATATAAAAATTAGCTGGGCCTGATGGCAGGGACCTGTAATCCCAGCTACTCAGGAGGCTGAGGCAGGAGAATCGCTTGAACCCGGGAGGTGGCGGCTGCAGTGAGCTGAGATTGCACCACTGCGCTCCAGCCTGGGGGACAGAGCAAGACTCCATTTCAAAAAAAAAAGAAAAAGAAAAAATAGTAGCAATGGTTGCACAACACTGTGAAAGTACTTAATGCCACTGAATGGTACACTTAAAAATGGTTAAAATGGTAAATTTTACATGATGTATATTTTACTGCAATAAAAAATAAATTTTAAAAAGTGTACAGAGAAGCAGTTTTAGCCTTGTGGTTCTCATCCTGGCTCCAGATCGTGGCTCCACTAGGCTATCAGGCTGTGTGATCTGGTGGCAAGTATCTGACTTTTCTATACTTCAGTTTCTTCATCTGTAAAAGTAGGCAAATTTCCCTCACACAATTGTTTGAAGATTAAATGAAGTAATGTCTGTAGAATACTTGATATGGTGTCTGGATAATGGTGAGCACTCATAAGTGTTTTCAGGTGCCTAACACCTTAGGTGCTCAATGCACGTATATGCAATGAATGAATGACTGAACAGTCTTCTATTTCAAGTCCCTACCTCAGCAATCCTTAAGTATGGTATAAGAACACAAGAGATCCCCAAAACCTCTTTCAGGTGTCCATAAAGTTAAACCCACTTTCATAATAATACTAAGGTATTATTTGTCTTTTTCAGTCTCATTCTCACACAAGTATATGCAGTATGAAAAGCTCATTGATATGATTTCAGATTCCACATTGCAACAACCTTTGAGAAACTCCCACTCGTCAAGTTTTAATGTGGTGTCAAAGAAGAATATTCAAACTTATCAGAAAAAAGCAATTAGAATACTCCTGCCTTTTCTAGCCACACATAAGATTTTTTTCATTATACTTCAACCCAAAGAACACACTGAAACAGATTGAATGTAGAAGCAAATATAAGAATCCAGCTGTGTTCCATTAATCTAGGTAGTAAAGAGATTACAAAAATATAAGGAATGCTACTCCTTTCACTATTTTTTTTTTTTTGCTTTAGAAAGTGTAGTTATTTTTCATGGAAATGTGCTATTTATATTAACAAACTAATAATTTATTAAGGTTGTTTTAAAATAAATTAATAGGGGCCGGGTGCAGTGGCTCACGCCTATAATCCCAGCACTTTGAAAGGCTGAGGCGGGCAGATCACTTGAGGTCAGGAGTTTGAGACCAGCCTGGCCAACATGGTAAAACCGCTGTCTCTATTAAAAATACAAAAATTAACTGAGTGTGGTGGTGGGTGACTATAATCCCCGCTACTTGGGAGGCTGAGGCAGGAGAATTTCTTGAACATGGGAGGCAGAGACTGCAATGAGTTGAGATCGCGCCACTGCACTCCAGCCTGGGCTGGAGAGAGAGGAGACTCCATCTCAAAACAAAAAAAAGATTCATAAATACTTTATTTTATTACTAATTAATTTATTTTTGAGACAAGGTCTTGCTCTGTTGCCTAGACTGGAGTTGAGTGGTGCGATCATGGCTCACTGCAACCTCGACTTTCTGGGCTCAAGTGTTCCTCCAGAGTAGCTGGGACCACAGGCATGTGCCACCACACCCAGAAAATTTTTAAACTTTTTTTATAGAGGTGGAATCTCATTTTGTTGGCCAGGTTGGTCTTGAACTCCAGGGCTTAAGCAATCCTCCCATCTTGGCCTCCCAAAGTGTTGGAATTACAGGCATGAGCTACCATGCCTGACCTAATACTTTATAACTTCCAATTTCAATTTCTAATATGGCTAATATTGATAGAGATAACCCACATAAACAACATTCTTTGGGGTTCTCAATAATTTTTAAAAGTGTAAAAAGGTCCTGAGACCAAACAGTTTGAGAACTGCTGTCTTGCCTTGCACTTGAACCGCCACCAACCCATCCAGGGCAATTGGCCTCAGCATATGCTTTAATGCTGCATAGGATGGGGAGGCCACCACCTCCTGGAGCAGCTGGTTTTATCTTTGCACTACTCTGTTTGCTAAGAAGTTCTGGCAGTGAGTCAAAGATCTGTCTCTCGGAGGCTCCCACTGATTGGCCTTAGACCCACTCCTTGGTTTTACACATTGCAGTTTGGAACCCTCTTCCAGGTCTGGAAGATAGTCATCGATTGCCCTTTGTGGTGGCCCCAGAGGGAATCAGCCCTTCCTTCTGGTGACTAAAGTACAGATGCATTTTTCAGAGTCAGCCAGTGATTTGCAGGAGGCATTGCCAAGCCAGATAACTCACAGCTGCTTTCCCAGGAACCCGAAGATCATCTCCAACCTCACATCAAATTTGAGAAATTCATGTTGTTATTGTTTTCCTCCATAAGTTAATTTTTTTCCATTATAAATCACACGTGCTTATTAAGGAAAATAAAGAAAAGTAAAAAGAAAAGAGGCTTGAAAAGAAAATTTGGTCACAATTAGCCCTGACTTTCTTGTCTTGGCATCTCTCCTTTTTGGGCTTGCCCTGAATGCCATTCTTTTCATACAGTCCTTACAAGCAGATATGTGCACCATGCCAGCTTGCGAGGTCTGTGGGGTTGACAGAGTGCCCACTGCTTGGTGGAGTGGGACAGCTGCTGGCGAGTTCATAGCTCCTTGAGGGCAGCTGAGGCAGGGCACTCAGAGGGAACAGGAAGCTCCTGCGAAGAAGCCTGATGCTTCTGCCATCTGAAGACACTTCAGGGCAGGTCTCTTCCAGCTATGTGGGGTTAGAGAAGACTGACACTACTACAGTGGTGTCTGGTAAATTTCTTTCTGCATTTTTGCAGGGAGGGGTAAAATAAGAAGTTCCTCTGGGAATTCTACTTCTGAGAATCTATCCTAAGGAAATGATGAAAGATTTAGACACATTATGTGTCTATCATTATTCATAAAACTTGGAAATAAAACTAAATGTTTTAACAATAAACGTTTAGTTTTAAAACTGTGTGATTGTATATTCTGTGCTGGTTGAAAATAATAGACATTTATGAAGTCTTTAATGACATGGGAAAATTTCCAACATAGTATGTTAGTTGCTCTTGTATATGGCTGACATATATGTAGTTCCTGGATAAATATTTGTTGATCAAAAACTGAAAAATTAAGAAAACTTTAAAAAGAAAAAAACACATACACATGCACATACACGCACACAAAAGCAGGATACAAAACTGTATTTACAGTATAGTCTCAATTATATAAATATTTTTGTGACAAGTTGGGAATAAAAAGGTCATCTTAATCTTTGGCGCCAATATATGTCATAAGGAGAAAACTATCTTGGTGAAAACATTTAAATGCCCAGCAGGCACAGGTGTCAGCAGATTCCCAGCTCAGAGAAGGGGAAGCTGCTTTGCATGAAGCAAAGAGGAATTTGGTTTATTGCTTCTGAAAAGGAAGCAGAAGGAGGAAGATATTGGTCAGGGTGCTCACAATTGCAAATGACAAAAATTTAACTCTATCTAGCTAGACCAAAGAAAACCCAGGTATCCAGTTAGAAACGTTTGGATTCAGGGACTGGAGCTTTCCCATCCATATTTGAGCTCTCTCTTCATGTCTTGACTCTTGTTTTTCTTTATCTTGATTCATTCTCAAGCAGGCCTTCACATGGGGTGGCAAAGACACCAGGAGCAATACTGATCTTCCTATCAGAGACCCTGGGGGCAAGAGTCTTTCACTCACCAAACATTCCCACAAGCCTGTCCCTGAGCATCAGTGTGACCAGAGAGGTGGGATGCACTGACTGGTCACTTGTATGGATCACTGGAACAGGGTGGGATCAGCCCTGCTCAAGCCATTTGAGAGAAGGGGTAAGGGTGGTTCCCCAAGGGAAAGCTGTTGCTTATTACCCGAGAAGAGGGGTCGAATTCAGTGAATGCTCAGCAGGCACAGAGAAAAGATGCCACCACAGGGAGTAGAGAGAAGAGAGAAGGATGAAGAAGAGAGGAGTCAGTGGAGAGACTGAGTCCGGGTGGAGTGAAGGGCCGGGGAAGCTCCCCTCTGGCAGATAGTGGTCCTTCCATTTTGAATTGTTTGCTTTGCTATGGATGTGAAACTCTCCTGGATTTCCCCTTCATCCTCCACATTGCCAGCAAATTCTACTAACTTCAAAACTGCTCTATGGGAGTGGGTTGTTTTTTGTTTTTTGTTTTTTGTTTTTTTTTTTGAGACGGAGTCTCGCTCTGTCACCCAGGCTGGAGTGCAGTGGTGGGATCTTAGCTCACTGCAACCTCCGCCTCCTGGGTTCAAGCGATTCTCCTGCCTCAGCCTTCCAAGTAGCTGGGACTACAGGCGCCTGCCACCACGCCCGGCTAATTACCCGGGATTGGGTTTTTGGTGGAAATTGGAGGGACTAAGTTTTGAATGTGGATCTGCACACTGCAGAACAGAGGACCATGTGGGGAGCCAGGAGCCCAGAGGCTAGCTGGCTGTGGTAAGAGAAGTCTGTTGGGAAAGAACTGAATTTTTTTTTTGAAACAGTGTCTCACTCTGTCTCCTAGACTGGAGTGCAGTGGTGTGAACACAGCACATTGCTGCCTCAACCTCCCAAGCTCAAGCAATCCTCCTGCCTCAGCCTCCTGAATAGCTGGGACCACAGGCATGCATCATCACACCCAGCTAATTTTTTTGTGTGTGTGGAGACAAGTCTCAGTGTGTTGCCCAGGCTGATCCTGAACTCTGGGGCTCAAATGATCCTCCTGCCTCGGCTTCCCAAAGTGCTGAGATTACAGGTGTGAGCCACTGAACCCAGCCAGAACGGAAATCTTGAGGAGGGCTTTGGATTTCCACAAGACGTGGAATTGGAGGGAGGAATCCAGTTAATTATGTTTCGACTTTTTTTTCTTTTTTTGAGGTGGAGTCTCACTCTGTTGCCCAGGCTGGGGTGCAGTGGCACAATCTCGGCTCACTGCAACCTTCGCTGCCTGGGTTCCAGCAATTCTCCTGCCTCAGCCTCCTGAGTAGCTGGGACTGCAGGCATGCACCACCATGCCTGGCTAATTTTTGTATTTTTAGTAGAGACGGGATTTCACCATGTTAACCAGGCTGGTCTCGAACTCCTGACCTTGTGATCCGCCCACCTCGGCCTCCCAAAGTGCTGGGATTACAGGCGTGAGCCACCGCACCCGGTTTATATTTTGATCTTTAAGGGCAGGAGGGCTCTCAGTTGAATCTGAGTTATGTATATTCATCTTTGCTATACAAATTCTGTGTTTGTGAATTTTCATTTTTATGAACTGATTATAACAAAATTTTCCAAGGGAGCAAACTTCTTCCACTCACTTATGGTCAGGGCTTGCTTATCTCAGATGCGTGTGTTCAGAGGTCTTCCAGCCACTTTCAGAGCCAGGTGTAGAAGCAGAGATGGAAGTGTTCGCTGATGCTGGATGGTGGATTTATCAGGTGAGTGCTAGAGAAGGTCAAAAGGGTGAGACATTTAGCCAGGCTGTATCCATTCTGTTCTGTAGAAGCCAAAATGCCGGAAAGTCTACTGCTCTGTGTGTGTATGTGTGTGTGTGTGTGCAGTGTCAGCACAAACCAACTCAGTGCTTAGGGAGCAATATGGATCCAGGGCCCACATCAACTCTAAATTAACATTCCCTGACTGTTGGGACAGACAGGCATGTAAACAACTAATTAAGACAAAAAGTGTAATAAAGGTATAACGAAAGTATCACTGGAATACTTAAGAGGCAGTACCTACTTCCTCTAAAGTTGAGAAGGGCAGAGTGGGCATGAAAGACTTCCCAGAGGTGGGATCATGGGTTGGATCTAGAAGGATGAGTAGGAACTATACAGTGAAGGATAAAAAGGAGGAAATGCATTCCAGGATGAGGGAACAGCTTGAGTGAAGACATCTCTAAAACTGTATGAATAGTAGGAACATTTGTCTGAAAAATATATTTATTTACATGTATACATGTGGAAGAGACTATGCACCAAAATGTTAGCAATAAGCCAGGTGTGGTGGCATGCACCTGTAGTCCCAGGTATTCAGGAGGCCAAACTGCGAGGATTGCTTGAGCCCAGGAGTTCAAGACCAGACTGGGTAACATAATGAGACCCCATCTCAACACAAAGAAAAAAAATGTTAACAATAGATATTCCTGGTAGGATTATAAGTGAATTTTTGAAATTTTATTTTCCTCCCTTTAAAAATTATCCTTCTCTTTTTTTTTTTTTAGTAGTGAGTGGGTATCACTCATTAATATGAAAAGTTAAAGACCTTCTGCCAAGTTTGGTAAATTTAATAGAAGGCTTTATATTAGACTTCTATGTATAAAAAAAATTTCTTGCAGTTTGAAGAGGGAATAAAATTTGGCAGGGCGTGGTGGCTCATGCCTGTAATCCCAGCACTTTGGGAGGCCAAGGCGGGTGGATCACAAGGTCAGGAGTTCGAGACCACCCTGTCCAACATGGTGAAACCCAGTCTCCACTAAAAATACAAAAATTAGCTTGGCATGGTGGCGTGTGCCTGTAGTTCCAGCTACTTAGGAGGCTGAGGCAGGAGAAATGCTTGAACATGGGAGGCGGAGGTTGCAGTGAGCTGAGATCTTGCCATTGCATTCCAGCCTAGTGACAGAGCAAGACTCTGTCTCAAAAAAAAAAAAAAAAAAAAAAAAAAAATTACAAGCAAGGGTGTTAAAAATACAATTATTTCTTCGGGCATTCATTTAACAAATATGTACCATGTATTCTTTTGAGGTTGCTCAGATGATACAGGCAGGGAGAGCCCTTCAAAGGCAGGCCATATAGATAAAAAATGAATGTAAGACAAGGCAGAGAGGCCAAGGACTGTGAGAGGTGGGCCGTGGCACCATGTGTGTGTGTGTGTGTCGGAGAAAGAGCAATAATGAGCTTTTATAAATCACTGCAATGATTCCTGTCAGCATTATCCAAAAAGACAGCAGACATCACACTGGAAGTGTGAATTCTGACCCATGAGTGGGTCATGATATCAGTTTAAATGGTCAAGACTGGAAATTTTTGTTTTGTTTTTAAATAAACTTTTCCTTTTGGAATAATTTTAGATTTACCAAAAGCATAGAACGATAGTTCAGAAAGTTTCCACATGTTTTTCACCCAGCTCCCCCTAATGTTAACATATTACATAACCATGGTACATTTGTTAAAGTAAGAAATTAACATTAATGTAATATTATTAACTAAACTATAGATTTTATTTGGGTTTCACCTGTTTTTCCACTAGTGTCCTTTTTCTGTTCTACGTTTCCAGAATACCACATTACATTTAGAAGATTAGAATTTTTTAAAAAATGAAATAATATAAAATAGAATAGAAAATACTTGCACAGACTAAGGTTAAGTATTATTTTATGAAAAGTTGTTTCTACTACATATGTAGGATGTATTTTTTACTGAAGGTAGCAGTTTTTTAAAAAAGAAACAGTCTTAGAAGACACCTAAAAATTAAATATTCTTGCCATTGTGAAGATTAATATTCTAGTGAAAAACAAAAAACACTTGCATACAGCATTGTGAGCACTATATCTCAAAGTCAGAAAATGCAAAGGAAACTAAGACAGTAGGAATCAGAGGACACAGCAAGAGAGAGATCCTTTTGTTCCTTCCATAGTGATGTACTGAACAGCTTTGCCCTTTGGAATAGAACTGACTCCCTACATGCTGCTGAGTTGGATGGAATTCTTGGCTCAAGCAGCTGAACAGAATTCATCACTTGATAGAAATACACCACACACACGATCTCAGAGCCCAGCAATGCTGTCCCCATGTCCCTCTCCTAAGCCAGGCTGTGCCCCTTGTAAATGAATTAATGGCTGTGAAAGCAGTTGGTAAAAGGCAGTTGGTATGTGCACTTTGAGTGAGTCACTTTCCTTCTAAGTGAGTCACTTTCCTTCTGGGTCTCAGTTTCCTCATCTGTAAAATGGGGCTTCCCCATATGGCTTTTGGGAGAATCAAGTGAGAAGAAGAAAGTGTTTTATAAATTGTTAGGGGCTATACAGATGAATGTAAAAATTATTATTTCAGATGTGAATTGTCATTGGTCAACCTTTTGAGGGCAATAATTATATTTTATTCATCTCCATACCTCTAGTGCCTACCACCATAGCCATCCCACAGACTCATCTCCATGGGGAGATAAGGACCTGGGCACACCTTCCCCTTCCTGGACTTGGAGATGTTCGCCCAGTTCCTGAAGGCTTCCCACACCCTGTCCTGCTCCTCTATACAGTGGGACAGATTCAGGCTAGATAAGCTCCATTGACCTTGCAGATTCAGGAGTGAGTATGGACCTTCACCAGAGCCCTGCCTAGTGAAGAGTCTCCTCAGTTCAAAGGAGGCTACTGAGACTGGTTCTGGGTTCAAATCACCCATTTCAGTTTTTTTATTTTTATTTTTATTTTTTTTGGAGACATAGTCTGTTGCCCAGGCTGGAGTGCAATGGCATGATCTAGGTTCACTGCAAACTCCACCTCCCAGGTTCAAACAATTCTCCTACCTCAGCCTCCTGAGTAGCTGTGATTATGTGCACTCACCATCACGCCAGGCTAATTTTTGTATTTTCAGTAGAGACAGCGTTTTGCCATATTGGCCAGGCTGGTCTCAAACTCCTGACCTCAAGTGATCTGCCTGGCTTGACCTCCCACAGTGCTGGGATTATAGGCATGAGCCACTGAGCTCAGCCTGAGTTTTTATTTTTATTTCTTTTTCTTTTCTTTCTTTTTTCAGGTTCTTGCTCTGTTATCCAGGCTGGAGAGCAGTGGCTCACTGCAACCTCTACCTCCCAGGCTCAAACAATCCTCCCACCTCAGCCTCTTGGGTAGCTGGGACTACAAGCGTGCACCACCACGCTGGCAAATTTTTTTGTATTTTTTGTAGAGCCAGGGTTTCACTGTGTTGACCAGGCTGGTCTTGAACTCCTGGGCTCAAGTGATCTGCTTACCTCGCCTCCCAAAGTGATGGGATTATAAGATCGAGCCACCTTGCCCAGCCTATTTTTATTTCTAGTTAAAAAATACAGGCCAGGTGTGGTGGCTCATGCCTGTAATCCAGCACTTTGGGAGGCTGAGGCGGGTGGATCATGAAGTCAAGAGATCGAGACCATCCTGGCCAACAGAGTGAAACCCCGTCTCTACTAAAAATACAAAAATTAGCCAGGCATGGTGGTGGGCGCCTGTAGTCCCAGCTACTCGGGAGGCTGAGGCAGAAGAATTACTTGAACCTGGGAAGCGGAGGTTGCAGTGAGCCGAGATGGTGCCACTGCACTCCAGCCTGGCGACAGAGTGAGACTCCTTCTCAAAAAAAAAAAAAAAAAAGTGTACAGTTCAGTGGTATTAAGTACATGCACATTGTTGTGCAACTACCACTACCATCCATCTTCAGAATACTTTCCACCTTGCAAAATGTAACTCTATGCTCATTAAACAATAACCTCCTTTCTCTCCCCTGCAGCCCATCCCCTGGCAACCACCGTTGTACTTTCTGTCTCTATGAATTTGACTGCTCTAGGTATCTCATATAAGTAGAATCATAGAGTTTGTATTTCTTGACTGTCTTATTTCACTTAGCATAATATTGCCAAGGTTCATTCATGTTGTAGCATGTGCAAGAAGTTCTTTCCTTTTCAAGGCTGAATAATATTCCATTGTATGTATATACCACATTTTGCTTATTCATCCATCCTTTCATGGATACTTGGGTTGTTTCCACCTTTTGGCAATTGTGAATAATGCTGCTATAAACATAGGTATACAAATACCTCTTTGAGACCCTGGTTTCAATTCTTTTGGGTATATATCCAGAAGTGGACTGGCTGGATAATATGGTAATCCTATTTTTATTTTACTTTACTTTATTTTTTTGAGATGGAATCTTGTTTTGTTGCCCAGGCTGGAGTGCAGTTGTGCGATCTTGGCTCACTACAACCTCTACCTCCCAGGTTCAAGTGAGTCTCCTGCCTCAGCCTCTTGAGTAGCTGGGATTACAGTCATGCACCACCGCGCCTGGCTAATTTTTGTATTTTTAGTGGAGATGGGGTTTCACCATGTTGGCCAGGCTGGTCTCGAACTCCTGACTTCAAATGATTTGCCCGTTTTGGTCTCCCAAAGTGCTGGGATTACAGGTGTGAGCCACTGCACCTGGCCTCTAATTTAAAAAAAAATTTTTTTTTTTTTGAGACAGAGTCTCACTCTGTCACCCAGGCTGGAGTGCAATGGCGTGGTCTTGGATCTCTGCAAACTCCACCTCCCAGGTTCAAGTGATTCTCCTGCCTCAGCCTCCCAAGTAGCTGGGACTACAGGCGCATGTCACCACAACCGGCTAATTTTTGTATTTATAGTAGAGACAAGGTTTCACTGTGTTGGCCAGGTTGGTCTCGAACCCCTGACCTTGTGATCCTCCCATATTGGCCTCCCAAAATGCTGGGATTACAGATGTGAGCCACCGCGCCCAGCCTAATTTTTAATTTTTTAATTTTGTATATAGATGGGGGTCTCACTATATTGATTAGGCTGGTCTCAAACTCCTGGGCTCAAGAGATCCTCCTGCATCAGCTTCCCAAAGTGCTAGAATTACAGGTGTGAGTCATCATGCCTGGCCCTATTTTTAAATCTGTAAAGAAAACATTTTCTATAGTTTTCCATGGTGTCTGTATCATTTTCCATTCCCACCAACAGTGGACAAGGATTCCAGTTTCTCCACATCTTCACTAATGCTTGTTCTTTTCTGCCTTTTTTTTTTTTTTTTAATAGTAGCTATCCTAACAGGTGTGCTGACATCTTTGTATGTTCCTTTTAGAAACAAAAAATGGGCCAGGTGCAGTGGCATGTACCTGTAGTCCCAGCTACTTAGGAGGCTGAGGTGGGAGGATTGCTTGAGCCCAGGAGTTCGATACCAGCCTGGGCAACAAGACTCTTTGTCTAAAGAAAAATGTTTAAATGGGATCATGTTATACAAATTACCTGCAGCTTGTTTTTGTTTTACATTTAGCAGCATATCAAGGACATCTTTTCACACTAGTACATAGAGATCCACACATTTCCCTTTAATGCCTGCATAGTATTCAGTTGTATGGGTGTATCATTTATTTATTTACTTATTCACCTATCAGCAGATATTCAGGTTGTTTCCAGATTTATGAGGTTACAGTGCTGCAGTAAGCATTTTTGAACTTCATGTATTTGTGCTATTTTTTTTCTTTGTAGGATAGACTCCTATAAGTGGTTTTGCTGGGTCATAGGGTATGCATGTTTTTAAAAATATTATTAATTGCTGTCAAAGTACCTTCCGATAAATTTATGTCAGTTTGCACTTCCACCAAAATTGTATGAGAGTGTTCATTTCCTTACAATCTCATCAGCATTGGCATTATCAATCTTTTGAGTGTTTGTTGAGTGAATATTCTTAAACACATCAAACCAAATATGACAGAAATAATGGACTGGCTTACTCAACATCCAGTCAGTTTATACTTTCTACAGTGAATTCTGTGAACTTGTTTTCTACTATACCTAATCGTGAGACATGCTCAAATCATTACCTTTTCTGAGGCTCAGCTTCCTTACTTGTGAAAAGGAGAGAGTAATACCTATTTTATAGGGGTGTTGTGGAGGTTAAATGGAATGATACATTCAAAACGACTGACGCACTCTCGGTTCAGTAAGGTTTGTGGGTGGTGAGTCCTTTTTCTCTTCCTTCTTTTCAGGATAACTCATCCTATAAGACCCAGCTCAAGACTGAGTGCAGGCCAGGCATGGTGGCTGACGTCTGTAATCCCAACAGTTTGGGAGGCAGAGGTAGGTGGACTGCCTGAGGTCTGGAGTTCAAGACCAGCCTGGCCAACATGGCGAAACCGTCTCTACTAAAAAAAAAAAAAAAAAAAAAAAAAAAAATTAGCTGGGCATGGTGGTGCATGCCTGTGATCCCAGCTACTCGGGAGGCTGAGGTACGAGAATCGCTTAAACCTGGGAGGTGGAGGTTGTAGTGAGCCAAGATCACGCCACTGCAGCTGCACTCCAACCTGGGCAACACAGAGAGACCCTGTCTCAAAAAAAAAAAAAAACAACAAAAAAATGACTGAGTGCAATGGCTCACACTTGTAATCCCAGCTACTTGGGAGGCCGAGGTGGGAGGATCATTTGAGGCCAGGAGTTTAAGACCAACCTGGGCAACAGAGCGAGACACCATCTCTACACAATTTTTAAAAAATTAGCCAGGCATGCTGGTATATACCTGTAGTCCCAGCTATTCAGGAGGCTGAGGCAGGAGTGTATTAGTCCATTCTCGCATTGCTATAAAGAAATACCTGAGACTGGGTAATTTATAAAGAAAAGAGGTTTAATGGGCACGCAGTTCTGCAGGCTGTACAGGAAGCATGGTGCTGAAATCTGGTCGGCTTTTTGGGAGGCTTCAGGAAACCTACAATCATGGTGGAAGGTGAAGGGGAAGCAGGAATGTCTTACATGGCCAGAGCAGGATCAAAAGCAGGGGTAGGTGCTATACACTTTTAAACAATCAGATCTTGTGATCAGATCACTATACAGTACCAAGGGAGGATGGTTCTAAGCCATTTATGAGAACTCTGCCCCCAAGATCCAAATACCTCCCACCAGGCCCCTCCTCCAACACTGGGAATTACAATTGAACATGAGATTTGGGCAGAGACACATATTCAAACCATAACAAGGAGGATACCTTAAGCCCAGGAGTTTGAGGTTATAGTGAGCTATGATTGTGCCACCGCAACCTGGGCGACAGAATGAGACCTTGTCTTTAAAAAAAAAAAAAAAAAAAAAAGACCCACCTCAGCTCAAATGCCATCTTTTAATCTCCTAATACCCTGGGCAGAGACATAATTATTGCTCTCTTCTCTGGGTTCCTATTGCATTTAATTAATTCCTTTTATGGGTCATAACATATTGTACTGTGATTTATGCATATGTGTTTGTCTCCTCAACTGGCTTTTGAGTTTTTTTTTTTGTTGTTGTTTTTGTTTTTTTTGTGAGATGGAGTCTCGCTCTTGTTGCCCAGGCTGGTGTGCAGTGGCGTGATCTCAGCTCACTGCAACCTCTGCCTCCCGGGTTCAGGCGATTCTCCTGCCTCAGCCTCCCGAGTAGCTGGGATTACAGGCACCTGCCACCGTGCCCGGCTAGCTTTTGAGCTCTTTGAGAGGAGGGAATGTTCGTGATCCATCTCTGTATCTGCAGAACCCAGTATAAGACTGACACAGGGTAGGGGATGAGTGAAATATGTTGATTGACTGAATTCACCCTAGCACAGTCTCACTGGACTCTTCAGTTTCCCACTCCTTGTTGCAACACTCAACTTTTAATTTCCATGTGCTTTTTACAGCCCTTTGTTGTCAGTGTATGTGTGTCTTTATAGATGAAGTGTGTTTCTTGTAGACAACAGATGATTGGTCTTGTTTTTGATCCATTCAGCCACTCTTATGTCTTTGACTGGAGCGTTTAGTCCATTTACATTCAGTGTTATTATTGATAAGTAAAGACTTACTCCTGTCTTTTTTAAATTTGTTTTCTGGTTGTTTTGTGGTCTTCTCTTTCCTCTTTCCTTCTTTCCTGTCTTTGTTTTAGTGAAGGTGATTTTCTCTGGTGGTATGTTTTAATATCTTGCTTTTTATTTTTTGTGTATCTGTTGTATTTGATTTGAGGTTATCATGAGGCTTGCATATATTTTATAACCCATTTTTTAAACTGATGACAACTTAACACTGATTGCATAAACTAACAAGCAAAGAGAAAACTAATAAAAACTCTACACTTTATTTTTTTTCTTTTCTATTTTTTTTTGAGGCAGAGTCTCACTCTATCACTCAGGCTGGTGTGCAGTGACACGATCATGGCTCACTGCAGCCTTGACCTCCCAGGCTTAAGCAATCCTCCTACCTCAGCCTCCCAAATTGCTGGGATTACAGGTGTGTGCCACCATTTCCATCTAACTTCTACACTTTAGCTTCATCCCCCTGCTTTTAACTTTTTGTTGTTTCTATTTATATCTTATCGTACTATGTTGTAGTTATTATTTTTGACAGATTCATCTTTTAGTCTTTCTACATGACTACAGTGTTATAATAGTCTGTGTACTTACTGTTACCATTGAGTTTTGTACCTTCTAATGATTTCTTTTTTTTTTTTTAAACATAGGATATCTTTTTATTTATGTCTCTTTAATTTTTTTTTTCTTTTTTTTTTTATTGATCATTCTTGGGTGTTTCTCACAGAGGGGGATTTGGCAGGGTCATAGGACAATAGTGGAGGGAAGGTCAGCAGATAAACAAGTGAACAAAGGTCTCTGGTTTTCCTAGGCAGAGGACCCTTCGGCCTTCCGCAGTGTTTGTGTCCCTGGGTACTTGAGATTAGGGAGTGGTGATGACTCTCAACAAGCACGCTGCCTTCAAGCATCTGTTTAACAAAGCACATCTTGCACCACCCTTAATCCATTTAACCCTGAGTGGACACAGCACATGTTTCAGAGGGCACAGGGTTGGGGGTAAGGTCACAGATCAACAGGATCCCAAGGCCGAAGAATTTTTCTTAGTACAGAACAAAATGAAAAGTTTCCCATGTCTACTTCTTTCTACACAGACACGGCAACCATCCGATTTCTCAATCTTTTCCCCACCTTTCCCCACTTTCTATTCCACAAAACCGCCATTGTCATCCTGGCCCGTTCTCAATGAGCTGTTGGGCACACCTCCCAGACGGGGTGGCGGCCGGGCAGAGGGGCTCCTCACTTCCCAGTAGGGGCGGCCGGGCAGAGACGCCCCTCACCTCCCAGACGGGGCGGCTGGCCGGGCGTGGGGCTGACCCCCCACCTCCCTCCCGGACGGGGCGGCTGGCCGGGCGGGGGGCTGACCCCCCCACCTCCCTCCCAGACGGGGCGGCTGGCCGGGCAGAGGGGCTCCTCACTTCCCAGTAGGGGCGGCCAGGCAGAGGCACCCCTCACCTCCCGGACGGGGCGGCTGGCCGGGTGGGGGGCTGACCCCCCCACCTCCCTCCCGGACGGGGCGGCTGGCCGGGTGGGGGGGCTGACCCCCACCTCCCTCTGAGACGGGGCGGCTGGCCGGGCGGAGACGCTCCTCACTTCCCAGACAGTGTGGTTGCTGGGCGGAGGGGCTCCTCATTTCTCAGATGGGGCGGTTGCCAGGCGGAGGGTCTCCTCACTTCTCAGACGGGGCGGCCAGGCAGAGATGCTCCTCACTTCCTAGATGGGGTCGCGGCCGGGCAGAGGCGCTCCCCACATCTCAGACGATGGGCGGCCGGGCAGAGACGCTCCTCACTTCCTAGATGGGATGGCGGCCGGGAAGAGGCGTTCCTCACTTCCTAGATGGGATGGCGGCCGGGCAGAGACGCTCCTCACTTTCCAGAGTGGGCAGCTGGGCAGAGGGGCTCCTCACATCCCAGACGATAGGCGGCCAGGCAGAGACGCTTCTCACTTCCCAGACGGGGTGGTGGCCGGGCAGAGGCTGCAATCTCGGCACTTTGGGAGGCCAAGGCAGGCTGCTGGGAGGTGGAGGTTGTAGCGAGCCGAGATCACGCCACTGCACTCCAGCCTGGGCACCATTGAGCACTGAGTGAACGAGACTTCGTCTGCAATCCCGGCACCTCGGGAGGCCGAGGCTGGCGGATCACTCGCGGTTAGGAGCTGGAGACCAGCCCGGCCAACACAGTGAAACCCCGTCTCCACCAAAAAAATACGAAAACCAGTCAGGCGTGGCGGCGCGCGCCTGCAATCGCAGGCACTCCGCAGGCCGAGGCAGGAGAATCAGGCAGGGAGGTTGCAGTGAGCCGAGATGGCAGCAGTACAGTCCAGCTTCGGCTTGGCATCAGAGGGAGACCGTGGAAAGAGAGGGAGAGGGAGACCGTGGGGAGAGGGGAGAGGGGAGAGGGGAGAGAGAGAGGAGAGAGGAGAGAGGAGAGAGGAGAGAGGAGGGAGGGGAGATAGGAGAGAGCTTCTAATGATTTCTTATAGCCCATTAACATCCTTTTCTTTCAAATTGAAGAACTATCTTTAGCATTTCTTACAAGACAAGTCTGGTGTTGATGAAATCCCTCAGCTTTTGTTTGTCTGGCTATTTTGAATAAGGCTGCTTCATTATTTGAAGGATATTTTCACTGCATATACTATTCTAGGATAAATAGAATAGTATAGTCCTTCAGCACTATAAATTTGTCATGCCACTCTCTCCTGGCTTGTAAGATTTCCACTGAAAAGCCTGCTGTCAGGTATATTAGAGCTCCACTGTATGTTATTTGTTTCTTTCCCCTTGCTGCTTTTCGGGTCCTTTCTTTATCCTTGACCTTTGGGAGTTGGTTATTAAATGTCTCAAGGTAGTTTTATTTGGGCTAAATCTACCTGGTGTTCTATAACCTTCTTGTACTTGAATATTGATATCTTTTTCTAGGTTTGGAAAGTTCTCTATTATTTTCCCTTTGAATGAACTTTTTACCCAGATCTCTCTCTCGACCTCCTTTTTATGGCCAATAAGTCTTAGGTTTGACCTTTTGAGGCTCTTTTCTAGATTTTTTAATCATACTTCCTTTTTTAAAAAATTCTTTTTTCTTTTGTCTCCTTTGACTATTTTCAAATAGCCTGTCTTCAAGCTCATGAATTCTTTCTTCTGCTTGATCAATTCTGTGTTAAGAGACTCCCACATTCGTCAGTATATTAATTGTATTTTTCACCTCCAGAATTTCTGCTTGACACTTTTAAGTTATTTCAATCTCTTTGCTAAATTTATTGGATCGGATTCTGAATTCCTTCTCTGTATTATCTTGAATTTTGCTGAGTTTCCTCAAAACAGCTATTTTGAATTCTTCTTCTGAAAGGTCACATATCTCTATTACTCTGGGATTGGTCACTGGTGCCTGATTTAGTTCATTTGGTGATCTCATGTTTTCATAGATGGTCTTGATGCTTGTGGATGTCCATTGGTGTCTGGGCATTGAAGAATTAAGCATTTATTGTGGTCTTCACAGTTTGGGCTTGTTTGCACCTGTACTGGAAAGGCTTTCCAGGTATTTGAAGGGACTCGGGTGTTGTGATCCAAGTTTTTTTTTAAATCACTACAGCCATATTTGCCTTAGGGGCAACCCCAAGCCCAGTAACACTATGGCTCTTACAGACTCATAGAGGTAGTGCCTTGGTGGTCTTCGATAAGATGCAGAAGCATTATCCAGATTACCAAGTAGAGACTCTTGCTCCCTTCCTTTACTTTCTCCCAAACACATAAAGTCTCTCTCTGTATGCTGAGCCACCTGGAGCTGGAAGAGGAGTGATACAAGCACCTCTGTGACTACTACCATTGGGACTGCACTGAGTCAGACCTAAAGCCAGTACATAACTGGGTCTTGCCCAAGAGCCACAGTAACTACTGCCTGGTACTTCCTATGTTCACTCAAGGCCCTAGGGCTCTACAATAGAAGCCAGCCAGGCTTGTGTCCTTCTCTTCAGGGCAGTGAGTTCCCCTGACTCCAGGTGGGTTCAGAGATGCCGTCCAGGAGCCAGGCCTAGAGTCAGAAACCTTAGGGATCTACCTGGTGCTCTATTCTACTGTGACTGAGCTGGTACCCAAGACACAAGATAAAGTTCTTCATACTCTTCCCTCCCTTTGCAGAAGAATCTCTCCCTGTGGCCACCATGCCCCAGGCCCACAGCAAGTACTGCCTGGCTACCACCAATGTTCACTCAAGACCCAAGGCTCTTCAGTCAACTTGTGGTGAATGCTGCTGGGCCTGGGACTCTCCCTTTAGGGCCCTGGTCCCAGGGAAGGTCCAGATATGCCATCCACAAGCCAAGGCCTGGAATCAGGAACCCCAAGAGCCTGCTTGGTGCTCTACCCTACTGTGGCTGAGCTGGTACCTAACTGCAAGACAAAGTCCTCTCTACTTTTTTCTCAAGCAGAAGGAGTCCCTCCCTGTGGCTACCATAGCTGGGAATGTGCTGGGTTTACACCTGAAGCCAGCACATCTCTGAATCTCTCACCCAGGGCCCATGGTGAGTACCACCTGGCTATCCCTGCTGTTTATTCAGGACCCAAGGACTGTATAGTCAGCAGATGATGACAAATTCTGCTATTAGTGGGTTCTTTTCCTCAAGGCAGCATGTTCCCTTCTGGCCCAGAGTGTGTATAGAAATGTCATCCAGGAGCTAGGGCCTCGAATGGGGTCCTCAGGATTCTACCTGTTGCCCTATCCTACTGTGGCTGAGCAAGTATCTAAGTTGCAAGACAAAGTCCTCTTTACTTTTCCCTCTCCTCTCCTCAGGTGGAAGGAAGGAGTCTCTCCTGGAGCCATGAGCTGTGCTGCCTGGTGCTGTGGGAGAGGTGGTGCAAGCATTTCCTTGGTTACCCTGGCCAGTGTCTCACTAGGTCACATAACCCCTAAGTCCACTGGCTCTGATCCTGGAACAGCACCCGGACTTGCCGAGGAATTGCAGTCCTGTGGCTTAGACTGCCTCTCAAGTTTACTTAGAACCCCAGAGCATTTTAGCCCACAATGATGAGGCTTGCTGGAACTCAGGTCTCAGCTACTGGGATAGACAATTCCCCACCCAGATAGGGCTGGTCTAAATGCTCTTCCATGCTTCCATGGGTTCTGGCTGAGTTTTGGATGGTGTTGCTTCCCACTGTGACAGGGTGGCAGTGAGTTCCAATGCAAAGTGTGCCACAATCACTGTGCTTTCCCTCCCCCAAACACATAGATTCTCTCTCCATGCCATGTGGCCACTGCCAGGGGATGGAAGAGGGGTGGTGTCTGCAATTCAAGATGGTTTTTTCTACCCTTTTATGTGCTCTTTAAGTAATATGAAGTTAAAACCAGGTACTATGATTACTCACCTGATTTTTGGTTGTTATGAAGGTGATTTTTTTGTGTGAATAGTTGTTCAATTTGGTGTTCCTGTGGGGAGGACAATTAGTAGAGGCTTTTATTCAGCCATCTTGCCCCACCTCCTCCTCTGCAATTGTCAACTTTTTTTTTTGAGATGGGATCTTGCTATGTTGCCCAGGCTGGTCTTGAACTCCTAGGCTGCTCAAGGAATCTTCCCATCTCAGCCTCCCAAAGTGCTAGGATTACAGGCATGAGCCACATGGCCGGCCTGCAATAGTCAACTTTTAATACCCCCACCGATATCTTAGACTAGGATCACTTGGCTGCAAGGAACAGGAACCTTTTTAAACCAGCTCAAGAAAAAGGGGTGTGTATCAGTCAAGCTTCAAGTGCAGAAAACAGAAATCACTCTAGCTATGGTAAATGGAAGAGGATTTAAAAGGAAATGAGATGTTTATGAAGTTGTTGCAAAGTTAGGAGGAGTGAGCTGTAAGCTAGACCTCCAGGAATAATCCCCAGAATAATACTGCAAAACTGGCTGGCCACTGGAGCTGCCATCTCTTTTACCGTAAGAGAGGTGGAGAATCAAAAAACCATCGACGGAACTACCGATGTTCGAGAACACACTATTATAGTTGCAACCGAAGAATCAGAATGCTGCTGCTGCTCTAGATAACTCCTTTTTAAAATTTTAATTTTACATTAAGAAGTTTAGGCCAGGCATGGTGGCTCACGCCTGTAATCCCAGCACTTTGGGAGACCAAGGTGGGTGGGTCACCTGAGGTCAGGAGTTCAAGATCAGCCTGACCAACATGGTGAAACCCCATCTCTACTAAAAATACAAAATTCACCAGGTGAGGTGGCAGACGCCTGTAATCTCAGCTACTCGGGAGGCTGAGGCAGGAGAATTGCTTGAACCCAGGAGGCAGAGGTTGCAGTGAGCTGAGATTGCGCCATTGCACTCCAGCCTGGGCAACAAGTGTGAAACTTTGTCTCAAAAAAAAAATTTTTTTTTATTTTAAAATTTTTGTGGGTATATAGTAGGTATATACATTTATGAGGTATATGGAATATTTTGATACAGACAAACCATGTGTGATAATCACACCAGTGTAAATGAGGTATCCATCACCTTAAGCATTCGTCCTTTATGTTACAAATAATCCAATTATACTCTTTTAGTTATTTAAAATGTACAATTAAATTATTATTGGCTATAGTCACCCTGTTGTGGTATCAAATACTAGAGCTTATTCATTTCAACTATTTTTTTGTACTCTCTAACCACTATTCCCCTCACCCCCACCTCTACCCCGCTACTCTTTCCGGCTTTTGGTAACTGATATGGTTTTGCTGTGTAACATCCAAATCTCATCTTGAATTCCCAAGTGATGTGGGAAGGACCCAGTGGGAGGTAATTGAATTATGGGGGCAGGTCTTTCCCATGCTGTTCTTGTGATAGGGAATAAGTCTCACAAGATCTGACAGTATTATAACGGGGAGTTTTCCTGTACAAGCTCTCTCTTTTTTTGCCTGCTACCATCCAAGTAAGATGTGACTTGTTCCTCCTTGCCTTCTGCCGTGATTGTGAGGCCTCCCTAGCCATGTGGAACTATAAATCCAGTAAACCTTTCTTTTGTAAATTACCCAGTCTCAGGTATGTCTTTATCAGCAGCGTGAAAACAGACTAATACAGTAACCATCATTCTATTTTCTAGCTCCATGAGTCCAATTGTTTTAATGTTTAGCTCCCACAAACAAGTGAGAGCATGTGAAGTTAGACAACTCCTCTTGACACCCACAAAGTTAGTGACTGGTCACTGAGGCACTGCTGCAGGAAAACCCAGTCTCCATAACTTTTCTTCCTGGCAGCAATAGGCAAAGCAGCAGGAAGACAATCTCTGCCCAACTTCTGCTTTCCCAACCACCCATGAGTGCTTCTAATTGGTGGAACCTAATTTGGATATAAAATCTTAATTCTAAGAAAGTCTAAAAAAATGTTATTTCTATCTTTCCAGTCTCTGTAGTAGAGGGTACACTAAAACGAGCTTAGAATACAGGTTGAGCACTAATATACCACATCCACCCGAGGGGGTATATTGCTTAATGAACAATCTAACCACCAGGACCAAAAGTTCAGTCAAGCCTCCTGGGGACTGACATGGAGCAGCTGATTGTTGAAGCCACTCTGGTTTTCTCTTGTGGGCCCACCTTGTCTCTGATCTCTACTTATCTCTGTTCATCTTCTCAGCTTTCCTTTTTTTTTTTTTATGGATAACTTTTTTTTTTTTGGCTTACTCATGGTTTTTCTCTATACTAATGTTATAGGACTTATGGTTTTCTCTATACTAATGCTTACTAAATAAAGCCTTCAGTTTGCTATGGCACCCTACACTCCCATTCTACATTGCCTTTCTAATAAAGCACTTGGTACCATATGGCTGGCTCTATTTTTCATTTCCTAATTCCAAATTCCAGAGAAAGAGAGAATCTGATTGATCTAACCTGAATCAGATGCTCATCCCTGGTCCATTCAGCCAGAAGGATGGGACTTTGTGTAACGTAAAGCTCTGCCATTCTATAGGTATTGTCAAACTAAGTTCTTTAGAAAGAAATATGAAAATGGAGGCAAAAATAGACATGTCTACTTTACTAAATTTTCATCTCCACGAATTGCTGTAACCCCTTCAGTTCCATTCTTAGGATGTTATAGTTAGTTCTCATTACTCACACATTAGCACCTTCCATATGGCTAGCCATGCAATAGCATTTTTAAGCTTTATTGAGGTATAATTTACATACCAGAAAATTTGCCCAATTTAAGTGCACAGTGATTTTTAATAAATCTATGCAGTTGTGTGAAGATCACTGCAATGCAATTTTAGAACATTTCCAATACCCCACAAAGTTTCCTTGTACCTGTTTGTAGTCAATCACTGCTCTTACCCCCAAACAACAACTGATCTGTGCTCTGTCTTTATAGATTTTCCTTTTTAAAGAAATTTCATGTAAATGGAATCATTCAATATGTAGCAAAGTAGAGTTTTGATAAATGTCTGTTGATAGACTGGTGTGCTAAATTTTTAAAGAGCCCTATAATCCTCCTCACTTTCCTCATCCCATTTCCCAGCATGTCTATTCCTTTTCAGTGACTTGGTCTGAGTTTTATTTCTGTCCATGGATTACGAACATGCCGTTATCTGATGAGGTTGTTTCAACCAGCTGGTTATACTCTTTCCTACTTTCTCCACTCTTTCAGGCCACAGAGACTATTCTTTTTTTTTTTTTTTTGAGATGGAGTCTCACTCTTGTCACCAAGGCTGGAGTGCAATGGCACAATCTTGGCTCACTGCAACCTCCGCCTCTTAGGTTCAAGCGATTCTCCTGCCTCAGCCTCCTGAGTAGCTGGGATTACAGGTGCCCACCACCATGCCCAGCTAATTTTTGTATTTTTAGTAGAGACAAGGTTTCACCCTATTGGCCAGTCTGGTCTTGAACTCCTGACCTCAGGTGATCCACCTGCCTTGGCCTCCCAAAATGCTGGGATTACAGGTGATTACCTATCATTCAAGAGTGAGGGAAAAGCTGGGTGTGGTGGCTCATGCCTGTAATCTTAGCACTTTGGGAGTCTGAAGTCGGGAGGATCGCTTGTGCCTAGGAGTTCAAGACCAGCTGGGCAACAGAGGGAGATCCTGCCTTTACAAAAAGAAACACTCAAAAATTAGCTGAGCAGGGTGGCGAGTGCCTGTCATCCCAGCTACTCAGCAGGCTGAAGGCTGAGGTGGGAGGATTGCTTGAGCTCAGGAGGTCGAGGCTGCAGTGAGACGAGATCATGCCACTGCACTCCAGCCTGGGTGACAGAGTAAGACCCTGTCTCAAAAAAAAAAAAAAGAAAAAAAGAGTGAGGGAAAAATAAAATCATTTTTAGACATGCACAAAAACTAATTAAAAGGAATTCAAGAGGAATGATCAGTGAGTGTTAAAGTATATTGAAGGTTTCATCTTACTTTGGAGGAGGATGGAGACACTGATAATTTATGGAAGTTTATAGCTAAATTTATATATATCTTTTTTAAGGATAATCATTAAAAGAATAGAAAGACAATTTTTATCTTCTAAGGCATCAGTGGGGCAGAGGGAAGCCAAGAAAACGTTATCAATCCAACAGAATACAGAAAAGAACAATAAAGAAGCAAAATAGGCCGGGCGTGGTGGCTCACGCCAGTAATCCCAGCACTTTGGGAAGCTGAGGCTGGCGGATTACCTGAGGTCAGGAGTTCGAGACCAGCCTGACCAATATGATGAAACCCCATCTCTATTAAAAATACAAAAATTAACTGGGCGTGGTGGGGTGTGCCTGTAATCCCAGCTACTCAGGAGGCTGAGACAGGAGAATTGCTTGAACCCGGGAGGCGGAGCTTGCAGTGAGCCAAGATCGTGCCACTACACTCCAGCCTGGGCAACAGAGCGAGACTCCATCTCAAAAAAAAAGAAGCAAAACGGTAAAAAGAAAACATTCAAGATAATAGAAATGAACATAGCAATAATCACTATTAACAAGGAATAGATATTTATTTAGTACCTAATAAGTACAGCACTGTTCCAAGCTCTAGAGATATAGTAGCGAGTAAAACAAACTCCCCACACTCAAGAAGCTTACATTTTCCTGGAGAGACATGTTCTAATACAGGAAGACACAATATAGTGAAACAGATTAAGCTCACCTATACAAATCCAAAAACTATCATTGCATAAAAATAGAATCTAGCAATTGTGCTACTCAGAAAAGACGTAATTTTTTTTTTTTTTTTTTTTGAGATGGAGTCTCCCTCTGTCACCAGGCTGGAGTGCAGTGGCACAATCTCGGCTCACTGCAACCTCTGCCTCCCGGGTTCAAGCAATTCTCCTGCCTCAGCCTCCTGAGTACCTGGGACTACAGGCACATGCTACCACACCTGGCTAATTTTTGTATTTTTAGTAGAGATGGGGTTTCACCTTGTTGGCCAGGATGGTCTCGACCTATTGACCTCGTGATCCGCCCGCCTCGGCCTCCCAAAGTGCTGGGATTACAGGCATGAGCCACCGTGCCTGGCCTAAAGATACAATGTTAAAAGACACAAATCACCCAAATCACAGGCCTAACAACAGAGAATCACCACATAAATCAAAAAGGGAAAAATTGACAAATGCACAGTTATATATATTTGGAGATTTTTTATCACATTTTTACATTAAGTTGATGGATCATTAACTTAAGTTGGAACATTAAGTTAATAGACACTGGAACGATGTAGTTAATATACTTGATATAATAGAAATAGAATAGACACTGGAATGATGTAGTTAATATAATTGATATAATAGAAATAGAATGCTGCATCCAACAAATAGAGAATATGCATTCTTTTAAAATATGCACTAGAACATGTACAAGGGCAAAAGAAAGTCTCAAGAAAGTTTAAAAAGATGTTATACAAAGCATGTCTCCTGACCACGATGAAATTAAATTAGAAATAATATATTTATTAAGCATGTATTATACACCAGGTAATTTTCTAGAAGCTGGGCACACAGCAACAAACAAATGAGATGAAGTCCTACTGTCATGAAGCTTGCATTCTGAGGGCAAGAGGACAGATGATAAACAAATTTCAAAAAATATTTAGGCTGGGTGTGGTGGCTCACGCCTGTAATCCCAGCACTTTGGGAGGCTGAGGCAGGTGGATCACTTGAGGTCAGGAGCTCAAGACCTGTCTGGCCAACATGGTGAAACCCCGCCTCTACTAAAAGTGCAAAAATTAGTTGGGCATGGTGGCACACACCTGTAATCCCAGCTATTCGGGAGGCTGCGGCAGCAGAACCACTTGAACCTGGGAGGCGGAGGTTGCAGTGAGTTGAGATTGCGCCACTGCACTCCAGCCTGGGCAACAGAGCAAGACTATGTCTCAAAAAAAAAAAAAAAAAAAACCATGGTGGTTACTCAGACAATAGAATTATCTTTACAATAAAGGACTTCCAAAATGACAGATGAGAAAGTGTATATTAAACACCTTTAATAAATATTCTGTAAAATAATAAAATACAGAAAATTTAGATGGACACTTGTATCTCCTAATTTATGTATCTTGGTCAGCTTCTCCACAAGCTTACCTAATTGTTTATATACTTTATACTCATTAAAGTATACTTTTTTTAAAAAAAAAAGAAAAGCCTCTCTGATGAGGTAACATTTGAGCAGAAACCTGAAAGGAGTGAGGGAGCAAGATATGCAGCTATGTGGGGGAAGAAAATTCCATGCAGAGTGAATAGCAAGATCAAAAGCCCTGAGTTGGGAGGGTGCTTGCCATGTTCAAGAAACAGCAGTGAAAAGATAGTTAAAACAAAACAAAAGAAAGCATACATATGGAAACTTACAAAACACACTGAACCATTAAGGAACAGCTTTTGGCTGTAAGAGTCCTGAGAAACAACAGCTTTAAAAAACTTACTTCTCTTTCTCCTGATAGAAATTCTGGAGGCAGGTGGTTCCTGGCATTAGGTTGATGACTCAAAGTACTTAGTTCAAGATCTTTGTGATTTTGGGCCCAGCACTGTGGTTGATGCCTGTAATCCCAGCAGTTTGGGAGGCTGAGGTGGGTGGATCATTTGAGGTAAGGAGTTTGAGACCAGCCTGGCCAACATGGTGAAACCTCATCTCCACTAAAAATACAAAAATTAGCCGGGTGTGCTGGTGGGCGCCTGTAATCCCAGCTAATTGGGAGGCTGAGGCATGAGAATCGCTTGAGCCCAGGAGACGGAGTTTGCAGTGAGCCGATATCGTACCACTGCACTCCAGCCTGGGTGACAGAGTGAGACTCTGTCACCAAAAAAAAAAAAAAAAAAAAAAGTTTATTTTTCTTGGCCTTTTCTTCATGGTTTCTGAATAGCTGCTCCAGCTCCAGCCTTCGTGTGTACACTCAAGGCAGCAGGAAACAGGAAGAATTAGGAAATATAAAATGTCTCCAGAGCTCTTCCTTTCCTCTTCTTCTCCCCCTTCTCTCCTTTGGCCCCCTATAAGTTTTCTATGTCTCAGCAACAAATTACCACAAACTTAGTGGCTTACAACAACACATATTCATTATCTGACAGTTTCTGTGGGTCAGGAGTCTGGAAATGGCTTAGATGGGTCTTTTGCTCAGGGTTTCATAGGCTGCAATCATGACATCGGAGGGCTGCATTCTCATCAGCGGTTTCCAAGCTCCCTCAGGTTGTTGGCAAAATTCATTTCCTTGAAGCCATAGAACTCGTGACGGTATGCTTCTTAAAGGCCAGAAAGAGAGCAAAAGTAGGTCTGAGTTTGGGAACAGTGGCATCTATTACAATGAGTGCTAATGCTTAGATCTTAACTTTTTTTTTTTTTTTTTTGAGACGGAGTCTTGCTCGGCCGCCTAGGCTGGAGTGCAGTGGCGCGGTCTCGGCTCACTGCAAGCTGTGCCTCTTGGGTTCATGCCATTCTCCTGCCTCAGCCTCCCAAGCAGCTGGGACTATAGGCGCCTGCCACCACGCCCAGCTAATTTTTTTTTTTTTTTGTATTTTTAGTGGAGACGGGGTTTCACCATGTTAGCCAGGATGGTCTCGATCTCCTGACCTCATGATCCGCCCACCTCGGCCTCCCAAAGTGTTGGGATTACAGGCATGAGCCACTGCGCCTGGCCTAGATCTTAACATTTAAATGTTGACTCTCACTCTGTCACCAGGCTGGAGTGCAGTGGCCTGATCTCAGCTCACTGCAACCTCTGCCTCCCGGGCTCAAGCAATTCTCCTGCCTCAGCCTCCCTAGCAGCTGGGACTACAGGCACATGCCACCACGCCCGGCTAATTTTTTTTTTTTGTATTTTAGTAGAGATTGGGGTTTCGCCATGTTGCCCAGGCTGGTCTTGAACTCCTGAGCTCAGGCAATCCACCCACCTTGGCCTCCCAAAGTGCTAGGATTACAGGCTTGGGCCACCGTGCCAGGCCAGATCTTCACATTTAAATACTATTCTTCATTGAAAAGAATCAGAGCTCTTTGGAGTAATGGCTCATTTGAGGGCTGGGTCAAAGAAAGTGTAAGAAGAGCTTAGAACATCTTGGACCAAAAAGCAAGGAAGAGCTCAAAGAACGATGATGAGGACGTGTCAAAAGGATCCTGAATGGTACAACCATTTTGGGAAACAGTTTGGCAATTTCTTATAAAGTGAAATACAACAAGTCCTTGAATAATGTTATTTTGTTACAATGTTGATGAGAAAAAAAAAAATAACTTCTTGGCCTGGGTCACCAGTGTAGTTTGGACTCTGTTTTCTCTGTGTACTCTAGCTTCCTCCCACATCCCAAAGATGTGCACATTAAGTTAACTGGCATGTTTCAATTGTCCTAGTCTGAGTGAGTGTTGGTGTGCATGTGAGTGCACCCTGGAATAGCTTACGTAGCATCCTATACATGGTTGGTTCCTGCCTTGCACCTTTAGCTGCTGGGATAGGCTCTGGCCACTCTCAACCCTGAACTGGAAAAATTGGGTAAATAATGATCTTACTTGTTTATTTTTGAGACACGGTTTCACGCTGTTTCCTGGGCTGGAGTGCAGTGGCATGATCACGGCTCACTGCAGCCTCGACCTCCTAGGCTTAAGTGATCTTCTGCCTTGGTCTCCCAAAATGCTGGGATTACAGGCATGAATCACTGTGCCCAGCCTCTTGTTTTTTGTTTTGTTTTTGAAACAAGGTCTCACTCTGTCGCCCAGACTGAAGTGCAAAGGTGTGCGGTCATGGCTCACTGTGGCCTTGACCTCCGGGGCTTAAGTGATCCTCCCACCTTAGCCTCCTGGGTAGCTGGGACTATGGGACTATAGGGGTGTGCTGACATGCCTGGCTAATTTTTTGTATTTGGGTTTTTTTTTTTTTGTAGAGATGGTGTTTTGTCATGTTATCTTGCCTGGTCTCAAACTACTGGGCTCAAGCGATCTGCCCACCTTGGCCTCCCAAAGTGCTGGGATTACAGGCATGAGCCAAGGCACCTGGTCTGGCCTCTTTTTATTAATCTTTCTTAAATGTATGTATAGGCCACATTGATTTCAATGTTTGATATTAGAGGTGTTTTGGTCTTTATTTAGAAGTTTGATGATGTCTTGTGACCAGAAATATGCCACAGGAACTCAACTCTTATTTATATCAATTAGCCAGCCTATGGTAAAATTGGTTTTGTTATACATTGTTTTGCCTAAAGTTGCAGAACCCATTGATGGCGTTAAGTGAGGACTTACTGTATACACTTATCCTACTTATTTATTCCACTTCTAGCCCATCTCTGATTTCAGCTGCAGCTTTGGTGGACAGTTTCACTTCTCATCCTGCTAGCAATTCCTAGCATAGAGCAGTCACCTTTGATTAGAGATTGTATTAGTTTCTTATGGATGCTGTAACAAATTATCAAACACAAAGTGGGCTTAAAACAATACACATTTATTTTTATTTTTTTATTTTATTTTTTGAGATGGAGTTTCACTCTTGTCTCTAGGCTTAAGTGCAATGGCGCAATCTCGGCTCACAGCATCTTTACCTCCTGGATTCAACCGATTCTCCTGCCTCAGCTCCCGAGTAGCTGGGATTACAAGCATGTGCCACCACGCCCAGCTAATTTTGTATTTTTAGTAGAGATGGGGTTTCACCATGTTGGCCAGGCTGCTCTTGAACTCCTGACCTCAGGTGATACACCCGCCTCGGCCTCCCAAAGTGCTGGGATTACAGATGTGAGCCACTGTGCCTGGCCAACAATACACATTTATTATTTCACAGTTCTGTAGTTCAGAAGTCCTAAATGGATGTCAGTGGGCTAAAATTAAGGTATCATCAGGATACCATCTCTTCCTTTCCAGAGGCTCCAAGGGAGGATCCATTTTCTTGCCTTTTCCATTTTCCAGTCTGCTCCCAAAAGCTGGAGAGTCCCTTTCCCCAAATCCTCAATTTACTCACATCTGCAGAGTCCTTTTGTCATGGAAGGTAACATATTCATAGTTCCCAGGGATTGGAATGTGAACATTCCATTGGATGAGCCATTATTCTGCCTAGTGCAGAGATCACGAAAAGACAATCCAGATTAGAGTCAATTTACTGGGTTAGGATCCTGGGTTAAGTTACTTAACCCCTCTGTGCCTCAGTTCCCGCATCAATAAGATGGGTGAGGATAACAACAGTATCTACCGTAGAGGGTAGAGGTTTAAAGACAGTGTTTGTAAAGTGCTCAGAACAGTACCTGGCACATAGAAAGAACAATAGGAACATTTATTAAATACATTTTTTTTGAGACAGAGTTTTGCTCTTGTCACCCAGGCTGGAGTGTGGTGGTGCAATCACAGCTTCCTACAACCACCGCCTCCTGGGTTTAAGCAATTCTCCTGCCTCAGCCTCCTGAGTAGCTGGGATTACAGGTGCCTGCCACTACGCCCGGCTAATTTTTGTATTTTAGTAGAGATGGGGTTTCGCCATATTGGCCAGGCTGGTCTCAAACTTCTGACCTCAGGTGATCTGGCTGCCTTGGCCTCCCAAGTGCTGGGATTACAGGCGTGAGCCACCGCGCCTGGCCTTATTAAATATATTTTAACAACATATTGATACTTAGGTATATGTCAAGCACTGTTTTAGGTGCTGAGGATATGGAAAGGAATATGACTTGGAACTCAAGAAATTAGATACACAAATGCAGTTACTTCCATAAAAGGCATAGAAATACTATAGAATTACAGTTTTGTTAAGGCTTAGGGAAACTTTAGAAATATTAGTCAAATGAATATGAATATGAATATGAATGACATTTGAGCTCAGCTTTGTACAATGAATAGGTGTTGGCCAGTCAGCTAAGTAGGGAAGAGCTTGAAGACATGAAGAAATGTGTATTCAAATAACGTTAATATTTCAGTGTGCTTGGAGCAAAAAATAAATGATGTGAGACAAAGCTAGAAAGGCTAGTGTAAGCAGTCAGGTAATAAAGTGCCAAGTTCAGGAGTTTGAACTTTATCCTGAAAGCAATAAAATCCTTTCGGTGTTTAAACGGGAGGACATCATCAGATTTGTGCTTTTATAAGGCTACTCAGGTAACTAGTGAGAAAAATAGATTGAGTTTGAAGAGACTAAAGGTTGCTCCAGTTGTTCAGGTGGTGGTAGTAGAAGACGACACAGGCAAGGACTTGAAAAATATTTAGGAGAAGCTACAAGACTTGGTGTCCAACTTGATATGGATGTTGAGAGAGGAAGAACGGGGAGCTATTAGTATGTCTAGGTTCCTGGCTTAGGGGATTGTTGAATGGGTGGCCCATTCATTGAGAACGGAAAGGAACGTAAGAAGCAATTTTGGGGGGGAAATAATAATAATAGCCAACATTCTAAAGGGCTTGTTACTATTACCATGGTAAAACTGAGGCTTAGGAAGACCTAGTTAAGGTACTACTTATTATTACAGAAAAATTACGGCTTAGAAATGTCAAGGTCCTATCACTAATATTTGAATAGCTAGGATTTCAAGCAAGGCAACCTGATTCCGGACTCTTAGCCTTTCTAATGCTGTCTCAGTTTCGCACATGTTGAATCTGAGGTACGAAGAGTATGCAGGTAATGCTGCTCGGGAGGTATTGGGAAATACACAATCTGAGCTCAGGAGAAAGAAAGCTTTGGGTCGAAAGTACCCTCCACGGTAGGGGAAAAAACGTGAAAGGAAGCCCATTCTTTTCGTATGTCAGTTCACATTAGTTCAAACATCTCCGTTATAATTTCTTTGTCTTCCTCCCACCCCTGCCCCCTCTCCCACAGAAAGAAAACATAATACATGTCTGGCTGTGAGATCACACGACATCGGATAGTTTTCAAATTCAGCCCTTGACAACGAGCTCATAGATGCGGTGGTGCTTTGTTAACCTGAAAAGGACCCTCAGCGCCGGAAGTTAGCCGTCTTTCTCCATCCTGACTACTACAGTAGCCCTCCCAGAAATCGTCCCAAAATTGTCTGATAGAAAGGCTGCACGGAAACAACCCGCCACGGACAGCGGACCGAGAACAGTGACGCGACGCGATGACGTCACGCAGCAAGCGGGTGATTCCCCAGCCTCTGGCGTCACGCGCCGATGACGTAATCCCAGGCGTTCGCCCTCATGCGGGCCAGGGTTTGGCCTCGCTCCCACGGGTCGGTCAGGCCCTCCCCGCCCCCTCTCACCTGCGGGAGGCGGGGCGGGCACGGCTCCACCGGAGCCGCAGCCGCCGCCGCCGCGCCGGGGAGGGGGAGTGGGGGAGGGGGAGGGGGAGAAGGGGAAAGGGCAGAGGGGAGGAGGAGGCGGGAGGAGGAGGAGTAGGGGAGCCAGTGAACTAGGCGGTCAGGCCTGCCGGGCGGCGTACAATAGCGCGGCTGTGGGCGGGGGAGGCTGCCCTCCCGCGGCTGCAGCCGGAGCCGAAGGTGGTGGCTGCACAGTAGACGCCCCCTCACGGCTTCCCCCACACGCTCCCGCCCCCTCGCTCGCCCATCGCGCTTCCCTCACAGGCTCTGCAGTCCTCCCCCACAGACGCCTTCCCCCTTGGACTCTCATTCCCTTTTCCACGGAGCCCCGCGCTTTCGTGAGCCCCCTCGAGGAACCTGGTCTCCGCATCCAGTTACCACCTCCTGCCTCAGAGGCCATCTGAGCCCTTCGCACCTCGCCCCTCAGTCCCCCCTTCCCCCCCCGCCCGCGTCGCCTCGCTCCCTCCCGCCCCCCCATCATCCCTTCCCTCGCAGTTCCCCTGTCCTGAGGGGAGCCCCGCCACGGGCAGCGCGGCGGCGGCGGCAGGAGGGAGAAAGTGAAGCGGTAGCTCGCGCACACTCGCGCCCTCACTCCCGGCTAGGCGGCACCCACCGCCGGGAGGAGGAGGAGGAGCCGAGAGGAGCTGAGCGAGCGCGGAAGGTGAGAGCGGGCCTACCGCCCAGTACCCCTCGCGTCCCGGGCTGCCAGGGCTGGGGCGCGGGGGTGGGGACGGGTGGAGTGGGGGTCTGGGCCCATTTATTTCGCGTTGCGGGGCCGGGCGCCTGGGCGGGAGGAGGCGCCAGGTAAGGTGAGGCGGGCGGCGCCCCGCGAGGCCCGCTCCCGTCGGGCCAACAAAGGCCCCCTGTGCGCGTACCGGCGGGGTCGCGGGTCTCAGACGCCGGGCGATTCGAGAGACCTGGGAGAGGGAAGGGGCGGGGCGGGGCCAGGCCAGGCTGGAGCCGGGAGGCCACACGAGTACCGGTCCGGGACCGAGTCCGTCCCGAACTTCGCAGTCCTGCGGCGCTCACCCTGTCCCGCTACGAGGAGGCACAGCAAAGCGGCGCCCAGTTCCTTCTGCATGGAATAAATGACCCCTTCCAGGCTTGGACAGTCACCTTTAGGGTTCTACTCCCTGAAAAATAAGGGCTGGTAGGACTTGACTTACGCAGCCCCTCCCCCACCCCGGAATATTCTGTAACTTGGGAAGTGAAAAACAACCGGGGAAGGAGATTTATAGTTATTTTATGTTCATTATTACGTTTGAAAAGACATGATTGTTGTAGCCTTCGCTATCCTATTTCAGCAGTACACATTACTGGGAGTGTTTTGGAAGAATACTTGAGAAGTAGTGGGTGTGGCGTTGTGAGCAACGTCCTTGGTTTTTAAACCCCTTGGATAATTGTTCTACTGTTACAAAAACTGTGAACAGTGAAGGGAAGGGTTAGTTCCGTGGTTACTAATAAAAATTCAGATTCATTAGTCTTGACTTTAAGAATTGTTCCTGAGAACAATCTTTAATTTTGCCTCCTACATTTTTGGGTTCTCTTTCAACTCTGTCAGGAGAAAGTAGGAATTATCAGTACAGATACCTCATCTCTCTTACCCTGTGGCTTCATCTACTTCTTGTGTGACCTTGAGCAGGTCACTTCCAGCCTTAAAAGCTCCAGAAGTTTGGTTTTATGCCCCAAAACGGGCAAGTAGCAAGCACCGGACTCAGCTTTCAAGAGTCCACTGAAGAATTCCCACACTGTGAAGTCTTTGCTGGCCTCCATCCTGTCTCTCCTCTTACAGACAGAGCTGATTTCTTCCCATTGGCCCGGTGGGATTTCTACCACAGCACTTACAACATTTTGGTTCCTATTTGGAAAATTCTAAGTCAGGTGCATATAAAAACTCCCCACCTCAACTAGAAACTATGCCTTTCAAAAAGGGTTTTGGGAACATTGACCCTGAAAACTTCCCATACTTTCCCTGAAGCTTATCCATACTCTTTAACTACATGAGCTCATGGGTCTACCTTGGTAAATTTGCTTATTCAGTCAATTCGTTTATCCAACATTACTGGAGTTCGGAGAGCTACTATGTTTCAGGCCTCTTGCTAAGGCTATGGGGATTCAGTCTATTAAGATATTCCCTGTCTTCAAAGAGCTCAAAGTCTAATGGGTGAGGTAGACAAGTAAACAATGAAGGTCTGCCCTAATCTCTGGGGGACTCCAGTTGTACAGGTAGTAGTGTGCAATAATTGAGGCTGCTGGACCTGTTTTACAAGTCTTCTCTTGGCCAAAGTGAGTCCTGCAGGGAAGGTGACCTGCCTCATCCATAACAGGGCATTTGGTAAAAAGCTTGTTCAGTTCAATTCAATATACATTTACTAAGCACATGTTTTGAGTCCCTGTGCTAGGTTTGAAGGAAGCAGTGCCTCAAAGGAAGGTACTGTGCATCCAGAAAGATTTCTGTAAAACAAAACCTTACCACATCAGCGCCCCCTACCCCTGACTCTTCATATTCTGAAGATAAATTTCAGAGTAACATGGAATAAAAAGCTCTCAGGGATCAGACCACTGCCTGCCTTTGCAGTCTCACTTTCTGTGGCTCCCCTGCCACTCTCATCTTCACTCTTGCATGTTCTGTTTTCTTCCTGGAATGCTTCCCTTCCACCCCTTACCTGCCTGTGGAGATGACCTTGTTGGGCCTCTGGGATGCAGTCCCTTAGTCTCTCCTTTTCCTGCATAGAATGAGTTGCTCTTCCATCCTCTGGCTCATGTACATACCACTTTTATGGCCTTCTGTAGCGCTCTGTTGCAATTACTTGAGTTTGTGCCTGTCTTTTTTTGGTAGCCTGTGAATTTCTTTTCTTTAATAAGCCCTTTAAATGATTCTGATGCTTGCTAAAGTTTGAGAACCACTGGGTTAAAAGATCTGCTCTTAATAAAAACCAGCACCCTGCCAGCTCCTGCTGTCCCGTTTTTCTTCCGTAGCACTTAACTGCGTGACATCCCATCCCATCCCATCCCATCCCTCTCTTGCCAATAGAATGAAAGCTTCCTGAGACTGGGAAGTTTTGTCAGTTTGGTCATTGCTTTAATCCTAGTGCCTAGAATAGTGACTGCATATAGCAGGCACTCAAGTATTTGTTGAATGAATAATGTAAGATGATTTAATTCTATGTATTGCCAGCTGCGACATTGGGGTTTTACTCAAGAACCGTTCTCAGAATGAATAGGAATCATGGTCCAATGTGCAAATCCAAGGGGATCCTAACATTTTTGGGGGATTCATTTTAGGTTGAGCTTTTCCCTTTATGTGTCTCCAACCAAAGCCTGCAAGAATTTTTAGCCTAGTCTTTTGTTCGTTTGTTTGTTTTAACCACCACCTGAAAACTGCTGTTGCAATATTCCAAGCCAGGATTGTTTCTTTTGAATTTGCAAGTTGGTTTTGCAAGTCTAAATAAGCACTCTTAACTTTTGAGTCTTTTAACTTAAAACTGTCTCTTCCTGGTCTCCTGTGGTTTTTGTCTTTCTCTGGTGATACTTAAAGCTATATAGGGCCTGTTTGACTCCACACAAAGGTTTCTCTTCCTTGTCAAGCTCTTAAAATGCTTTGTTTCTTTCACTTTCTTATTAGCCCTAAGATACCATGCCCAGTTTTCTCCTTTCCTAGCTTCCTTCTGGGAGAGTGGCTTCAATTATTCATCCGTTTACTATAAAATTATGAGTCCTTCTCCACCATGTGCCAGACCCTGTGCTGGGCAGGATGTTCAGCTATATACAAGAGTGCAGCCCAAGTCTTTAAGGAGCTAGAGATAATATGACATGATAAGTGCTGAAATGAAGAGATGAAATAGAGGGATGAAAAAAGGTGGTATATGATCATAAAGGGGGGGAGAAAGCTGCCTTTCTATTTGTTTCCCTCAGTTTAGGAATAATTTGTCAAACAAGCATCATTTTGACAGGCAGACTTTTAAAAAATTTTAAGAGGTCATGGGCTTTGTTGGGGAAAACTAAAACAAAAATCAAGGTGGAATCAGCAGTTGCCAATTTGAGACATTAATTCTGTTGTTGCTGGTTTTAATGAATTTTCTGATCCCTCTCCATGTTATTTTTCTAAATAATAACCAGAAAGTGGGAGAAAAATATTTCTTTTTGGCATAGTAAAGAGACAAGTTTAAGGTTATCAAAAGAATACATCTCACTACAGTTTATTGTTTATTTTTGAAAAGCGATAAACAATATGCATCTAAAAACGAGGCTTTTGACTGTTTATGATAAAGAAATGATAAATGTTTGGAGTGATGAATATGCTAATTATCCTGATTTGATTATTACGAATTATATACATCTCAAAATATCATAAATATGTACAATTATTACATATCAACTAAAAATAAAAGGAAAAATGCATTGATTCAAAATTAATAGTCAGTATATTCAAACTTGAAAATAAAAAATTTAAAAACATTCTCCCACACCAGTGTTTGCTCCTTCTGGGTCATTTTCTATGCCCATTATTAAAAAAAAAAAAAAAGTCTCTTCACAGATGTTTTAATTTCTAAGGGGTAATGTTGTAATTTGTAGTGGGTGAAAATGAAACCCTGGAAAAGTTAGGAGACCTTCTTTAGTGTCTATGTTACTGCATGACCTTGTAGAAGTAATTTTTATCTCTGTGTTTTGTCCCAACTGTAAAATGGGGATAGTAATAGTTGCTACGACTAGTTTACAGGATCATGAAGCAATTAAAATAATGACTATAAAGGAATCTTTGAAAAGTATAATTTGCTTGTTAGTTGTTAGGTGGTGGTAAGCTTACTAAAAATGGCTTATGTTACTGAATACCTGTTCTGTACCAGGCCCTATATGAGATGTTTAACATGTTCTTTTTAACCCTCAGAATAACCTTATGAGATGATTGCTGGTATCTCTGTATCATAGGTGAGGAAACCTGAGAGTCATACTAGTAAAGGGAGCTTATTTAAGGTTTTGCTGCAAGTAAGTGGCAGACCAACAATTCTAGTCCATGTGCACCTGACTCCAGCAGCTATGTGCTATTTTCAGTACAGAGGCTGCTTTTAATGTTTCTGCACAGAGGATATAGGAATGTTTTGCAAGTAAATATATTGCAGTGAGAGTTAAAGTTTCCATTTGGTATGTTTTTTTTGTGTGTGTATTAGAAGGCTTGGTGAAGACAGATTTACATTCGTTTACATTTATCATTCATACAGGAAAAATAACATCTTTCCTGGATGTTATTTTGTTCAATCTTCGTAACAGCCCTATGAGATAGGTATTCCCATTTTACGAGTTAGCAGGCTGAGGATCATATTAATAGAAGTCTTGGCTTGCTCAGAGGCACATCATTAATGAATGCCTGAATATTGATTTTAAACCACATTTTAAAATTCTAAGTGTAGTACTTTACTTTGCCACTATAACATATTGCCTTTTAAACTCTATCAAACTAAATTTTGGGGCACTAGACACATTCTTTTAAATTGGTTCCTAATCTCTTTAGCTTCTTCTCCCTAAGAAAACCCTGACTGAAGTCCACAGTTTGAACTAGAAAGGATAATTGCTGATAAAACTCTATGTCAGATGGTCATGATGTTGCAGACTTAGAAGATAATACCTCTTTACTGAAGCTGCCAGATCAGGCTTTATCCAGTATTTGGAATCACTTGTGCCTGAATATTTCCCTGTGCCATCGTAAATTTATTAACTTAATGTGCTACATTTTTCTACCCTTTTTGTAAGCCTTTTCTTTCATGAATATCTTCCTCTTCTCTCCCATTCTTTTAGTTTTTGAGATGGGGAAAGTCATGTATATGCTAGGCTTCTCCGGATTATCCCTTCTTGAGGAATAGTGTAGTAGTAAGTCTAGAAAGAACCAGAGGTTCATTCATCCCTCATGAGTTTTCGTGGTATTGATTGACTGTAGAATTCATCTAATTCTTAAGTCCATTATGTCTTGGCTTTTGTTCCTGGAGTCAGAGTTAGGTAATTTGCATGCAGGATTGGGAAATCCATTCTTGTTTATGGGCTGCTTTCTTTTATTACTTTTCTACTTCCAGCCTTCTCCAATATCCCTTTCCCTTTCAGACTGTTAAGTACTAACTGAGGCTGGCAAGAGCATTTTCTAATTTATAGAATCTGCCTTTTGAATCTTTTGGGATGGCAAATGACAATGACAGTATATGCATGGCTTCCACCCTCATCTGCCTGCCTATATCTTTAAGGTCCAGCTTTCCTTATTTCCTCCTGGATTCCCACAAAGCTAAGATTGATGTCTTCCTCACTGGTGGAACCCTTGATTTGTGTATTACTGCACTTACCAAGGGAGGGTTTAAGGAAGAGCACAAAATTTGAAGTTAGACAAAGAGCTACTTGGACACTTATTTAAATCTCTATTTGTTCATTTGAAAGAAATAATACCTAACTTACAGAATTCTTGTGAAGATTAATAATATATGTAAAAGTGAATTGTAAGATACTGAGCTATATAGATGTTAGGTAGAGTAGTTTGTAATTTTATGACTATGATTGTGTGTAGCAGTGGTTTTAATTTCGGCTATGCACTTGAATTACTTGTGAAGATGTAAAGAGTTGCCTTGGCATCTCTATTTTGAAAGGTTTATAGGTGATTCTGATATGCAAAGTTGAGAAGCACTGCCTTATATTAACAATGTTTTGCATAAATGTCTTATGTAAGTATTATATGAAAAGTAATATTTTATTGCCATTTAAAGTTCATTCATTTGCTAAATACATATTATGCATCAGGCATTGTCATAGGTTCTGAATAAACAGATGAATCATAGCCTCTACCCTTGGGTTTATAGTTTCCGGGAGAAACAGACATGTGCATAGACAATTACACTACATTGAGACAAAAAATGACAAAAATATGGAGATAAGTGCAAGTGCCATGTGAACACAGAGGAAGGGCATCTGCTGCACTTGAAATGGGGGTGGCCTGGCAAGCATTCTTAAAGGAGGTGACATCTAAGATGGGTTCTGAAAAATGATCAGGGGTTAACGAAGCACAGTCAGGGAGGGGTGAGAAGAAAGGGGAGATGATGGACCCTCTTGAAAGAGAGAGCAATATGTGAGCAGAAGATTTGAGAGCCTGTTTGGGGAGCCCTGTGTAGTTTAGTATGCTTAGAAGATAGGGTGTAAAGTGGGGAGGCGTGAGAGCAGAGAGGAGGCAGGGCCCAGATGATGAAGGGCCTTTTGTATAATGTACAAAATACTTTTACTGATATTATCTGACTTTATTCTTTGGACAATCCCCTGGGTTAGCTAGGACAGGTGTTGTTTTATATTCATTTGATAGAAGAAAACACAAAGAGGTTAATTGACTTGCTGAGGCTATACAGCACAGCTAAGATCTGAAGCCAGGTTCTTATGATTGTTTAGTTCATCATGCTTTTTCTATTACACCATAGCCGTCTTAGACTTTTGCGGTGTGGTAGGGAATCAGGTAAGCTCTGTGGATATATGCACAACAATTTGGAAGCTGTAATGTGCTAGACTGATGTTGGCTAACTCATTTTACAGATGAGGAAATTTAGGAGCAGAGACATCAAGCTGTCATTTGAAGACTTTTTTTTTTTTTTGAGATGGAGTCTTGCTCTGTCGCCCAGGCTGGAGTGCAGTGATGCGATGTCGGCTCACCGCAAGCTCTGCCTCCCGGGTTCACGCCATTCCCCTGCCTCAGCCTCCCAAGTAGCTGGGACCACAGGTGCGTGCCACCATGCCCGGCTAATTTTTTGTATTTTTAGTAGAGACAGGGTTTCACCGTGTTAGCCAGGATGGTCTCAATCTCCTGACCTTGTGATCTGCCCGCTTCTGCCTCCCAAAGTGCTGGGATTACAGGCGTGAGCCACCTCGCCCGGCCTTGAAGACATTTTTAAAAATTATTACTGTGTAACCACAGCAAGTCACTTAACCGTCCTGAGACTCAGTTTTCCTTAGCTGTCATATAAATGTGTTGAATTTGATGCCAACTTCTTTGCTTGAATATTTCGACAGTGATTCTTAACCTTCTCACCTACTCCCTGCCCTCACCCTTTCTCTGTGATACACTGGGATGTAGTCCATCAGTAACAGTATTTCACTATGGAAATAGTTCCCAATGGGCTACAGGAACAAAATGTAAATTGCCAGTTTTGGGGATGGGTAAAGAGGGACTTGGTATAGTTGGAGGGGCTCTTGGTTCTCCAATTACCTGTTAGAGAATTACTATTAATATTTTATTTATTTATTTTTTTGAGACAGGGTCTTGCTCTGTCATCCAGGTTGGAGTACAGTAGCTCCATCATAGCTCACTGCAGTGCTGCCCTCCCGGGCTCAAGCAATCGTCTCACTTTAGTCTCCGAGTAGCTGGGACCACAGGGGCATGCTACTAAGCCCAGCTAATTTTTGTATTTTTTGTAGAGACAGGGTTTTGCCGTGTTGCCCAGGCTGGACTCAAGTGAACTGCCCGCCTCAGCCTCCCAACGTGCTGGAATTACAGGCATGAGCCACTTTGCCCGGCCAAGAATTACTATTTTATAACATTCCCTCCCACTTATTTTCTCATATGGAATTATCTCACCAGTCCAGAGTCTGAGATTTTTTTGGTATCCAGGATAGATTTTGCTTAATTTAATAAATTACATATGTAATTTGTAAAGTAACTTAAAAAAAAATAAAGAACCAGGTGAGCAAAATGAGAAAGCCCATTGTGATAGACTTGAAAAGTCCAAGTTTCCTGGACTTTCTAGAGATTATATATAGGATTATATATATAATTTTTGTGCTTTACTGTTTTCAAAACCCTTTTATATAGAGTCTCATTTAACTTAATTCTGTTCTTTAGCCATCATATTTTTATAAATGAACAGAAGTTAAGTGGCATGATTATGTAGCTGGGAAGTTACAAACTGGAATCTTTAATTCATATTTTCTGTCTCCAAATCTGGTCACCTGTTCCTGATCATTTGGGTGCTGCCCTGACCAGTGGCACTTTTTAAAAAATTGTAGGTTCCTAGGAGAATGGTAAAATATATTTATAGTTCCCTCTAACTCTTTCAAAAAATCGTTTTTTTACTATCCATTGCCACTTGCCGGATAATTGACTTAGTTGACTATGTGGTAAAGGTTCCAGGACAGTTAGGAATGGCTGCTGAGTATATTCTTCACACACACACAGACACACACACAGACACACACACACACACACACACACTCTTTCATGTATGTACCAATCCAATACAGCTGGTCCCTGACTTACAGGGGTTCAACTTAATGATTTTTCGACTTTATGATGGTGTAAAAGCAATATGCATTCAGTAGAAACCATACTTGGAATACCCATCCAATCACTTTCAGTGCAGTATTGAATAAATTACATGAGATATTCATCACTTTATTAAAAAATAGACTCTGTGTTAGATGATTTTGCATAACTGTAGGTGAACGTAAGTGTTCTGAGTATGTTTAAGGTTGGGTAGGCTGAGCTACGATGTTTGGTATGTTAGGTGTATTAAATGCATTTTTGACTTAAAGTATTTCAGTGTAAGTTGGGTTTATCAGGTCGTAACCTAATCATAAGTCAAGGAGCATCTGTACAGCTCTATAGTGCTTCTATTTATTCCTTAATTAGACTACACATATTTATTGATTTCTTCCTGTGTGCCAAGCATTGTACTTAGTACTAAGGATACACTCATAAATAATACAGACATGGTCCTTGTCCTTGCTCTTACAAAGATTACATTCCAGAGGGTAATACAGAGAAAAGTAAGTAGATATACAAGTGGACAGTTGCAGATTTTGATAAGTCCTACAAAAGAGATAAAGGACTAATGTAGAGAATTTTGGAGTGATAAGGAAAAGACCTCATTGAGGAAATGATGCTTTTAAACTGAGATGTGCATGATAAATAGATTTTAGTCATGCAGAACACTGAGGGGGAAAAAGCATGTCAGGCAGAGGGAACATTTTAAATGCACAAAGGCCCTGAGAGTAGGTAAAAGTTTAGAGATGTGCTGCTCAATATGGTAGCTACTTAGCCAGTGTGGCTGTTGAGCACACTGACTGATTCACATAGAGATGCACTGTAAGTGTAAATAAAATACATACCAGAGTTTGAAGACAATACTGAAAAAATAATGTAAAATAACTCATTAACTTTTTATATTGGTTATATGTTGAATTGTTAATATTTTGAATATATTGGGTTAAATGTATTTTAAAATTAATTTCACCTCTTTACAAACTTTAAAATATGGCTACTAGAAAATTTGAGATTACATATGTGGCTTTTCTTTAAGGCTAACCGTATCTTTCAGTTGGATAATGCTGGTTTACCTCAACATAGAGGAACTAAAAAAAATTATGGCTGTTGTATAGGAAGCAAGAGTAAATGGTATGAGATGAAGTTGGAGTGGGAGGAAGAGACCTTTCAAAACGCTACCCTGTGTAATATCCTAGTTAATCCGAAGGGACTGAGAGGGGATTATCAAGTCTGATTTTATAGATGGAGACAGTAATTGCCAAAGTCTCTCTTCTCCTCTCTAGAGTGCTAGAATGAGGAGATGAACAAGCACTTTTAGCATAGTATCTTGGGAGTAGAATGCTCTATTTCATTGTTAGCTAAAACAAACAAGTAAATAAATATTGATGAAGAATAAATTGATTAATACAAGTTTCCAAGTGGTCTTGAGACTGCCTCTGGCTATCTGTGGTAGGTGGACCCTCTCAAAGACTGAATTTTTCATAAAAATTTTCCTGTAGGCTGACTCTTCTTGAAACTGTTTCATTTTATACTATATTTCTTTAATTTTATGTACGTTAAAAATTTTTTTTAAATAAAACATTGGCAGGGGAGTATGTGCAGTGAACACCCATATACCCATTATTTAGATTCTGTGGTATTTTGCTGTGTTTTCTTTATCGCATGTCTGTGTATCCCTTGATCCATTCATTAACCTGTCTTATTTTGAAGCATTTCAAAATAAGTTGCAGATATCAGTACACCCGTAAACACTTTAGCATTCATATCATTATTTGCTTACATGAAACTATACTCTTACTTGATACTCTGTGGCATTATTTGATGAATATCTGTCTACCCTACTAGACCCTAAGTTCCAGAGAATCATTTCTCTTTAAGGCTTGGCACCTTCAAGAGAATGAGTTTTAACATAGTACCCTTTTTCCTAAAAGCCCCCCCACCCCACCCCCACCCACCTTTTTTTTTTTTTTCTCACTGTTGTATCCCCCAGTGCCTAACCTATAGTAGGCACTTTGATTGAGTGAGTGAAAGTGGAGCCAGCATTCAAACTGTGGTCCACATGACTTCTTTTTTTTTTTTTGAGACACATGACTTTTTTTTTTTTTTGGAGATGGAGGGTCGCTCTGTTGCCCAGGCTGGAGTGCAGTGGCACGGTCTCGGCTCACTGCAACCTCTTCCTTCCGGATTTAAGCAATTCTCCTGCCTCAGCCTCCCAAGTAGCTGGGATTATAGGTGCAAGGCACCATGCCTGGCTAATTTTGGTGTTTTTAGTAGAGATAGGGTTTCACCATGTTGGCCAGGCTGGTCTCAGACACCTGACCTCAAGTGATCTGCCAGCCTTGGGCTCCCAAAGTGCTGGGATTACATGTGTGAGACACTGTGCCTGGCCCACATGACTTCTTTACTAAGAACTGTTATTTGATTTTCTTAAGTTCAAAGAACATAAAAAAAAAAATCCTTTCAATGTCTGGTATTAGGAGAAGAGAGGAGAGAAGAAACCTTACTGTGCTAAATGTGTAGCTGCCCAGTGCAAATGCCTCTGACCTGAGTAAAAGTTGAAAGTATGTCCTGATGCTATCTAAGGATGCGGAACATTTTTTTTTTTTTTGAGACGGAGTCTCACTCTGTTGCCCAGGCTGGAGTGCAGTGGAGCAATCTCGGCTCACTGCAAGCTCCGCCTCCCGGGTTCACGCCATTCTCCTGCCTCAGCCTCCCCAGTAGCTGGGACTACAGGTGCCCGCCACCACGCCTGGCTAATTTTTTTTTTTGTATTTTTAGTAGAGAAGGGGTTTCACCGTGTTAGCCAGGATGGTCTCGATCTCCTGACCTTGTGATCCACCCGCTTCGGCCTCCCAAAGTGCTGGGATTACAGGCGTGAGCCACAGCGCCCGGCGAAAAGATGTGGAAAATTCTTAAAGCTGATCAGCAGCTACTTTGCTACTCTGGATCTTTCTTCATTTCCTTTAAGCTGAGGAATTGCATGTTACTGAAAAATGGCATTGGACTGAGACCCTTGAAGGCCTATTTGTCTTCTAGTGGGTCAGCTCTTTTTAGTATTATCGAAGGCAATGTTTCAAAATTCGCAGTTTTCTTTTGGATTAGTATGGGTTTCTTTAAAGTGCCACACTATTCTAATAAAGCTTAACATGAATAATGTGACTTTGTTCCATTAAAAATAACAGGGCTTTGTTTCACAAACTTTTGAATCAATTTAAAATTTAGTTATGATGCCATCCTGACAACCCTTTTCTGTTTCCTTTTTTGGTGTATGTAAACATACATAAACATACATGTAGTTGTAATCATAATGTAGACCTAAGTTTGTTGTTTGCCCTTTTTTCTTGACTTATACACATTCCCGCATGTTACTCTTTAGTCTTCATTGTAAAATTTAAGATGATGTTCCATAATTTACCCGAAACTATTGTGTCAGTCAATGTTCTACTGGAGAAACAGAACCAGTAGAATAATTCTTTCTTAGAGAAACTTCAGTTTTGCTCTTAAAGCCTTTCAACTGATTAGATGAAGTCCATCCAGATTATGGAGGATAATATTCTTTACTTAACGTCAGCTGATTGTAGATGTTAACCACATCTGCAAAATACCTTCCCAGCAACATCTACATTAATGTTTAATTGAATAACTGGGGACTATAGCCTAGCCAAGTTGACACATAAAACTATCAGGTGTAGGTTTTTAGGTTTTTCTTTTCCTATTATAAATTATACTGTAATTTTACCCAATAGCACTGCATATAGCTTTCTCCTTTCAAAGATTACTTCTTTAGAATAAATTTCTATAGGTGGGATTACTGGATCAAAGGGTAGAAGACCTAATGGGCTCTTGACAGGATTTGACATTTGCAAACTGAAAAAACCACTACAGCCTTTCTTTTGATGATTTCTTCAGGAATTGGCCTATTCAACTGACTCATTTACCTTTTCCACAAGCCTAGTTTTCTGCCTGTGTTTTCTATCTCTGGAAATAATTGCATGCTTTTCCTCAGAATTGTCTTCAGTTTTACTCTTATTCTCCTTCTGCCACTTTTTTTCTGCCCTTTACCTCTCTGCCCCCACCCTCCAGACTTTGCCTCATATATCACAGATGAAATAGAAGCTTCATATTCCTACTTAGAATTTACTTGGATTTGTACCCATTCCTTCCTTTGCCCCTTCTTTTACAATGAAAGAAGTCATTCTGTTCTCTTGCCTCATCTCTTCTTCGCTTGCTCCTCCACATGTTTTTAGATTGTTTCCCATGGTCCCATTTTAGAAATCTCGCTTTATGGCATCTTTAAATTTTGCCTTCTACTGAGTTACCCTAAGCATCATTCAAACATTCTACTTAAAGGAAAATAATTTTCCTTTTCTTCACCAAAAAAAAAAAGTGCTCCTGGGATCCCATGTCAGCTTCTAGATAAACCCTATCTCTGCTTTCCTTCAAAGCTAGTCTTTTTAAAATAGCTATTTACAACTTCTACTTCGAGTACCTTACCTCCTATTTATTCTGCAGCCTACTCCCCTCCTGTCTCCACAACCTCATCATAACTGCTCTTGCTAAGGCCATTAATGATGTTCATGGTGCCAAACTTAACTTTAAAAAAAAAAAAAAAAAAGCAAACAAAAAACCTTATAGCCACAGATGTACCCAATAATCCTGTACCTCAATGGCTGGCTGGCTGGCTGACTCCCTCCCTCCCTTCCTCCCTTCCTTCTTTTTTTTCTTTCCTTCTTTCTTTTTCTCTCTCCCTTTTTCCTTTTCATCCCTTTTTTTTTTTTTCTATTCTACAGAGTTTGAGAAAGTCTGTCTCTCCTCAGGGCCTTCACACCTGTTCTTTACCCCTGGTTTGCTGTTCGCAATTCTGGCTTCTCCTTCTCATTCAGTAAACAAATACTCATTGTCTACTGTAAACCAGGACCTTTCTAATCTAAAGAAGAGCCCCACGCCGGGCGCGGTGGCTCACGCCTGTAATCCCAGCACTTTGGGAGGCCTAGGCAGGCGGATCACGAGGTCAGGAGATCGAGACCATCCTGGCTAACACGGTGAAACCCCGTCTCTACTAAAAACACAAAAAATTAGCCAGGCGCGGTGGCGGGCGCCTGTAGTCCCAGCTGCTCGCGGGGGTGGCTCAGGCAGGAGAATGGCGTGAACCCGGGAGGCGGAGCTTGCAGTGAGCTGAGATCGCGCCACTGCAGTCCGGCCTGGGTGAAAGAGCGAGACTCCGTCTCAAAAAAAAAAAAAAAAAAAAGAAGAAGAAGAGCCCCTCTGTTTTCCTCTTACAGCACTTTGTTATTTTCTGCGATGGCATTTATAATGATTTGTGATTCTGTATTTATTTGACTCTTGGTTATGTCTAGACTTTCAACTCCATGGAGTCAAAGGTCATGTCTTTTGGTCACCATTGTACCTCATCACTTAGTACAATGCTTGGAACACAGTGAGGCTTGTAAATATTTGCAGAATGAATAAGCTCTTGCTATCAGTCCAATGGATTATCAAGCCTTGTTAGTTTTATCTCTGTAGTTTTTTTTACCAGTTTATTTTTATTTCTCTATCCTTTCTGCTCTGATTTAGACTGTAATCATCTCTTCCCTTGACTTTTAGTAACCTATTAACTAGTGTCGTGGCAACCAGTCTTTGTGCCCTCTTATTTATTCATTATTCTGCCTGGAGTAATTTTTCTGATCCTGTCACTGTTCTTCCCAAAAGCCATCAGTGTGTCTCCATTGTTTATAGGATAATATGTAAATTAGTTATTCAGGGAACTTAATAATTTGACCTCACCTACCTCTTCAGCATCATCTCTTCTAACCCTACTCTATCTCTCTAAATAGACAGTTTCAGTTTCATTCCATTTCATATCATATTACCCTGTTCCCTCAGCCTGGAATTCTGTTTTCCTCTATGCTTTTAAAACTCTTTATTCCTCAAGATGCAACTTGGATGCCAGTTCTTCCATGTAGGCTTCCCCAGTTTTCATCCTCCCATTTATGATTTTAAGTTCCTAGAGGGTAGTACTTTGTTTTGTTCTTTGCTGTATCTTCAGTATCTTGATCAGTGCCTGGCATGTAGTAGGCTCTTAATACATATTTGTTGAAAGACTGAATAAAATAATTTACTTTTGCACTCCCTCGACATATATTCATCAAACTTTCTTGAATTTTCGTAGTACTCTCTCCGTCCTTTGCACTATAATTAGTATTGAAGTTCATTTGTTATCTATAGGGACTTATAAAATTAGCCCCCACTCAAACATTCCTCCCTGCTCACCAGTAAGGTCTGTACATTCACCCCTCTTTGTCAGTAAGTGCTTTTCTAATGGTAGGATTATTAACATTGAACAATGTAATGCAAGTGGATTCTAAAATGAATGTTGAAAAAATTTAGGAAGTTGAAATAAGGCAATATTGGATAATGGCCTGAATCACACGCACAAAAATCACTGACAAATGAGGATTAGGTAAATTTAGACCAATTTAAAATTGAAGGGAGAATTAATGTGGGTAATGACATAACAGGACATTCGGAGGACAATGATTTGAGTAACAAAGGATTAAAAGAGACCCTTGGGAAAAATTGATGAAGCTCTTGAATATTTTTATAAAATTGATCCTCTTATCGATATGTTTTGAAAGCCAAATGTGAAGTGACGGATGTTCTTTGTTCTAAGAATTAACTTTGTGGGCAATATAACAAGTTTTATTAAATTAGGAATTATAAACATTTTAAAATGTTTGTCTTGATAAATTAAAGGCCCCATCAACATTTTAAAAAAATTTACTAAGAAATTTTGGTCCCTTGTCAGTTAACTTTAAGTGGTATTTTTGGATAGTAGTTATCCTCACATAACAAGAATCCCCTCTATGTATGCTTATTCCTCCATTAGATTTAGTTCCCTGAGATTGGGATTGTGTTTTTTAAATTATATTCCTATGATGGCTACCTCAGAGTCTGGTACATCAGAGATGCCTAATAAATGCATAGAGATAAGAAGTGAATAATAATTGAAGGGACTTGGTAAGGGTCCTTGAAAGGTCCTGTCTGGTACAGAGCTTATACAGCAGGTATATGGTAGCATTTGACTGTCATGCTTTGTTAAGACCAAAAGGAAAACCTGTCTTATTCTTCCTTTTCCCAGCTCCTGCCTAGTGTGTATTTTAATATTCAGAATCTGTTCTCTGCCTCAGTAGCTGTTATTCTCATTGTAATTCTTCCTGGAGATTGAGATGGAAATGAGAAAGGCTTTGGGCTGCCGACTGGGTGTCCACATTCATGAGAACTTAGAAATGAAGAGGGACCAAATGCCATGCCTGACCTAGACAGCTTCAGGTCAGCCAATTGTTGCTTTCCTGCCTCTCCCTTTGTTCTCTGTGCCTCTAGCCTCCTATCTGCTGGAGGTTTGTGCTACAGCTGTTTATGCCAATTAATGTAATGCTAATGCGCCCCTTAATGAACCCATGGAAGCACACGGTCCCAGCCAGTGAATAAGAACTGCAGAGCCGCAGCCTTCAAAGCACCTTTTTACTAACAATTGGACCAGGCACCTGAATATCTTTTCACATTGTTTTTGAAACCATGGAAACAGAAGTTGAACACGACCTTAGTTTTGGAAGTCTAACAGCTCACTTTATAGAATAAGGAAAAATAATGACAGAGATGATGAAGTTCATGCCCAATTAATAATTCCAAACCTCACATTTCAACAAGGCTGTAACATGTAAATATAATTTTCTCTTCTCTGTGTATTGTGTAGCTGTTAAAATCTCTGCTACTGACCTAACATTGAATCCTGTGGCCCTGCCATTTCCTGACTGTGATCTGGCCAGAGTAGTTTTAGTTAACCTCTGTGGTTTTGGTTTCCTTATACGTGAAATGGTACTAATAATAGTACCTGCTTTGGCTGGGTGCGGCAGTTCATGCCTGTAATCCCAGCACTTTGGGAGGCCGAGGCGGGCGGATCACAAGGTCAGGAGATTGAGACCATTCTGGCTAACACGGAGAAACCCTGTCTCTACTAAAAATACGAAAAATTAGCCGGGCGTGGTGGTGCACGCCTGTAGTCCCAGGTACTCGAGAGGCTGAGGCAGAAAAACGGCATGAACCTGGGAGGTGGAGCTTGCAGTGAGCTGAGATTACGCCACTGCACCCCAGTCTGGGTGGCAGTGCGAGACTCCGTCTGAAAAAAAAAAACAAAAAACCAAATAATAATAATTGTACCTGCATCCTATGTTTGTTATTAGGATTACATGAGGTAGTAGTTGTAAAGCACTTAGCAAATTTTGGCACATAAGAAGTCCTTAACAAATGTCGGCTATCATTATCATTACAGGATAGAGAAGCTAAAATGATTTTAAATGACTTCTGCTTTAATTTATAGCCCTGCCCTCAAAACCTTTGTTCCTAATTCTTCAATTAGAATATAAGCCTTGTGAAAACAAAGACCTTCTCTGCTTGCTTCTTTGTTGTCCTCAGCACCTAGACCAATTTTTAGCACATAGTAGATACCTAATAAATATTTGGTGAATTAATGAATTCTAGGGACATTTTCTCTGAATAACATCTAGGTTTAGATACTTGAATCTTTTTTTTTCCTTTACTGTTGTTTATATGAATATGCACTTAAAAAATAGTTTTTATGTTGTGTCTTTGATCTTTGTGGGTATCCTTGTTTCCTTCTACGTTGTAAGGCTCCAAGAGTGGGAGAGTGTGATGTCTACTATGGGAATCTCCCTATAGCTTCTAGTATGGTATTTTTTTTAAAATACAGTTATTAGTGCTTAGTAATTACTGACAACTGACTATAAAATTCACTTGTATTCAACATTAATTTTTTGAGCAAAAACTAGTATGTGCAGTGGTATCATTTCCAACTCTTTAAGAAGTTGTGAATTTGTAGGTGCAGGTGCAGTCTTTGGTGGCAAGAGACACCTTATTACTATTGTAAATGTTGATCTTTGCACTTGAAATAGCCCTCTCCTTCCTCTCTGTCCCTTTCTACCAGATGACATACCCCTCATTCTTCAGAGCTCAGTCTCCTGTCAAGTCTTTCTTCCTTTATGTAAGTCTTTCTTCCTCTTTTTGTAAATCTCTTCATGGAGGTAGTGGATAACTTTTGCAAATGGGGTTATTTTGAGGGAGGACATTCCACACTGATAGAAGAGCTGATGCAAAGACATGGTAGGAAAGGGCCAGGTGTCATGGGAATATGATAGTAAATATTATATGCTATCTTATTTGTCATGGCTCTTATTAATAGGGGCAAACAGGAGAGTCCATTCTAGCAAGTTTAAGCAAAAAAGATTTATTAAAGGATATCAGAGAGATTTAGGAATCTTTGGGAGAGTTAAAGAAATGGACCCGGCTGGGCTTCCAGGAACAAACTCCCCAAACTACATTGAATAACTGAGTCCCCAAGGATGCTGCTCTTTGCCAGAATCAGGAACCTGTTGCTACAGTTGCTAGATAGAGAACTATGCTGCCTCTGCTGCAGTTTGTTCCAGCAAAAGGGATGTCCTGTGCTAGTCTCTCCCATCATCCAATTTAGTTCTAATCAGTATCTAGTCTGAGAGCATCTGAATGGTGGAACCTAAATCACATTTAGAAGGAAATCTGAGAAGTAATGTTTTTTTTTTTTTTCAACCTCTGTAGTGCCTACTAGGCTAGAAAGGAGTTGGAATAGGTGTTGAGCAAAGCAGTGTATACATTATGCCCTAGAGAATATTCAGGTGGCTGTACCCTCTTCTAGTACCAAATTGTGTATCATTTGGAATTCGGTAAACAGAAATTCTGACTCAAATTTGGCTTAAATCATGTTGACGTTTTTATCATGCTTGTGTTACCTTTATCCACAAGCCGGCTTCCATCATGGTAGTAAATTGGCTGACAAGACCAGCTGGGGAGATAAGCTTCTTTATTCACCAGTGGATGAGAGAGACAGAGAGAGAGAGAGAAAGGGAGAGAGACTGACTGATTTTATTTCAGAAAATGGACAAAAATTTCTTCTCCTCAGTGAAATTGAACCAGTAGAGACCACCTGCCCATCCCTGAACTACAAGAATTTCTAGGGACATGCCAGGTACTGATTGAGTAAACCTAAATCTGATTCAAGAACTAATCACTGGCAAGGAGAATGGAATTACCATGTTTGGTTTGGATGTACAATCAGGGCCTGCTCTTGGAGCTAGGAATGGGGTCAGCTTTCTCTGAGAACAGTGCTTCTCAAAGTGTTGTGTTCTGGGAACTTGCTAAAAATGCAAATTCTGGAGCCACATCTCAGACTTATGAATCAAAAACTCTGGGTGTGGGGCCCAGGAATCTGTGTTTTAACAAGCCCGCCAGATGATTTTGATTTCATGCTAAAATTTGAGAACTGCCTTAGAAACTGTTTGATGAGGGATGAATACCTGATAAAAAAAAAAGTCTGGGCTCTGTTAGGGAGAAGAAGGGAATGGATGCTGGGTAGGCAGCCAACAGCATCCATTTCAAAACTGGAAAGACGGATAGGGACCAGTTCATGAGGAATCTTGAATGTCTAGCTCACAAGGTGGTGGTGGTTGTGAGATATAAAACCGGATAATGTGTGTCTGAGGGACTTGTACAATGAAGGAGATAGGTTATAATAGGGACAGAGTATATTGAACTTGGAGCCAGAGTTTGGATTCTCATCCTGGTCTTTTTACCTCATTGAGCTTCGGGCTCCCCTTCTGTAAAATAGGGAATATAACCACTGGGGTGTTGAGACAATTAAATGGACAAATATATGTGGAAGTGCCTAGTACGTAATTTAGCATATTAATAGGTAAAGAGCTACAGAATATGAATGATGATACTTGGCTAAGGTAGTATGAATTTTATTTATTTGTTTATTTATTTTTCAAGACAAGGTCTCGCTCTGTCACCTAGGCTGGAGTACAGTGGCCTGATCATAGTTCACTGCAGCTTCAACCTCCTACTTCAGCCTGCCAAGTAGCTGGGGCTACAGGCACGTGCCACCATACCCAGTTAATTTTTTTGTATTTTTTTGTAGAGATGGGGTTTCGCCATATTGCCAGACTGGTCTTGAAGTCCTGAGTTCAAGCAATCCTCCTGCCTCAGCCTCCCAAAGTGCTAAGATTACAGGTGTGAGCCACCGCACCCAGCCTGGTGTTGGATCTTTGATCATATTCAGATCAGCTCTGGTTTAACTGCATGAACATGGGTTCTGCTCTGCAGTCTTACCCTGGGGCATTATATGAATTATTTGGCTGTTACAGGGATAGTGCAGTTCCTTTTGCTCTTATAACTAATATGTATTCAGCTTGCTGTGACCATACATATTTTATGTTCTTCCCTGGCACTATAATTCATTCCTTTTTATTTTCTCCTGTGAGGTAATTAAAATTTGTAATACCATGCCCTTTTCCCCCTTGTTTTTTTTTTTTTTAATATATCTCACATTTTCTAAATATAGAATACTTACAAGTTCATGTTAAGTTTCAGTGGGAAAGGTGTTTAGAATCAGTTTGGACTCTCTCCTTTGCTTTATATATAAAGAAACTAGGACAGACAGGGAAATAATTTTTCCAAAAAAATTTTTTTTTTTCCTGAGACTGAGTTTTGCTCTTTTCGCCCAGGCTGGAGTGCAATGGCGCGATCTCGGCTCACTGAAACCTCTGCTGCCTGGGTTCAAGCGATTCTTCTGCCTCAGCCTCCTGAGTAGCTGGGACTATAGGCGTGCGCCATACACCTGGCTAATTTTTGTATTTTTAGTAGAGACGGGGTTTTGCCATATTGGCCAGGCTGATCTTGAACTCTTGACCTCAGGCGATCTGCTTGCCTCGGCCTCCTGAAGTGCTGGGATTACAGGCGTGAGCCACCGCACCTGGCCTCCAAAATCTTATATATCCCACTTCTTCCTTCTTCCTATTTCTTGGCATGGATGAATTTACATCTGGGGCTTTCATTTTTTTGTTCTGTAATACTAGTAAAAAGTCATTTGTAGATTGTTTAGATCTGATGGGATTTAGTTAAAGTCATAAGCCTGATTTGCTGTGAGGCAGGGCTGATGTGCCAACCTAGGAAGAGAGAAAGCTAGTGAATAGAAGTGTTAGGAATCCAGCAGAGGGAAAAGGGCCCTACCATGAACACACTCTTTACTCCTACTTGGCTTGTTATTAGATGTGCCAACCCTGTTATTAGGTGGCTTATGGCTTCTTCTTTCTTTATATCTAGGGTGTTTGAGGAAGGTAAATATGCCTTTTGAATGGGTAATTTCTACTCTTTGGTGCTGAGCATTTTCCACCTTCGTCTATACTGTAAATAACCAGTCTTTTTTTTTCTTTTAGAAAGTTACTGCTTGAGTGGCAAGGAAATTAGAGAAACTGCTTCTCATAGACTAGTTGGGTTGCTGGCTGAAGGGGACCCTAGGAGATGTCTAATTCAACACCCTTATTTTATGAATGAGAAACTGAAGCCAAGAGAAGAAAAGCAGCTCATTCAATATTATATAAGTTAGTTACAGAGTCAAGACCACATCTCAGCACTTCTGACTCCCTATTAAGTATATTTTTACTACACCTCTCTGCAAGGCAAGTGTAAGAGGAATTGTGGGGTAGTGTAAAGAGTGCAGATTTGAGGGCATGAGATCTGGGTACAAACTGTGGCTCTGCTACTTACTGACCTGTTTCTCAGAAAGTAATATCACTTCCTTAAGCACCAGTTTCCTATTTATAAAATGAAATTATGTTGATACTCTGCCTCACAGCGTTATCATTAGAATGAAATGTGAGATGCAGGGGAAAAAATGAAATGAAGACTTTAAAGTGGACGTGGCCAATTTACTTATGAATTTTTAGCTCCATCACTTATTAACTGTGTGATTTTGGGCAAGTCACTTAATTTCTGTGAACGTAGTTTTTTCTTTGTAAAATTGAGACAATAATAGCTCTCTTACAGGGTTGTTTTGAGGACATTAATATATATAAATGTAGGGGAAAAGAAATATTTTTCCCATTGCTATGTTCATGGCTGAGGCTCCTGTAGCAAAAGACATTAACGAGAGAGGTCGGGCGTGGTGGCTCACGCCTGTAATCCCAGCACTTTGGGAGGCCGAGGCAGGCGGATCACCTGAGGTCAGGAGTTCGAGACAGCCTGACCAAAATGGTGAAACCCCGTCTCTACTAAAAATACAAAAAATTAGCCGGGCGTGGTGGTGGCGCCTGTAGTCCCAGCTACTCGGGAGGCTGAGGCAGGAGAATGGCATGAACCCAGGAGGCGGAGCTTGCAGTGAGCAGAAATCGTGCCACTGCACTCCAGCCTGGGCGACAGAGCAAGACGCCGTCTCAAAAAAAAAACAAAAAAAAACAAAAGACATTAACGAGAGAAAAGCAAGCAAATATATTTAATACAAGTTTTACATGACATAGGAGCCTTCATAAGGAAATGAGGATGCAAAGAAACAGGCAAACTTGTGTATTTTTATGTTTAGGTTTGATGGAAGAAGTGGGTAGTCTTGGAGAAATATGATTGGACAAAGGCGGTATGATGTAATGGTAATAGGATCAGGGTTGGAGGGAACTTAGCAAGGCTGGTTTGTTCAGATTTTTCTGTATGTCCCTGTGTCTTCAGAGAAAAATGAGGCTTTCCTCTGGGAATAAGGAGGGTACCTCTTGAATGAGGATCTGATTACCTGCTTCAGGGGAGAAGGGTGAGGGGAAGCTGAGAGTGAGAATACTTTCTTGCGTCTGCTGTTTTCTCATATGCTAAGATGTCATATTTTGGGGTAGCATGTCTTGAACCCCATTATAAAGAATCAAAGTGGTGGCTGGAACATAATAGGTAGTCAGTAAATGTTTGAGATATTCTCAGAAGACTTAGTTCTGTCTTCTCAAATGGTTTCCCTAAAGTCTTAAAATAAATACATCAGAACTTCTTGTTCTGTGGTTTTAAAGTGTTTTGTGGAGTTTGATTCCAGAGGCTATAGGTGGTGTAAGGTATGAGCTTTGCTGTTAGTCAGATTTCCATTCTAAACTCCTGTGGCACATAGGCAAGCTCTTCTGCCCAGAGAAGGGCCTCTAGAGATGGCAGGTTTTGTGGTAAATGGATTGAAAAAGAGGAGGAGGAAACTTGGTAACTGGGAAACTTGGGTCACTTCTGCAGGCAGTTGCAGCCCACTGAATAGCAGTATGTCAGGACCTTAGTGGTGAAACCATTTTTCATTGTGATCTCTGTCTCTGTTATTCTAAGTGTCTCAAAAACTGGAACCATGTCTAAGTCCTCTGCTGTTTCAACACCTGACCCACAGTAGATATGCCAATGTATTTTTTTGAAATAATATCTATCTAAAGTGGAGAACTTCTGTGGCCCATAGAGTTCCATAAATCCCTAATGGCTCCTAATTCTTCACCCCAGCTTCACCTTGCAGAGATATTTGTATTTAACAAGGATTTTCTAGTCTTTAATCATAAGGATTTGCAGGATTTCAGGTCTTGGGTTTTTTAGGCCTTGCTCTGCTGCCTACTTCCCTTTGCAAATATGGTCAGGCCAGACAGCTATTTCCTTCATCCCTAGTCATTGTGTGGGACCTGCCAGGTTCTTTCGGGTTTTTAATGCTGGGGTGGTATTTGTGGCTTTAATGCACAAGAGTTGGGGAGCATGAAACCCACATGATCAGGTAAACATCATTCTCTCAGTGGGTCCAGGGTTATGAGAAAACATAATGCTGGGATGTTCTTTCTTCCCAACTCTACCCCTAGAATTGATACTTTTATGTAAGCCATTAATTCAGTAAATACCTTCTGAGCATATATACTGTGGATCAGACATTCTGCTGGGTGCTTTAAATAATTATCTTTCCAAATACTCACAAGTTAATACTTTGAGTTAGACTGAGGGTATTGCCTTCAATTTCGCAGAAAAGGAGTCTGAAGTTTAGATGAAAGGAAATGACTTGCCTTAGCTAGTAAAGGGCAGACCCAGGATTTGAAACCAAGTCTTCATGACTAAAAGATAATCATTGATTGTCATGCTTGTCTATGCTTTCAGAATGGGAAGCTCCTTGAAGATGCATGTCTGATTGAATTTTTGCTCCCTGTTCTCAGCACAGGGGCTAAAACAGAATTTTTAAAAAATTGAATATGTAATACATTGGAAAGTCCTAGATAGAATAGGGGAATTGGGGTGAGGGTATTGAGAAACTGTTTCCTAGTCCACATTATTTCCCTGGAGAAGCTCCAGTCCTTAGGGTGATTTTTTTTTTTTTTTTTTTTTTACCTATAGGATTGAAAAGGAAAGCATTATTCATTCCAGCAACCCATAAGGAAAACTAACACAAACATTGTAATGCTTTAAAGATCTTCGTGTCTCATTGGGAAAATAACACCTCCTTCACTGTGTTATTTTGAGGAAAAGTGAGATGATAAAAGAGTCTGCCTGAACTCTAACGTTTTATGTTAAGTTGTTTTCATGCCTGGCTTTACCTGCCCTATCCCCTTTCTGGGCTTCAGTTTCTCTATGTGTACAGTGAGATGTTGAACTGAATGGTCTTGCTGCTCTTCCTTCCTTCATTAACATGAGAACAGATAGTTGATGCCTCTGATGTTCATGTTGTTCCCATTGCCCTTTTCTCTTTAAGCGCACTGCCTAGTTTCCTTTAAAGTCGTTGCCTTCTTTAGTTTTCTTTTTAAGCTGTTTCTGTGTGGGCTAGTGTTCCCTTTTGAGGTTGAATTGAATTGTGTAAGGCCTCAGGAAGTGGTGGAAGCACCTTCCTCAAACCTGGTTGCACCAAAGGCCCATCAAGTCAAGTCTTGTCCCCAAAGAGGAAGAGAAAGCCTGGGGTTCTTAGCCCAGGCTAAGATTGAAGGAGTTTCTCTTTCGAGCTTTCTGGGTTAATTTCAAAACGTACAGGAGGGACATTTTCTTTTAAATTTCAAACACTCACCCTGTATATCATTAATATTCCTTAGCCATTTTTGTATAATATCATTTTTTAATTTCTATCCACCTTCTTAAATCTGTCCCTTGGGTCAGACAAAATGAATTCAACCTTTCCTCCACATGACAATTCTTTATAATCACAATAGTGATTTTATTACTGTTCTTCTCCAGCTAAATAGTTTCAAGAGTTTCTCAAATGACTACCTCTTTTTGCCTATTATACCACTTTGCTTTCCACAAAAAACTTCCCATGGGTAGTCCCTTCCTCATGCTAATCTTATTTCTGGTTCTGTATAACCTATCACTTCTTTGTAAGTTTTCACACTATTGCTGAAATAAGCCAAACATTCTTTCTCATGTTCCCTTAACTTGGGTCTCATAGCATTTTGTTTGTTTAACATGTTTTCCTTTGCTTGCTGTCCTTACACTCAACAACCTTCAAGACCAAGTTCAAATATCTGTCTCTGATGCCTTCTCTGACATTGTCCTCCTGTGCCAGGCAGAATTAGTATTTCTTCCTTCAGTGTTTATGTGTTACTCTGTTGTAATGGCTATGACATCATTTCTTATATTATATTTGTACTGTGTTATATTTTGTGTTGTACTGTATTGTAATTAATGTAATTTGTATATTCTACCTCTCCTTAAACACTTCTTCAAAACAACCCTTCCAAGGTTAGAAATACGTAGCAAATACCAGGTGGTCAATAAAAGAGGAAAGTACCACGCATTGAGTAACTTACTGCTGTGCAAGTTGCCTAATAAATATTCCCAATCCTCACAACAGGTCTCTGACATATTTTTCCATTTTTTCCCATATGAGTCTCCCATTTTACATATGAGGTAATTGAGGTCCAGAGAGATTAAATGATTAATTTCTGATCTCACAGCTGGTAACTCAGACAGAATTGGGATTCAAACCCAAGCTTGCTGATTCCAAAGCTTGAGTTGTGTTTGGAACTATTCTTCTGACTCCTAATTCAGTATTCTTTCTGTGCACATCAAAAACACACAAATTGAGTATGTAGATGTGTTTAATGCAGTGATGGACTAGAGTTCAAATGGGAGTGTGGTGGAATGAGGAGCAAATAGCTGTGGTACTCTCATAATTGTGTATTAAGAAATAGCCCTAGAGTTATTAATGCCTTAATTGCAACTGTAGGCAATTCTGTAATTTGGCATTTTAAAATGAATCTATTTTGGCTGGGCATGGTGGCTCACGCCTGTAATCCCAGCACTTTGGGAGGCTGAGGTGGGCGGATCACCTGAGATCAGGAGTTTGAGACCAGTCCGGCCAACATGATGAAACCCCCGTCTCTACTAAAAATACAAAAATTAGCTGGGCGTGGTGGTGGGCGCCTGTAATCCCAGCTACTTGGGAGGCTGAGGCAGGAGAATCGCTTGAACCCGGGAGGTGGAGGTTGCAGTGAGCTGAGATCGTGCCACTGCACTCCAGCCTGAGCGCGAGACTTCCCCTGAAAAAAAAAAAAAGAATCTGTTTCATCTTGTTAGCAGATATAACAACACCTACCTTTGGACATGTTCTGTTCTAAAAAGGGATGAAAAGCTGCTTCTCTCACACTACCACGGGCAAGATAGATGAGCTCAGCTTTGACTTGAAACAGTGTTAGTGCTTATGAAATCTTTCGCCTCCAAGTTTTGTCCTATTTTTGTTAGGTGCTGGTAACCTACCTTTCAGAGCTATAGAATCAGACAATGGGAATAATGGGATTCTTATCCCAACTATTTGAACAGGTTCTCACCAGGGAGAGCCCAAACACAAAGGACCTTTTTGGAGTTGGTAAAGAAGGCCAAAATGTAGACCCTGGGAAACACCTCTGCCTCCTTGTTTTGTGGCATGGGCTGCTGATTCATCCTATATTCTTTTAAGTTGGCTAATAGCGGATGTGTTATAGAAAGGTAACAAAAATAGGATCTAGCTCTTCTTATCTCTGTGTGGTTTTGGGTAAATGATTTATACTTCCTATGTCTTTATGTGTTTTAATCCAGTGATTCTTTCCAGGTGAAGGGATCCTGTTGTACAGGGACCACACATCTTTGCTGCTCAGGGACTATGCAAGGCTCTAGATTACAGCTTCTTTTGCTCTCCTTTTTTGTTTTTTTTTTTTCTTTTTGTCACAGCTCCCCTATTCACTATTATTCTAAACAGTTTTTGAAATCTCTTACCGTCTGATGTCCCCTCACCCATTCTCTTTATTGTTGAGGTTCATACCTCTTTTATAGCTTTACCATCATTTTAGAGTGATTTTGGGAGGGAACATAAGTAAATGTGTTTTCAATCTGCCAATTTTAACTAGAAACAAACTTCAAAGGAAGTTAAACCAATAGAAAACTGAAGTTGCATTTATATCTAGAGTTATAAAAACTTTACCATGAAAGTACATGAGAGGATAGACCTTTCAATGAGATGTTCTGGATTCAAATCTTAGCTCCATCATCTATTAACTATATGACCTTGGGTCTGAACTTTCTTTTTTTTTTTTTTTTTTTTTTTGAGACAGGGTCTCGCTGTTTCACTCAGGCTGGAGTGTAGTGGCATGATCTTGGCTCACTGCAACCTCTGTCTCCTGGGTTCAAGTGTTTCTCATGGCTCAGCCTCCTGAGTAGCTGGGATTACAAGCCTGCACCAGCATGCCTGGCTAATTTTTGTATTTTTAGTAGATTCAGGGTTTCGCCATGTTGGCCAGGCTGGTCTCGAACTCCTGGCCTCAGGTGATCCACCCACCTCGGCCTCCCAAAGTGCTGGGATTACAGGTGTGAGCCACCGTGCCCAGCCTGGGTCTGAGCTTCTTAATAAAGGATAGGCCAGCACAGCCTAGCATAGAGACAGTGAGTCAAACATTTTAATATCATGAACAACAAATATTATATTTATTATCTGCTGCATGCTAGTGCTAGACCCTAGAGATACAAAGATGACTAAGATTCACTTCCTTTCTTGGAGAAGCTTGCAGACTAGTGGCAAAGAAAGAGAAAATAATACTTTAGGAACTGTTGATTGAGCATGTACTATGAACTGTGATAAGTACTGGAGATATAAAGATGAATGAGACAGTTTCAACCCTGAATGTGCTTATTGTATAGTGGGGGTGGGGTGATGAGAAGGAGCCCTGTAAATCAATAACTAATACAACGGACAAGGGAGAATAGGGCATTTACGATCAAGAAGGGAGAAGTGGTATCTGTAAGTTGAAGAAGATACCGCTTCAGGATTGCACTACATGATCTTTAAGCTCTCTCTTGGCCCCAAACAGTCCATGATTCTATATGTGATAGATATTATGTATATAAAAAGCTCATGAAGAGAAATGTAGATTTTTAAATAGCTCACTCCGGTGTGAAACAGAATTAGGGAAGTAGGAAAAGTGATTTTCTGGTTATCACATTCTAAAACAACAGTGGTTGTTGAACATTTTCCAGAAAGTGATCAAGAGAGCAAATGTTTCCTGAATACCTTGCCTGAGGTCAGTTTTTCCCTAAGAATGGTAGATGATACCAAAGAAGTATAAAATAGTGTTTCTGCCCTTAAAAAACTTTGATTTCATTAAGAATGTAGGATATATACACTAAAAATAAATTGAACAGTGCCACCAAATAAACTGGGTACAAACTTTAGTAGTTTAGAGAAAGGTGGCTGTATTAGTTTCCTAGTGCTGCTGTACCACAGATTGGGTGACTTAGAAAAACAGAAATTTGTGGTCTCTCAGTTCTAGAGGCCAGAAGGTTGAAATCAAGGTTTTTGCAGGTCCACCTCTGGAGGTGCCTGGCCTCTATCCTAGTTTCTGTTACCCTCTGGCCTTTCTTGGCTTATGGATGGCTTCTTTTCCCTTTGTCCTTTCACCTAATCTTATCTCTGTGTGTGATTGTCTCTTGTGTCCAAATTTCCCCTTTTTATAAGGACACCAATTATATTGGATTAGGGTCCACCCTAATGACCTCATTTTAACTTGATTACGTCTGTAACTACTCTAATTCCAAATAAGGTCAATCCTAAGGTATTGGTGGTTAGGATTTTAACATTTTTTTTTTTTTGAGACACAATTCAACCCATAACAGTAGGCTGGATGGTCAGGAAAAGAACTTGGTCAGGTAGGATTTGGATTAGCAGAGAGAAGTAGAGATATTGTGGGATAAGTCCTTGCAGTATTCAGACCTCCATCAGAGGACACTTGAGGTGAATTCATCTTGGTGGAACCAAGGAGTTTTGAGATCCCCCAAACAGGGACATTTGGAGGAAAAAGACAACTTCAGTTTTTTTACTTAGTTGTTTTTGTGTATATTATACTATTGTGGGCAGCTTTTCTTTTTCTAGAAGCAATTTTGTTGCTGTATGCCACATTTCTAGTCATGACCATTAAGATGTTGATTGCATGGTATATAACAATTTATTCTTAGGCAACAGAAATTAAATTATTTTAACTTACATGGCCATTCACAATAATAGAAGATGTTTTGCTTCGTAATTGTGATGAGTTTACAAAGAGTTAGATGGCTTCACTCAGAGAATTTCACATTAGAAAACGAGGGTGAATCAGGACATTTCTCAATCTGTGGCTCTGGGGGTTAGGCCAATAGTTTTTGAGCATGACCACACCCGGGAAACTTAAAAATATAAGCTTCCTGATGATACCCACGTCCCACCCTGGACCAAATAAGTTAAATTTGGGGGATGGTGGTTGGTATGGGACCCAGGCGTCGGGTTTTTTTTTTTTTTTTTTTAGAGCTCTCCAGGTTTACGTACCTGGTTGCAGCTCACTGGGTTAGGAGAATAAGAAGGAAACTGGATTCTTGTCCTTGCTGTGACCTTTTGGCCATTCCCTAAAACTTTCCAGTTTCAAGTACATCTCTTCTGAGAATAAGGAAATCTAGGTATATTATGTCTGAGAATAAAGAAATCTAGGTATATTGTGTCTGGCAAGTTCCATCTGTTTAATAACCATGGGTAAGTCACTGGAATTCTTTTTGAGTCTCAGTTTGCTCATTTATAGAAGAGAGATAATTGAAACTGCTCTCCAGTGTTGCTGTGACAATAAAATATTTGCAGATATTTCAAAATGCTATGTAGACTCCAGAATACTATATACTGTAAATGTGAGGGGTGTTTTATTTTCATTGACAGACAACTTGCTGAAGATATCACAGCTGCTTGGTGCCCTAGACAGGTTCAGAATTCTCACCTTCTGAATCTTTTAATTTTCTCATTAATTTGAACTGTGATTTTGCTTCCTTTTTCTTTTATTAAGTTGTACCTGAATGCCTTCTGTTTTGGATACTTCGAGATCCCTTGGTGTCATTAAAAGCTTACTGAATTAATGGAAAAAACATGGTCTTTAGAGTTGCATGAATTTGAGGTTCAATCCTGGCTCCATTAATAACCAAATCATTTTAACCTCTTAAGTTTCAGTTTTCCTGTATGTAAAATGGAGTATTACATGGGAAATAATGTAAATGTACTTAGCATTTTGCTTGATACCTAATAAGCACTGGTGATTATGGCTTCTTGTTATTATGAGGGGCAGTAATAGAGGGGGATACTTACATTACAGTTGGATAAGGGTTGTAGTAGAGGCCTTTCCATTTGACTTCACTGAGCAGAGCCATCTCCTTGTGGTGGCTGTTGGGAATGGGCTTGCTGGGGAGTCTTCCACAGTCTATTATAACAATCTTACTTTGTATAATTCTTTTTTTTTTTTTTTTTTTAAGAGACGGAGTCTCACTCTGTTGCCAGGCTGCAGTGATCACGGCTCACTGCAACCTCTGCCTCCTGGGTTCAAGTGATTCTCCTGCCTCAGCATCCTGAGACTACAGGCGTGCGCTACCACACCCGGCTAATTTTTGTATTTTTAGTAGAGACGGGGTTTTACCATGTTGGCCATGATGGTCTTGATCTCCTGACCTCGTGATCCACCCACCTCGGCCTCCCAAAGTGCTGGGATTACAGGCATGAGCCACCAGGCCCAGCCTACTTTGTATAATTCTATACTGTTTTAGATACTTTTAGAAACTATTCTCATTTAATCCTCACAATAATCTGCAAGGAAGGTGATATCTCTGTATCTTCAATAAGGAAACCATGGCTAAGAGAGATGAAATGAATTGCACAAGGTCACCTTGTGAATAAGCAGCAGAGACTGTTGTTGTTTAAGGAGAAGCCCCAAGCCTTGAGGCTTTGGGTTTCATTTCGGCTGGACTTTTGGTTTCATGATCGGGGCTTTCTGATGTTAACCCAGGAAACCTTAGTTTGATGGTTGTATTAGTTATCTATTGTTGTGTAGACAAATTACCTGCAAAACTAGCAGTTTTAAAAAAATAAACATTTATTATTTCACACAGTTTCTGAGGGTCAGGAATCTTAGAGTGGCTGGGCTGGGTGGTTCTGCTTCACTGTCTGTAATGGGGTTACAGCCAAACTGTTGCCCAGGACTGCAGTCATCTGGAGGCTCAAGCAGGGCTGGAATGAACTCCTTCCAAGTTCACTCATGCCGTTCATTGTTGGCCAGCCTCAGTTTCTTCCTGGCTGTTGGCTAAAAGCTTCAGTTCTTTGCCATGTGTGCCTGTCCATAGGGCAGGGCAGTTCACAGCATATCAGCTGGCTTCCTCAAAGAAGAGATCCAAGAGAGAGGAGAGTAATCAAAACAGAAGCTGCTGTGTCTAATGTAATCAAACTTCAGAAGTGACATACCATCACTTCTGTTGTATTCTTTCAGTCACATAGACCAACCCTGTGGGAGAGGACTCTACAAGGATGCAAATACCAGGAGACAGGGAACATAGGGTACTATCTTAGAGGCTGGCTACCTCCAAGTAGTGGTTTTCACAGTGGTAGAAAAATTTTGAGACCAGGCTATACATATCATGTATTAAGGAATTAACTTTAATAAACAGGTTAAGATTCTATTCCATGTTCCAGGCATGGTGGATATGAGGAGAATTCCCATATGTCTTTAAGGGATAGTTTCTGAGGGTGAAGGGAGCAGGGATTCCTTCAGAAGCCTTCTGGGTCTCATTTTTCTACTATTAATTTTTCTAAGTTGGTAACACAACCATGCCTGTTTTACCAGCAACCAGACACTTTCGTGAGGGTCGGGAACACAAGAAGATTTCTTTGCTATTGGGTGTTACCTGGTGATTTGGTCCTTGCAGGTCTGAGCATTTTGACTCTTACTTGTGGAGAAAATTAGCTGATGAAACTGTGCATCTCCAATACTTAATGCTTTTAAAAACTCACATTCAGTTTTACATGATCATCTCAAAGGAGTAGTGATGAGATGGGAAATCAGCTAACCTTGAAGTCAGTACATCTGGGTTTGAGTTCTTGCTTTGCCACTAACTGACCATGTGATCCTAAGTCATGTTCTCTCTCTGGACTGCAGTTTCCTTAAGTATAACAAGGAAGTGTTAAACTAGGGCTTTGAAGTGGAGCCTCACAAGCTACCTGGGTAAGGTTGGGAGGTGAGAAGAGGCTGAGGAAATAGAACTTATCCACCTCCATTTCAGCCAGAGAAGCTCTACTTTTCGTCTGTTGAAATATTGGCATTACTGTAAGATTTGATTGGAAAAAGAGGTAGAGAGACTTTACAAAAAAGCTTGGAAACCACTGGATTGAGTGATTGAATTCTCAAAGGACTTCTCAGTGAAAAGAAATGGGTTGGCTTTTCTGATGCCATTGAGCAAGGACTAGCCCAAGGGGTATGGGATTACCCTCCTTTTTACAGATAGGATGGCAGAGAAATGGACCTAGATGTCTCTAAGAAACTTAGGCCTTTTCCTCACCTTCTTTCCTTTAGATTTTTTTTTTTTTAAGACGGTATTTGGAGAGATGGGCATTAAATACCGATGGCTGCATCTCCTGTCTCTAAGCTGATTGAAGCTTCTTCAGGAACAGGATCCAGGTCTGCAGGGCTAAAGGCCTTCCCTTGAAAGGCAGAGTATGGTACAGGCCTCTTGGGAGAGGAGGGGGTCAAGTGAGTTAGCAGCAGGTGAGAAGGACTGGTCTTCTAAGTTGGTCTCTGCCTCCTTTGGATTATTTAGCTGTAAACATACTTTCCCTGGCCTATATGGATCCCCAAGCCCATCTAGCTTTTGGAGAACAAACTAATGGAGGAGGTAGAGGTGGGAGGAGCAGGTAGAGGTGGGAGGAGCAGGTAGAGGTGGGAGGGGCAGATAGAGGTGGGAGGAATTCAGATGAATCTTGCTTCCAGCAGCTTAGAAGGTCTCTTGTTTTTTGGTGGCTTCAATGCATATTGTTATTTCCCTTGCTGTATACAGCAGGTCTTTACTAGCTGATTGAAGCTTATCTCTAATCATCTTTTCCCTACTGTCTGTTTTCTTTCTTTCCAAGTAAATATTCTATTTTGGAATAGAAGCCTGGAAATTAATGGTTTAGTAGAAAGATTCTAAGAGTTCTATTTAGAATCAGCAGAGGTGAGTCAAGTTCCAGGTTTTCTATTTACCTGTGTGACTATGGGCAAGTTTTTTAACCTTTCTCAGTTTGTTTCCTCATTTATAAATTAGGATTGCTGTGAAGATTAAAGGATATAGGCATGTTAAGTATGGTACTTACCCTTATAGTAAGTGCCCTTATAGTAGGTGCTAAGTATTTATTATTATTTTTGTTCTTTATTTTTTATTTTTAGAGATGGGGGTCTCACTATTTTGCCTAGGCTGGTCTCAAAACTCCTGGCCTCACACTATTCTCCTGCTTCCGCCTCCTCAGTAGCTAGGATTATAGATGCGAGGCCCTGCACCTGGCTATTTTTGTTCTCGTATGTTTGAAAGTTTAGGATAGATGCTAATTAAATTCTAAAAAATACCATTTTATAGCAGAGTAACAAAATCAGTACTGAAGAAATTTTTCAAATGATCTTTTCTGATATATTCATTTTATACTTGGAATTGGTACATTTTACACTTGGCTCAGAGTGAAGCAGTGAATGGTCCAACGTTACCTGTGGAGGCACCGGGGATTAAGTTTATAATACCTGATTCTCCGATGACAGGTGTACCTTAGACTAGTCTGGGTGACTGGGGCTGGATTAAATATCCATACTAGGTTTCTAACTTTATGCTTTGAGGGCCATTGATTTGTGTGACCTGAGAAGCCAGTGGCTACCTTGAGCTTAGGTACTGCTGAGTGGAGCCAATCTTATACCTTCCCACTCTCCTGAGAAATTTTCCCTGATACAGACCCAGGCACCTGATGGTTCTTGACAATTTAAATTTCCTTGACAATTTAGTCCTCTTTCCCTCTCCATATGTTAAACCCAGAAAAGAGAAGGCAAGTACAGTATAGCCATGATGTCTCTGGAAGTGAATGACCCATTGTACTGAGGTAGAGACATAGAAGGAGGGCAGGAGAAAGGATAGGACCAGAAAAGTCCTTGGGTATTTTTTTTTCTCTAGAAGTCTGCTAAGGGTTATTCTTTCTGTAATTGTCTGAAAAGAGAATTGTAGAATATTAGGGACTGAAATTTCCCTTTAGGGGCATCTAACACAACCTTTAACCCATGTTTGAACTCTCTCTTCAAAGTTCCTGCCAGGTAGTTTTCCAGTATCTGTGTACTTCCATGTTGGTGAGCCCTGTACTTCTAGAAGCAGGCATTTTCTTGGTTAGATATTTTGGCTTTCATTTTTTATTTTATGTATATATATAATTTTGGCTTTTAAAACTAGAAGTAGAAGCAGTTATTTTCTTGGTTAGATATTTTGGCTTTTTGGTTTTAAAAGCCAAAGCCCTAACTTTTAAAAGATAGAAGAGATAGCATGCTCCTCTATAGGGCTTCTAGTTTTAAAACTAGAGTAGAAGCACTCATTTTCTTGGTTAGATATTTTGGCTTTTTCTTTTAAAAACTAAACTAAAGTTTAGTTTGGCTTAAAAGCCAAAGTCCTAACATTTAAAAGATAGAGGAGATAGCATGCTCTTCATGGCTTCGAATCACTGGCCTCTCACATGAGGAAACAGGCTTAGGCAAATGAAATGATGTATATCGGACCATTGGGTGTGACTCTTCCACTCTGCCTCCAGCTAAGAGAATCAGGCAAGACAGAGACCCAGGAGCTCAGTTCTAGAGCCTCAAATTCATCCTCATGTCTTTGTGGGTGAGTGGTTTTTATTAAAATAATTTATTTTTTCATAGGCTTGCAGAATGTACTAGTACTAGAAAGAAATTTACTGATCATATAGTCTATTTTAATCACCATTTTATAGATTAATAACTGAGTTCCAGAGAGGTAAAGCCATCTGCCCAATGTCATACACAGAGGTTCTGTGACAGAACTGACGTTAGGACTGTGGTTTCCTGGTAGCAAGACCTAGATGTCTTTCCATAAACAGCTCTTTTAGAGAAGCTGTTACCAAGCTCTAAAACTATATATTTTTAAGTGCCATGTGACCTGTGTACCTTGAGATTTCTATTGGGAGCAACAGCATTAGTTAAAATTACACAGATTTCAGTCTAAAAATATCAAGTTGTTCTTCAGCCTAACACGAGAAGGTAAAGGGCTCCATCCACAAACATTTATAGAGCACCTAAAGAAGCTCATTGTCTGTTTTGGAGGCAAGCCTTTGATACAGTTTGGATATGTGTCCTGGGCCCAAATCTCATGTTTAATTGTAATCCCTAATGTTGGAGGTGGGGCTTGGTGAGAGGTGGTTGGATCATGGGAATGGATTTCTCATGAATGGTTTAGCACTATCCCCTTGGTGCTGTTCTCATGATAGTGAGTGAATTCTCATGAGATCTGGTTGTTTAAAAGTGTGTGGCACCTCTTGCACCCCTCTCTCTTGCTCCTGCTCTGGCTATGTGACGTGCCTGTTTCCCTCTTTACCTTCTGCCATGATTGTAAGTGTCCTGGGGCTTCCCCAGAAGGACAGGTCCTTGGGAAGGTATTTTAACTGGGGAGGGTGGGGACAGAGGCCAGTGCTGTGTTTGACCTCTGATGATGCTGGAAAAGAAATAGATGTTGTTTTCAAACTGGGTAGTCCAAGGAGAAGAGGGAGAAGGAAAGGAAATGCTTGTGAGGTACCTGAGACATATTGTTGAGTTAGCTCTTGGAAGCAGCACAAGTCTGGGAATCAGGAGACCTCAGTTCCAGTGCTGGCTTTCCTATTGAATATCTATTCTTTTGTAGATTACTTGCTCATTCTAAGTCTTGGAGATATCGAAAACATTTATACCTATCTAATAAAGTCTAGAAGGGAGATCCATATACTCTTAAAGAGTTCAGAGGAGTTCACGAGAGAACTTTTGTTTGATTTGTTTTAGTCTATATTTGAATTTCTCAATCTTGGTACTGTGTATATTTTGGACCGCATAAGTCTTTGGGGAGTATGGGGCTGTCCTGTGCCTCATAGGATGTTTAGTTGCATCCCTGTCCTCTGCCTGCTAGATGCCGGTAGTGGCTACCTCTTCCCCAAGACATGACAATAAAAAACATCTCTAGACATTGCCAAATGTCACCTGGAAGGCAAAATCAACTTTTGTTGAGAACCAGTGGTCTGTATTCATGTGAATTGTGGGGACAGCTAAAAGATAAAATTAATAATATTATTATAATCTTATTTAGCACTCACTGTGTACCAGACACTGTTCTAAGCCTTTATTTAATCCTCATAATAATCGTATAAGTTAGGTACTCTTACTATCACTGTTTCACAGATGAGGAAATTGAAGGAAAGTAAGGTTAAGTGAATTAATAGCAGTTAATGTTTTTCTAAGTATGTGTCAGGGACTGTGCTAAGTACCTGACCTATATGTTATCTCATTTAATACTTACAATCACTCTGTGAAGTGAGTTCTGATGTTATCATTGTTTTACAGATGGGAACAGATAGGCATAGATCTGTTGTGTGCCTAACCTGCTACTGAATGTTGAGGGCACACTAGAGTAAATGATTTACCTCTTTATCTTAATGATTTAGTGTTGTTATCCCAATTCATTGTTTTAGTTTCCAGACGACTTTTTCCTATTTTATCCTCAGAACAGTACTGTGAAATAGGTAGTATCATCCCCATTTTATAGATAAAGAAACAGACTCAGAGAAAGAGGCTTGTGTAAAATCTCATAGTAACTGATGCAACTGACTGGCATCTGTCGCGCATTTTAGTTTATTTGTGATTGACCATGATGCTTCCAGCTATACTAAGAAGCAGGCAGTCAGGTGACATACTGTACAGCAAAGAAATACTGAGTCCCTGTTTGAGATGGAGGGAGAGCTGAGAGAAGCTTCTTCTGATATGTAATTTGGAGTTTGCTGGTGAAGTTTTCTTCTGCATATGTGCTTTCCCACGCATATCTTACTTCCTGATTGGCACTGGCTGTGTATCACAAGTTGTAATTATGTTATAATTAGATTGTTTATTTCTTTAACATCTGACTTCTGCAGTGTTCTATCCTATAAGTTACATAAATGTAGGACTCTGTTTTGTTCACAGTATTCCAGCACAGTGTCTTGCATGCAGTAGTCACTTTATGAAAATTCTGAATCAGTAGGCACATGAGAGGTAATTAAGAGAGAGAGATAAATTGACTTAGTCAAGATTATATAGCAGTTTGGTAGCACTTCTGGGACTAGATCTGATTTTTTCTATCCTTAAGCCCAGAATTCTTTGTACAACATAGTGCTGCTTGCCACATGCCTATCATGATTAGAGCTATATGATTTTGCTCTGTGGTCTTAGCCAAATCTGTTGGTTTTCTTTTCTGTAAACAAAAGTATTAAACAGCTGTTCTTTTCTCCTTCCCATCTTTGGTTGCCCACCAGTGATATCCTGGTGTGGCCTCCAACCATAGAGTAAGTGTCTGCTGAGAAACAGGGAAACCTTACTCTCCCTGCCAACCTGGAACTGGGAATCATGTTATTTCTCCTGAACACCTTCCTATTTCAGTGGTGATGTGGCGGTCATGGTCTACCAATTGAAACAGAAAGCAGAGTTTGGATTATAGAGGAAGAAGGCAGTTGGAGTAGCTACTTTAACCCTTCTTTATTCAGAACTGCACTCTGAGTGCCTATGTACACATACTCTAGCGCCTTCTTACTCTTCATTATAAACATTGGGGTCTGCTCATTTTCCCTTTAGTTTGTTGGAAAAACACACAAATCTACTTAAATTAGTTGAGGAAAATGTCCTCTTCCATTTTCAGTTATTTTGTTCAGTAATACTAGTGATAAGGGATGTCTATTAAGAGAAAATATGTGGGCCGGGCGCAGTGGCTTACGCCTATAATCCCAGCACTTTGGGAGGCCGAGGCAGGCGGATCACGAGGTCAGGAGATTGAGACCATCCTGGCTAACATGGTGAAACTCCGTCTCTACTAAAAATACAAAAAAAAAAAAAAAAAAAAAAAAGCCAGGTGTAGTGGCGGGCGCCTGTAGTCCCAGCTACTTGGGAGGCTGAGGCAAGAGAATGGCGTGAACCCGGGAGGCGGAGCTTGCAGTGAGCCGAGATCAGGCCACTGCACTCCAGCCTGGGGGACAGAGTGAGACTCCGTCTCAAAAAAAAAAAAAAAAAGAGAAAATATGTGTCTCTGGAAATTAGCTATATGCAAGGCACTTCCATGTCTGTTTTCTTACATAATCTTCCAGCCACCTTGCGAAGGCAGGGATTACTATTTTTATCCTAACTTTACAGAGAAGCTAAGGTTCAGTGTGAAGTCATGATCATATAGATAGTGATAGACCAGGATTTGACCTCAACTTGACTGACCCTTTAAGTCCAGTGGGTATTCTTGCCATTCTACCATAGTTGTGTATGTGTGTATGGGTATGTTTAGCAGCTTTATTGAGATAATTCACATACCATGAAATTCACCTACTTAGAGTGTATACAATTCAGTGTTTTTTTTCTTGTTTCCGGTGGGGTTTTAATTTCAATTTTTTTTTTTTTTGTATATTCACAGGGTTGTACAAGTACTACAATCTAGTTTTAGAATATTTTGTCTTGGCTGGGCATAGTGGCTCATGCCTGTAATTCCAGCACTTCGGGAAGCTGAATCAGGAAGATCCTTTGAGCCTAGGAGTTTGGGAACTAGACTGGGCAACATAGGGAAACCCTGTCTCTACAAAAAAAAAATTCAAAAATTATCTGGGCCAGGCCTGGTGGCTTATGTCTGTAATCCCACCACTTTGAGAGGCCGAGGTAGGCAGATCTCTTGAGCTCAGGAGTTGGAGACCAGCCTGGGCAACATGGCAAAATCCTGTCTCTACAAAAAATACAAAAATTAGCCAGGCGTGGTGGTGCATGCCTGTAGTCCCAGCTACTCGGGAGGCTGAGGTGGGAGGATCAGTGGAGCCCGGGAGGCAGAGGTTGCAGTGAGCAGACATCATGCTACTGCACTCCAGCCTGGTAATAGAGTGAGAACCTGTCTCAATAAATAAGTAAATAAATAAAATTAGCTGGGCATAGTGGTGTCTCCCTGTGGTTTCAGCTACTTGGGAGGCTGAGGTGGGAAGATCGCTTGAGCCCAGGAGGTTGAGGTTACAGGTGGGCCATGATAGTTCCACTGCTCTCCAGCCTGGGGGTGACATAGCAATACCCCATCCCCTCTCCAAAAAAAAAAAGAAAAAGAATATTTTGTCCTCCTAAAAGAAACATGGATGTTGTAATGTGTGTTTTTCATTTTATTGCTAAATAATATTTGGCAGTATTTTTTTGCTGAAAAATATTCTATTGTATGGAATTCTGTTTATCTATGTAATTGTATTTACTGCTGAATTCTGTTGTATGGATATGCCACATTTTATTTATTCCTTTATCAGTTCATGGATATTTGGGTTGTTTCCATTTTTTGGCTGCGACTAATGCTACTATGAACATTTATGTACATTTTTTGTGTAGATATATATTTTCATTTACCTTTAAGTATATATTTAGGAGTAGAATTGCAGGGTCATGTGCTAACTCTATGTTTAACTTTTTGAGGAACTACCTGACTGTTTTCTAAAGGGGCTGTACCATTTTACATTTCCACCAGCAGTGTATGAGAGTTCTAATTTCTCCACATCCTTGTAAATACTTGTTACTATCTTTTTATTTTAGGCATCTTAGTGGGTGTGAAATGGTATCTGTCTCATATGGTTTTGATTTGAATTTCCTTAAAGACTAATGATTTTGAGTATCTTTTCATGTGTTTATTGGCCACTTGGATATCTTCCTGGGACAAATGTCTATTTAGAGCCTTTGTCCATTTTTAAATTGGTTTGTCTTTTTACTGTTTATTTATTTTTTGAGACGCAGTCTTGCTCTGTCGCCCACGCTGGAGTGCAGTGGTGCGATCTTGACTCACTGCAACCTCTGTCTCCCGTGTTCAAGCGATTCTCCTGCCTCAGCCTCTCCAGTAGCTGGGACTACAGGAGCGTGCCACCACGCCCAGCTAATTTTTTGTATTTTTAGTAGAGACAGGGTTTCACCGTGTTAGCCAGGATGGTCTTGATCTCCTGACCTCATGATCCGCCTGCCTCGGCCCCCCAAAGTGCTGGGATTACAGGTGTGAGCCACTGCGCCCAGCCTCTTTTTTACTATTATTATAAGAGTTCTTTATATATCCTGGATACAAGTCTCCTATCAAATATATGTTTTGCAAATATTTTCTCCAATTTTGTGGATTGTCTTTTTGCTTTCTTGATGACATTATTTATAGCACAAAAGTTTTTATTTTTGATGTAGTCCAGTTTATTTAGTTCTTCTTTTGTTGTTTGCTTTTGGTGTTATGTCTAAGAAACCATTCAGGGTCATGAATATTTACACCTATGTTTTCCTCTGAGAGTTTTATACTTTTAGCTCTTACAGTTAAAGCTGTGATCCATTTTGAGTTAGTTTTTCCATGTGGTATGAGGTGATAGAGGTCAATTTTCATTCTTTTGCATGTTTATATCCAGTTGTTTCAGCACCCTTTGTTGAAAAGACTATTCTTTCTTCGTTGCATTGTCTTGGCACTCTTGTTGAAAAATAATTGACCACAAACATAAGCATTAATTTCTTGACTCTCAGTTCCATTTAATTGATCTGTATCTTTATTCTTATGCCAATACCATACTGTCTTGATTACTCTAGGTTTATAATCAAGTTTTGAAATTGGGAAGTATTAGTCTTCTTTGTTTTTCTTTTTCAAGGTTGTACAAGTTTTACACTTCTGTTTTTCTTTTTGATGCTATTCTAAATGTTTTTTTTTTTAATTTCAGTTTTTGGATTGTTCATTGCTGTGTATAGAAATACAGTTGATTTTTGTATCCTGAAACCTTGTTGAACTTTTTAATTCCAACAGATTTTTTTTTTGGTGTTGATTCCTTAGAATTTTCTATATACAAGATTATGTCATCTGTGAATATAGATAGTTTTACTCTTTTTTTGAGACAGGGTCTCATTCCGCCACCTAGGCAGGAGTGCAGTGGTGCAATTGTAGTTCACTGCAACCTTGATTTCTTGGGTTTAAGCATTCCTCCAGCCTCAGCCTCCTGATTAGCTGAGACTACAGGTGCATGCCACCACAACCAGCTAAACTGCTTTTTTTCTAATCTAGGTGCTTGTATTTCTTTTTCTTTTCTTTATTTCTTTTTTTTTTCCACCTAATTGCTCTGACCAGAACCTTCAGTGCAATGTTAAATAGAAGTGGCAAAAATGGACATCTTTGTCTTGTTTCTGATTTTAGGGAGAAAGCATTCAGTTTAGTATGATATTAACTGTGGGTTTTTCATAGATGCCTTTATCAGATTAAGGAAGTTGCCTTCTATTCCTCATTTCTTGAGTATTTTTTTTGTAAGAGGGTATCAGATTTTGTCAAATGCTTTTTCTGTGTCAACAGAGATAATTCTATGGCTTTTTCCCTTTATTGTGTTATTATGGGGTATTAATGAATTGATTTTTTGGATATTAAAACAACCTTGCATATCTGGAATCATTATGTCATACTACAATTACTTGTTGAGCACCAACTGTTTAAGCTTGTGGGAGGACACAGATGAGTAAGATGGGGTTATTCACGTTAATTGAGGAGACAAAAAAAACCCACACAGGCTTAAACTTTAGAGTACAAGAGTGGGATAAAGACAGTACCTTGTGTTGATGTGTGATAAACAGTTACCAAATGAACTTTAGAGTGACCTTATTTTAAGGCCATTCAGCAGTTATAGGATTGGCATATTGTTACTTTTTGTGACTTCAGGTATATCCTTTCTCTTCTCCAGATATCAGCTTCACCATCTATACGTGGGTAAGTTAGACTTGGTATTTAAGACCCCTTCTAGTTATGACATGTTGTGAAATTACTTGGCTTTTGTGGGGCTTCTTCACTTAGGTCCTTATGAAGAGTGCCATTTTGATAGCTCCAAGTAGCTAGAAAGATGAGTCTTCCTGTTCTGGTTCAGAGTGGGGGAAAGATGCTTTACTTCTTTCTTCGTTGGCCTTAACTGCACTCTCATCTCAGAGAGATGATTGCCTTCCATATCAGTCCACATTCTGGTGAAAGGGGTAACTCTTAAGAAAGACCATTTCCCTTAGCATCACATAAGTCCTACGAGAGGAAAAGACCACTGAAGAGGGTATTAGGAGTACATGTTTTTCAGGACTCAGCTATATGTTTAACTCATTGTTAAACATTGGGTAGGTCAGTTCATTCTGTTCATACTTCGGTTCCTTAGAGAATAACACTTCTATTGCATAATCTCTCAGGGTTGATATGAGACATAAATTATATCCTAGATGCATACAAAGCTTTATATATTGGTTATTTGCAAAAGGTAGAGTTGCATAATGTAGCAGAAATGCAAATTATCTTGTAAATGTTGTAAAATAATGCAGATAATGTAGTAAATACTAGCAAAATTTTGCAAATAATGTAGCAAAAATGCACTAAATAAATCAGTGGTCCCCAACATTTTTGGCATTAGGGACTGGTTTCAGGGAAGACAATTTTTCCATGGACTGAGCTTGTGGGGGTGGGGGTGGTTCAGAATGATGCAAATGCATTACATTTATCATTAGATTCTCATAAGGAACACACAACCTAGATCCTTCTCATGTGTAGTTCACAGTAGAGTTTGTGCTCCTATCAGAATCTAATGCTGCCACTGATCTGACAGGAGGTGGAGCTCAGCTTTGCTCCCTTGTCCCCTTCTGTGAGGCCCAGTTCCTAACAGGCCATGGTACTGGTCTTCGGAGTTGGGGACCCCTGAAATTAGTTACTATATTTTAGGCTCCTACTGTGTTTCTGGCACTTCTGATATGTGCTTTAAAGATTCTTTTCCTAACGCTTTACAACAATTATTTGTCCCCATTTAACAGAGGAGGAAATTCCAGTTCAAAGAGATTAAATAATCATCCCAAGGGGGAAGAGTCAGCAATCACAACTGGATCTAACTCTAGAGTCCATATTCTTTCTATTATATTTTTCTGCCCTTTGGTAAAGAGATGTTTTCCTCTATTCCACTTGTTTTGAAAAGGTCTTGATAGTGTGGGTCACATTGGTCCATTTTAAGAAAGGATAAAATTTGCTTTTGTTGACAGCTACAGCTTGTCCCCACTGTCTAAACAGTACTAGACTTTGGAGGAGACAGTAGGTCTGAGACTAATTTAGTCACTGGTTATTCGGACACTCATAGGACTGGGCCAAAATGGGAACAAGGACTCTTCGAATAGCAAGGTCATTATCTCAGTGTTGAAGGAACATTTGAAGTTATTAAACTTTGTTCTCATCAAATGGGGGAGTCTGAAATATGTTTTTCCTCACCAAAAACCCGATGTCCTGTAAACCTCAGCCTGACTCACTTGAAGATTTGTTATCTTCTTTTTTTTTTCTATAACCCCCAATATTTAATCACTATGAGACACATAACCTTCTAATTCTTAGAAGAGTATTTTCTTTGGCACCACACAAGCCCTATATAGCAGGAAGGAAATATGAGGTTCAGAAAGAGTCTAGTCTCAGTCTTACCTTTAACTTCACTGTGTGACCCTGGAAAAATATCTTTCTTCTCTACTCCCACTGCTACTGCTGTATTCTAGATCTTCATCATCTGTTTTGTTTTTATTAAAATAATTTAAAAAGCGATATCAAACTTAGTTTTTCTGGGTCATTTGAGAATGAGTTGCTGACATGACCCTCCATCAACCCCACATTATTTCCTACATAATAAGATGGTTGTGTAAGTACAATGCAACCATCAAAATCAGGAAATAAACACTGTTACATTACTATTATCTAATCCTCATACCCATTCAAGCTTTGCCAATTGTCCGACTGTCTTTTACAGCAAAAGAATATAGTTCAGAATCACGTGTTACATTTAGAAGCTACATCTTTTTAGTGTCCTCGGTCTTTCCTTAACTTTGATAACCTTGACACTTCTGAAGATTACAGGCCAATTATTTTGTAGAATATCAGATAAAGCAGGTGTTTTATAGAATGTCATCACCAGTCTTACGTTATGCTTCTTTGGTAGTAAATATTACAGAACTGGTGCTGTATTCGTTTCATTGCATCCTTTTAGATGGTAGTGGTTTTGGTTTGTCCCATGACTATTGATGTTCATTTCAGCATCTTGCTTAAGGTGGTGTCTACCAGCCTTCTTCACTGTGAAGTTACTCTTTTCTCTTGTATAATTAATAAGTATTTTGTAGGCAGTACTATGTAAATATCCGTTTCGTTGCCAAACTTTCAGTGTATTTAGTTATTTATATCAGTATGGACTCATTTTATTTAATGGGTAATAATCTATTGCTAGCATCATTTGTTTTGGTGCTCAAATTCTCTTTGGTTTGGCCAGTAGGAGCCAAATCAGAAGTTGGCTTCTGTCAACTTTTGATATGTCCCTATCATTCTTTGACTACTTCCTTGCTTTCTAGCCCAATAAGATGTTCTAGGTTCATCCTGTACTTTCTCTATACCAGCCAAGGAATCCTGATGTGTGTGTGTGTGTTTTTTTTTTTTTTTTTTTTTTTTTTTTTTTTTTTTTTAGTATTAAATGGCATTTAGAATCCAAAATCTGGTTCCTAGATAATGCTCATTGTTATTGGACCATTGCTGCTCCCAGGCCTTCTCATAGACATAATGAGGAAATGAGGTTCTGACACCCCCATCACAGGCTCTCCCTACTGTGTGGATGCCCTCCTTATCTTGCTTGGGCTTTGGTACCCTATAGCAGGGTGCTCTTCCATGACAACTCTTTCTTAACTGTGGTTGGCTTCTGACACACTACACCAGGGCACCCCTCTCTCCTGATACGGATGCCTTCCTTGCTATACTTAGACTATGATATTCCACACCAGTCCACCTCCCTGCCCCAAATGTGGATGCTCTTTTCACCCTGCTTGGGCTCTGATTCTCCTCACTAGACTACTTGTCTCTTCCTCCCCCTCCTGATGGACTCACCCTGCTTAGGTCTGACCACAGTGTTGGGCTGCCCTCATCATCTCTTAACTAGACTTTTTTTTTTTTTTTTGAGATGGAGTCTTGTTCTGTCGCCCAGGCTGGAGTGCAGTGGTGCAATCTCGGCTCACTGCAACCTCCGCCTCCTAGGTTCATGCCATTCTCCTGCCTCAGCCTCCCGAGTAGCTGGGGCTACAGGCGTCTGCCATCATGCCCAGCTAATTTTTTTCTTTTTTTGTATTTTTAGTAGCAACGGGGTTTCACCGCGCTAGCCAGGATGGTCTCGATCTCCCGACCTTGTGATCTGCCCGCCTCGGTCTCCCAAAGTGCTGGGATTACAGGTGTGAGCCACCGCGCCTGGCCTTAACTAGACTATTATAACACAAAGCCTCCTAACTGATCTCCTTGCTTTCAATCTTCTTATACCTTTCACATTTCTGCAAGAGTGATCATTCTAAAATATAAGTCAAATCATGCCACTGCTCTGCTTAAAAACATTGTAATAGTTCCCTTTTGCTTAGAGAATAAATTTCAAGTTCCTTGGGCTGTCATTCAAGGATCTCTAGTATCTGACCCAAAGGTACCTTTCGTCCTCATTTCTTATTAGTTCCTTGGTATACTGTGCACTCCAACTATCGCCACTGGCTACTCCTTAGACATACCCCAGTACATTTACTCCTCTGGCTTTTTGCCTTTATCCTCTCCTCTGTCTGGCTTAGCCAACTCTCTTCACTGTCTGATAAAATCCCTCAGAGTCCTAGTTCAGATGTCTGCTATGGATGTCAGAGCCTGAATACAGTGAGGAAGATAACAATAAGAGGAAGGAATTACCTGGTGAAACCTCTCTGACCTCTATAGTCATAAACAGTCCCCTTTTTTTCTACTTCTGATGGAGTATTTACTTCATTCTCTCTCTTTTCACAATCAGCTGTTTACATATCTGTTGCCTCTGATTCATTGGCTGCTCCTTGAATGCACTCAACACAGGGCATTGCATCTAGTAGACCCTCAGGGAATGCTGATGGAACTTGTCAAGGGAATGAATTTTGGATGGTGAAGTTACCACAGCAGTGAATCTGTTGCTTTCATTTGAAGTCCATTCACAGGTCCCACTGAGGTCTGAGAGGCTCTGACTACAAGAAAGGGTTTGGAGTCTGGCATCCTTGGGTCTAGATATCTGCCCTGTGCCAGAGCTCTTTCTGAGAAAATGATATATTCACACTATTCTCCTCTTTAGTAAATTCCAAATATGTCTTTAAAAAAAAATCTACACTGTCATCCTAAATAAAATAATTCCTAGCTACAGGAATATAGGTATTTAAAGCTGCAAATAATAGCAGTGACATCATCCTACTAAAAAAGCCTGCCCCAAATTGTCTGAAGGCCAGCATTGTGATATGTGTCTCCTGACAGCCTATCCCTGCAGAGACCCTCAGTCTGTCTCTGCAGAGACACTTAGGCTGAAGTGTCAGCAAAGGAGGGTTTTAGACTTTCTCAGTGACTTTACCAGTCTGCACTTTTTGGAGCTGTGTGGGAAGCATCACAGGCTAGGTTCCTTGTAGCATGTGGGGGTTTCTAGAGGGGAAGAGAAAGATAGGAGTCTGTATTTCTTTAGATCCCACTACCAACCCCATTTGCTCCAGCCATAGCAGCATCTTGAACTTTTCTTGTTCTGATCATTCATTCTTCCGGGGCTTTGTCCAGGTTTTCTTTTCTACCCTGAGATTGAACTGTCTGATTTCAAAGCCTAGGCTCTTTTGTGTTTCATAATCATAGCACCGAATTTTTTTTTTTTTTTTTTTTAAAGATTGCTCATTTTTGCTTTTCCTGTCAGGTTTTCAGTCTCATTAAAATAATTTCTAAATTGAGATCAGAATATTTTCTAATATACAGATTCAATTTTTGCCTCCACAGGGGTTGAATCAAGGTATACTTACCTACAAGACTAACTCTTATTTTGATTTGGCCTGAGACACAGTAGAATGTTCCCAATTTAAGATTAGCACTATTCCATCTGCCTGGTGCTAATTGAAACTGAAGAGGAAGGAAAGCTTTTATTCTATAATTGTTTGGAGAGCAGCATGGAAAACTCCTTAGAATGTGATGAACTTGATATTTACTAGGTTTATAAGTTTTGGCAAGTGTTAAGCTCTCTGTGCCCCGATTTTCTTACCTGTAAAATGAGGGTAATAAAGCCAATTTTTAAAGGGCTGTTATTAGGTTAAATGATATGATTCTTGTAGGGTTGACTCTGGTTTTGACTTTGTCACCAACAGTGGGAGGTGGGAGTCATCAACCTAAGCATTGTCCCTGGCTTAGTATATGCCATAATTTCACACTAAAGCTACGTTTACTTCCATTATCTTATATAACCTTCATATTGTGATCAGAGAAAAAAAGATGGTGGTGGTGGTTCCCATTTGTCAAATAAGGAAATTGATACTCAGAGAAGTTGAGTGGCTTGTCTGAAAACAGAGACCTCTGACTCCTAGTCTGAGACTCCTTTTGTTCTTAACAAGTCTTAGGAGAGGGCCGTGTGGTGTAAAAAAAAAAAAAAAAAAAAAAAGAGGCCTTCAATTGAAAAGTCAAGAATGGGCTTGGTGCAGTGGCTCAAGCTTGTAGTCCCAGCACTTTGGGAGGCTGAGGTGGGAAGATTCCTTGAACCCAGGAGTATTTTTTCTTTTTCAGAAACAGGGTCTTGCTCTGTCACCCAGGCTATGTGATCATAGCCCACTGTAGCCTTGAACTTGTGGGCTCAAGCGATCCCCCTGCCTTAGCCTCCCAAGTAGCTAGGATTATACGCAGAAGCCACTGCACTAAGAATATCTTGATTTTGTAGTTTTAGCTAGGATAATTTGGGAAAGTCAACTCAGTTTCTACCTTATTTAAACAGAAATATGAATTATTCTTTTTAACTCACTTTGGCAAATAATTGTCGAGCATTTACTATGCCTTACACGGTGCTAGGCTTGTCCCTTCTGTCAAGCTGTTTATATTTCACTAAGGATAAGAGATACAGATAATTAGTTTAAGTGAAAAGAGTTATAACAAATGTGTATGTGGCAGAAGATAATGGTGGCTGTGGTGGGAGTGGTCCAGGAGGGTGCCACAGAGATAGCCGTGGGGCTGGGCATTGCTTCTGAGGAGAAATCTCAAAGGAGGGTATGTAAGAATTAATTGGATAATGGATATGAATGTGCTTTATTAGTTGCCACATAAATGCAGCTTTTTACAACTGTCAATTCTTACAGAAGGTGCCTCTTTTCTAGAAACCTTGGCTGACCGAGTAGAACACCATAGTTGGAGTCCAAACTTAATTAAAGTGAGAAGAAAGATTTTAGTAGATTGAGATTTTATATTAAAAAAAAAAAAAGCAAAAGCCTGTGTCTGAAGTTTTTGGAATCCAGGAGTCCTTAAAATGGGATGTGTATGCCTATTAAAATTGTCTTCTACTTTGATGACACAGTGGACCTCAGCCACTTTTGAGTTTATAAAGGACTTATTTATTATCACTTAAAAAAAAGCCACTTGTGCTCCTGCAGCATTTTAGATATTTAAAACAGCCTTGCAAACAAGTATGTATCCTGGGGAATAAAATGAATCAGGACAAGACAAAGAGAAATTGGGCGGCTGAGCCAAAGATATGTAATGTTTTTATTTTTTATATTTGTTTGGGTTCAGTAGATGTAATTATTGAGAGCTTTGTATGTGCTAGGCTTTGTATGAAGTACTGAGGGAACAGAGATGAATGAAGCATTTCGTAAACAAGGGGACATATAGTCTGGCTGGAGATACAAGACATCTGTGGTAAGTGATAAGCATTTTTATGAGGTACTCTAAGATCTTAAAGGTGGAGGACCTACTCAAGCCGTTGGGTAAGGACTGCATCAGAGATGGCAAGTTAGAGGAGAGGACACCTGAAGATTAGAAGTTTTGGAGGAAACAGAAGGGAATAATGGGAGATAAGTGTGTTCTATGCAATGGTAATAGCTTGAAGAAAGGCACCAGGATTTAAATAGTACCTGGTACTTAAAGCACCTACAAATAAGAGAAACATTCCTCAGAATTTAATGCTGGAGTGTAGTAACTGATAAGACTTTGTATTTTGTCCCCTTTTTGAAGAGATAGAACATTTTTAGTTAGTGTTAGTTATAAGATTTTATAGTGGAACATTTGTTTTTACTGTACAGTATTTTGTGTTCCCCATTTTATGAGTCTCATTAGGGGCAAATATGCAGTTCCCTAAAGGAGATAATTTAGATACTTGCTTCCCAAGCTTCCTTGCTTCTGGGGCATAGGCAGTGACCTAGGTTTCACCAATCCGATATGCCCAGACCACACTTGGATTTAGCACTTAAAGACTTGAGAGAGGAGGTAACGGGAAACTAACTTTCTTTTTCTGATGGCAGAGGCAGTAGCATCCCCTGCAAGGTTGGGTTCCTGGCACTGAAGTGGCATTGTTGTTTGTGATTGCTGCACAGAGGTTGAATTCTTGATCCAGAAGTGACGGTGGTACCCATTCTAGCATGTAATGATGAGAAGTAGCTGCAGTGGTTTCCTCATTGGACTAGTTCTGCAGTGTAACTTTGTGCTTTATTCTGGAAGTTTAGCCTTAAGCCTATTTTTCCAACCTTCACCAAATTTTGTGAGCCCCCAATATTCTTTCAGTACATTGATTTTCACTAGACTCAGATTTTAAATTGATTTTCACCAGACTCAGAGTCTGATGCTTACATCTAAGAATCCTTTGAGTCAGAGGTCATCAGACTACAGCCTGTGGGGCAAATCTGGCCCCATTGCCTGTTTTTGTAAATAAAGTTTTGTTGAAACATAGCTACACACATTCATTTACATATTGTCAGTGGCTGCTTTTGTGCTACAAAGGCAGAGTTGAGTTATTGAGACAGAGGTGATAGGGCCTGCAAAGCCTAAAATATTTACTATTTGGCCTTTTGCAGAATTTTCCAACCCCTACTTTAACTAATAATGGTTGTCCCTTAACAACACTGAAATGTTTCCTTAATGAGACAGTGAGTATTAGTTTGAGTTTCACCCTTTTTTCTTAAATTTTGGTTTTGGCTTCCAGGATGCTCAGAGCAAAATTTGGTCATGAATTGCAAAGCATGGAGTGTTGGTACTATGTTTTAATTGTCTCCTACTTTATTACCTGTATTCCACTGATGATTACTATTGTCCTAAGGGGTGTGTGTGTGTGTGTGTGTGTGTGTGTGTGTGTGTGTGTATTTGAAAGCAACTTGAAAGCCATTTTTGAAGTAGACAGGTTATATTCTTATTCTGTTTTTTTTTTTTTTAAAGAACTTGGAAAGAGTGATTGCCTGCCTTATTGGGAATATATCAAATTGTGAAGAATATTCTCAGTCTTCCTTTCATATCTATCTAGTATTGTCTTAATTTGCTCAGATCTTTTTCATTCTTCTGCTAATAAGAGGAATTTATTTATGGTTAGAGACCAGTGGCTAATAAGGAATCAATGTTTCAGACTAGTAAGAAGCATCTTTTTCTTGATTCTCTAGTATGCTTCTTGTTTGTATCAATTAGAAATATTTTCAGCTGTAAGTAGTAGAAAACAGTGATTTAAAATATAGGAATTAATTTTCTGGAGGGAGGGCATTGGTTGCTTGTATAGGGTGGGATACAATGCCATTTAGAACCCAGGCTCTTTCTGTTTTTCTACTCTGCCAGCCTTTTCTACTCTGCCACTCTGCCAGCCACTGAGTGTGTGCTTTTCACTCTTGTACTTATGACCTCAAGGTTACTAGGCTACTGTAGCTCCAGAAAGAATGTTTGAGAAAAGAAGAAAGGGGCGGAAAGGCAGAATTAGCACTCTGCCTGTGTTCTATTTTATAATTAAAGCAACCATTTCCCCAGAATCCTTAGAAACTTACTGACTAGAACTTTGTCACATGCACATGCCCAACTTTAAAGGAGGCTGGAAAAATGAGTGTTTAATTGTCTCATTACTTTCCTGGATAAAATTAGGGTTGGCAAAATTGGCAAGGATGAAGGGATGAATGGATATTGATTAGGGATTTGAAAGTCATTGGATTTTAGTGACTTTTTTTTTTTTTTGAGACGGTGTCTCCCTCTGTTGCCCAGGCTGGAGTCCAATGGCGCGATCTCGGCTTACTGCAACCTCCGCCTCCTGGGTTCAAGTGATTTCTCCCTGCCTCAGCCTCCCAAGATTACAGGTGCCTGCCACCATGCCTGGCTAAGTTTTGTATTTTTAGTAGCGATGGGATTTCACCATGTTAGCCGGGCTGGTCTCAAACTCTTGACCCCGGGTGATTCACCCGCTTCAGCCTCCCCAGAGTGCTGGGATTACAGGTGTGAGCCACTGTGCCCTGCCTTTAGTGACTTTTTAATATGGTTTTAAGAAATGTATTTGTACCCTGTATGATTTTATAAAAATGTGTGCTGGTGCCTGTGTTTTATTGGAGCTACCTCATTTTGGGCTGGAGATATAGTAGCAAATGAGGAGATATATACTACCTTTCCAGTCTAGAGGTAAAAATAAATACTATCAAATACTTTCAGTAAATTGGATAAGTGTTTGGGACTTCTCTGAGGGCCATATTTAGGAGTCATTAAATCTGTTTGAGGGATTATAGGAAGCCTTCATAGAAGTGGTGACATTTAAGCTGGGTCCTAAAGGATAAGCAAAGGGAGGAAAACTTATGGGATTATGCAGTAACTTGTTGCTGTATCTTCTCTGCTGAGGGGTTGATTGGCAATGTTAATACCTCAGAGATTGTGCATTTCATTATTAGATACCTCTGATTATTATAATGTTCTTATAGAATTCTCCATTTCTTCCTCCCTTCCCCTGTCTCTCTTTTTGGTTGGGAGGGCAAAAGGTGTTTTGTATGACATGATGAGAGAACTCTTGGACAATTACTTTAGGCCACTCTAAGACTGCATCCACATTCCTTTCTTAGCCTTCAGGATTCTCTGTAGCTTTTTTTCTGACTGGTCTTTCTAGCTCCATTTATTCATTCATTCCTTCATTCAGCCATTACTTATCTGTCACCCACTGTTTGCAAGGAATAGTTCTGAGGTCTGGAGATAAAGACAAAGTCTTTGCCTTTGTGGAGCATATGTTCCATTGGAGGGAGCCAGCCAATAGGCAAATAAATGTCAGTTGATGATAAGTGCCAGGATACAAATAAAGCAGGATAGGGTGGAATAAAGGGTGCTGATATAGAGTAGAGGGGGATTTTTAAATCATTTTATAAAGATTGGTTAGGGAAGAATTATCTGATAAAGTGATATTTCAGCAGAGACTTGAAGGAAGACAGGGAATAAGCCATATGGTTATCTGAGGGGAAATGTGTTTTCAGGCATAGTCACCATAGGGTATGAAGGCCTGGAGGAGAGAGTGTATATAGCCTGTCGGAGAAAGCCTTGGTGCCTGGAGCAGAGTGAGTGAAGTGGGGAAAAGTCGGAGATAAGGTCAGTGAAGTAGCAGGGTGAGATGAGGGGAGGAGGTAGAGGAAGGTAAGATCATATAAGGCCTTGTATGTTTTTCTAAGGACTTTGGCTTTTACATTGAGATTGGGGAAGCCACAGGAAGATTTTAAGCAGAAGAGAGTGATGTGATCTGAGACATGTTTTAAATAGATCACCCTGGGAGGCAAGAATGGATCAGTTAAAAAGGATGTTGTAATATTCTAGGTCAGAGTTTCCCAACAGTGGCGCTATTGACATTTTGGGCAGGATAATTCTTTGTTATGAGGGGCTATACTATGCATTCTAGGATGTTTAATAGTATCCCTGGCTCCCACTTACTAAATGCCAGTAGCACTTACCCAGTTGTTTTAATCCAAAATTTCCCTTGACATTGCCAAATATCCCCTGGGGAGCAGAGCAAATCTGTCCTGCCCTCCCTAACTCCTCTTCACCCCACTATTGAGATCCACTGTTGTACACAAAAGTTGCTGATGGTTTGGACCAAGGTGATAACAGTAAAGGTGATGAGAAGTGGTTGGACCGTAGATCTGTTTTGAAGGTATAGTTGATACAATTTGCTGATGGATGCTTGTGGGGGCTGATAGACAAAAAGTGGAGTAAAAAATGAATCAGATTTTTGGCTTAGCAACTGAAAGAGTAGAATTGCCATTTATTGAGGGATGGGGGAGGAAACACCTGAAGGAGGAACAGAGTTTTGACTTGTTAAGTCTGACAGTCAGTGGCACAGCTTTGTCTCCTATTGTCTTTAAAAATGCTTTTCTTTTTGAGGGTAAGAACTAGGTCATGTCATCTTTGCATCCATAGTGACGAACATTGTGTCTGGCATGTAGAATATGTTCAATAAGTGGTGAATGAATGATGAGATTATTTACTATTTCCAAGAAGGACCAAGTTATTTACTGTTTCCTAAACCGTTCATACTTTTTTCTCCTTTGGGCCTTTGTTTTTGTGATTCACTCAAGGGAAATCTCAGTAGCTCTATGAAAAATTTACTCCTTCTTCAATACCAACCCAAATACTGCCTCTTCCATGAACCTTTTCCTAGTTCTGCAGGTGTAATTAATGTCTCCCTTCTCTGCACTTCTTTGCCTTTTTTGAAATTCAAGTATACTTTGACTTATGACTGGTTGCTTTGACTTATGACTGACTGCCACTAAATAGATTTATTAATATCTTTTTTCGTTTCCATCTTTCTTTTGCTTGTTTCTTTACTTATAGTGTTTTTGTAAGCTACTATTATTATTTATTTTATACTCCACCTCATATCTAGATCTAAGATGCTCTAGATCATCATTACTGAAAGTATACTCCACAGTAAGTGACCTTAACAGGCAATTGGCCTCACCATCTAATTACTACAAGAAAAAATTTCATCTCAGATGTTGTTTTAAATCCAACATCATCATTGTTGACTGATTTCCTTGTACATTTAACTGGTTGTGTCAGGAGATTTATAATTTCCACTTAGTACACATATTGTTTTAAAAGTTATTTGTGGTTGCAAAAGAACCCAGTAAAAATAATCATTTTCAAATCCTTTAGGCACTTCAATCACACTAGTCATCAGTTATAAGCTATTAGATTGAAAGCTGTAGTCTCCAAACAAAACCAAATTTTTGAATGATTATTGATCATTTGCTTTTATAATAGAGTTAGCAGGAGTTGCAAACTCATATGCCTACAGAGGAGAGATAAGTGACTTAAAAAGGCCTGGTTAGGCTTAAGATGACTACAGAGACAAAACATTGCTGGCCAAGGTCCATGACTTATAAGAATAATTTGTTAATTATTTACTTTGAAAACCAGAGGACTATTTAAATGAAA